>NC_000011.10:121414848-121717879 GCF_000001405.40 Homo sapiens
AAAAATTATAACAGGCAACACTGAAAGAGAATGAGGTCAGAGAAATTAATGATCATGGCAGGATATGGGATCTGGACCTGTTTCTATATAAGACAGAGGCTGGTTCGAACCGTAGGCAGAATTCCTGAGCTCTCTCACCAGCAACATTTTCACCTTCATCTCCATCTCAACATCGCAGACTTTGAAGAACTAAAAGGATCTTTGAGGTTACATTCCTAGCCCAGGAGTCCTTAAAAAGATAACATCTAAGTCCTGGGATTCTTAATTTTTGAGTGGAGGCCTGTTTCATTTTTGGGACACCTTGGTTATTAGAAAGTATATTCTCTTTATAAAGAACAGAAGTCAGCCTCTCCATAAATTCCAACTACAGCAATCAATGGCCCTACAGGATGACAAACAATAACTCTCTCCACCTAAAAGCTTTTCGGATAATTGCAACTAGCTTTATATCTACCACCCCTTCCTCTAGGCTGTTTTGTTCTTTTTCCTAGTTGAACACCCAGTTCTCTACAATGTCCCACAGTGATGGAGTTTCTAAACACCTTCCTATTCTTATCTCTCATCTGTGGTGATCCTCAGAGCCACTAAAAATCATTAGGTTATAAAATGAAAAGAAAACAAAGCAAAAGTATCATGACAGTTTAAAAATGTGCTAAGTAAAAAAATCAGTAATTATAATCCCAGCACTTTGAGAGGCTGAGGCAGGAGGATTGCTTGAGCCCAGGAGTTTGAGACTAGCCTGGGAAATATGGGGAGAATAAGTGAGTACCACCTTAAAAATTTCGTAATTTTAAAAAAATTAGCTGGATGTGATGGCACACACCTGTGGTCCTAGCTACTCAGGAGTCTGAGGCAAGAGGATAGCTTGAGCCCGGGAGGTCAAGGCTGCAGTGAACTGAGATCGCACCACTGCACTCCAGCCTGGGCAACAGAGAAAGACCCTGACTCAAAAAAAATAGTCAGTAATAAAGTTCCAGGACTGGAAAGACTGTGACCAGGATTGTAGGGAAAGGTAAGTATGTAAGTCAAGGCTTTCTGTTGCAAGTGATAAAACCCATTTGGGACTTTCTTAAACAAATAACAGAATATTTTCATCCCAGAGCAAAAAGCCCTCTCCCCCTTCAGTTCCAGCTGGAAAAGGGCTCTGATTAGTCAAATTGGGTCACTGCCAATTCCTGGGTGGGGAAGTCATAGTTGGGTAAGAAGAGGAAAGAATCACCCAGATCACACGGACAGAGGAGGGAGCAGAGTATCACCAGGAGAGAGGTGAAGGTGTGGACATAGGCAAACAAACATAAAGGTGCCCTGCAGAGAGTGAGCCACAAAGTCAAAGACAAACACTAAATATTTTATTCAGTTATTGCACATTTATTTCTTTAGATGGGGTCTTGCTATGTTGCCCAAGCTGGTCTCAAACTCCTTGCCTCAAGCAATCCTCCCACTTCAGCTTCCCAAAGTGCTGGGATTATAGGCATGAGCCACTGTGCCTGGCCTTCTAGGGATTATTATTTAAAAAAAAAAAAAAAAAAGGAAGGTGTAGAGAGCACTCTAATATTCTAAGAATAGAGTTGTTAAGACAGCAGCAATGCTAGAAAAAAATTTTAATTGGCTAATGAGTAATATATATACTTTTTTTTTCTTTTTTGAGATGGAGTCTTGGTCTGTTGCCCAGGATGGAGTGCCAAGGCATGATCTTGGCTCACTGCAACCTCCGCCTCCTGGGTTCAAGCAATTCTCATGCCTCCCAAGTAGCTGGAATTACAGGCGTGTGCCACTACACCTGGCTAATTTTTGTATTTTTAGTAGAGACAGGGTTTCACCATATCGGCCAGGCTGGTCTCGAACTCCTGACCTCAGGTGATCCACCCGCCTTGGCCTCCCAAAGTTCTGGGATTACAGGGATGAGCCACCACGCCTGGCCTGATAGTTTTTTTTAAGGGAGATAAACAAGTAATGAAGAAACAAGAAAATGTTGAGTGCATTGATTTTTTAATTGATATCTAGTAAGAATGCAATTTAATATTTTGTGATGGGAAATAATTATAATTATTTAAATACATTTTAAAATGTTATAAAATCTGTGCTAATAGTGACTTGATATCTATTTGAAAAAGTGCTTTGAAAATTAAAACAGAATCAACTTATGATTACATGACAGTGGAAAACTATTGAGGCATTGAACACCTGGATGAAGGGTTCTCCTGTGCTGGGGGCTGTGGTCCTACTGCCTGGGCGGCCATTCTAAGGAAGAGGCACACAAGAGCTCATGCTGTGGGTGGACACGCTGGCTACATTTCTCATACACTGTTTTCTTGAGCACTGGGGAAACCCAGAGGAGGACACTTCATTTGTCCAATTAAAGATGGGATTTCATTGAGTGCTGCCTCAGAGCCCACAGACCACAGGCCCAGATGCATTCACAGCTGCCCAGAGCCAACAAGGTGGCTAGAATGTCAGCAAGAGGGGACACCGGGTGGTTCTAGTTTCCTTGTGGTTGGAGTCTGTTGAGTTAACAGCCCAAATCTGACCACACAGGCTTGGAACAGTGTGCAAGGGAGCAACCGAGAGGAAGTTAGCCAATGTTGGATCCGGGCCAGTCAACTTCTAAGAAAACGTGCCAGCAAGGGGCAGGGCCCTTGCCGAGAAGAGCTGGGCTCCTCTGGCTGTTTCTCATGGAGGCATAATTCAGTGGTGAAACCAATGCTCCCACAGGCCCCACACAAATGCTTCCTGCCCCTCCAAGCCTACAGAGCAATTGCTTTGCCTGAGGCCTCTCAAGTTGAAGGAAGATCAATAAGGCTGTCTGATAGATAATTGTGACTTGGAGCTCTTTGGATAGCTTGTCATGTTCTCTCGGAGGGCTTTGGCTTTGTTTATACAAAATGGGAAAAGGCTGTTAAACATTGAAACTTTTGATATTTTACTTTCCAAGAGGAACCACTATGGGCATTTAAAAACTCAGTCAGCAAATATTTATCAAGCAGCTTCTATCTGCAAAATACTGTGCTAAACTGTTGCAGATTCACAAGCGTGCTGTAATTAAGTTGTACACATGAGATTAACTATTTACAAACAATACACCTATGTTTATATATCAAATGAGTATTGTCATCTTTAGAACAATTATTTCAGGAGATAATACTCTTTTTTTTTTTTTTTTTTCTGAGATGGAGTCTTACTCTATTGCCCAGGCTGGAGTGCAGTGGTGCAATTTCAGCTCACTGCAACCCCTCCTCCCGGGTTCAAGTGATTCTCCTAGCTGGGATTACAGGCACACACCACCACGCCTGGTTAATTTTCGTATTTTTAGTAGAGACGGAATTTCACCCTGTTGGTCAAGCTTGTCTCGAACTCCTGACCTTGTGATTCTCCCACCTCGGCTTCCCAAAGTGCTGGGATTACAGGCGTGAGCCACCACACCCGGCCTTCAGGAGATAATATTCTTAATCCAATGGTGTTATCTGCGTAGAAAGTATTTTTAGAACATCTTTTCTTTGGGCATCACCTCAGAGCCTATGGTTCATTCTTTTGAATATGTTCAATGTTGCGAAGCCACTGAGAGTAGAGGCAAGATAAAATTGAGGAATATATTTTCTGATTTTAAAAAAATAAGTCCACACAAAAACATATGTGAATATTCAGAGTAGTTTTATTCATAATAACCCTGAACTGGAAACAACTCCAATGTCCATGCCTATGCAAAATGTGATAATATCCATACAATGGAATATTATTCAGCCCTAAAAAGAAATGAGGTACTCATACATGCTACTGAGGTAGATGGACTTGTTTTCCAATCAGACCCTTCTGATCAAAACAGGATGTAGCAGAGGAACTGGCGGAAACCAGCAGATGGTGACGAAAGCAACCTCTAGTTGCCCTCACTGCTCCTTAGCATAAAGACACTCCCACTAGTGCCAAGACAGTTTACAAATGCCATGGTAACGAGTGGGAAGTTGCCTTACATGGTTCCAGGAACTTCCCCGCCCCTTTTCGAGAAAATTCTGAATAATCCCATAATTAGCACTTAGTTAAGAGTAGGCAAAAATATAGCTGGCCAGCAATCTGTGACAGCTGTGGCAGCTGTTGCTCCTGCTTGGGACTGCAGCTGCTGCTGCTGCTCTAGGCTGCTCTGTTTATGGGACAGCACTGCTCTGCCTATGGAGTGGCCACCTTGCTGTACACTGCTGCTCTGGGCCACTCTGTCTACGGGTTAGCCCTGCTCTGCCTACGGGTTAGCCCTGCTCTGCCTATGGGTTAGCCCTGCTCTATGGAGCAGCCATTGTGATGTACACTGTTGCTCTAATAAACTTGCTTTCTTTCACTGTCAGCTGATTCTTGAATTCTTTTCTGAGTGAAACCAAGAACCCACCAAGCTAAGCTCCAGTTTTGGGGTGCATCTGCATCACTACAACATGGATGAACCTTGAAAACATTATGCTAAGCAAAATAAGCCAGTCGCAAAAGATCATATATGATAGGATTCCATTTATACGAGGTATCCAGAAAAGGCAAATCTATGCAGACAGAAAGTAGACTAGTGGTTGCCCGGGGCTAGGGATGGGAATAGGCGATGGAGGTGTTCTAAAATTGGATTGTGGTGAGGGTTGCATACTTGTGACTTTACTAAAAATCATCTAATCGTACACTTAAAGTGAGTGCATTTTATTATATGTAAATTATACCTCAATAAAGCTTTTTTGAAAAATGAAATGTGGCTAGACATGGCTCACTCGTGTAATTCCAGCATTTTGGGAGGCCAAGGCGGGCAGATCACTTGAGGTCAGGAGTTTGAGATCAACTTGGCCAACATAGTGAAACCCAGTCTCTACTAAAAATACAAAAATTAGCCAGGCATGGTGGCTCATGCCTGTAATCCCAGCTACTTGGGAGAATGAGGCAGGTGAATCGCTTGAACCCAGGAGGCGGAGGTTGCAGTGAGCCCACATCGCGCCACTGCACTCCAGCCTGGGCAATAAAGCAAGACTCTATCTCAAAAAAAAAAAGGAATATGATGATTATAAAGTATAAAAAATTGATTTTGGGGTGACATATGAACCAATTCTAAAGGCAAATGGAAAGGGTTAGAAAATTCTTCCCTCTCAGAGTTCTAAAAATCAGTTGAGCAATAGCAGCATCCTGAGAATGAATGTGCATCGCCTCCCAGGGTGACTGACAGCCAAGTCTCATTTACACACAGTCTGATGGGCACTACTCCAGTAGCGCAGTAACTATTCCAGAGCTATTGCCTTTCCCGAAGCTTACAGTCCACTGGGGAGATAAGAAATATAAAGATATTGACATCTGTCGATAAACAAAGTAAAATAAGTCAGCTCTGGTCAAATTGGCTTTTAAAACACTTTTTGCTCCTTTTACAGTGTGAGTTGATGGCACAGTAAGAGATAGTGGGGCTTTCCTTTTCATAGTCAGTTTGCAAAATCCCTACATAAAGGATTTTAAAAGATCAGTTATGAGGAGAGAAAATCCCCAGATGAGGGACATACTGTTTTTCCTCCCTCCCAAATTCCTCACTCCCTGAAATACCGCTGTGGTAATGGGAACCTTCCACTTGAGTCCTTTCGCCCCAGGTCCAAGAGAAATAACACCATGATTGATATTGCATTTTCAAAGTCACTGATACATAAAAATAACTTCCTAGCTATTGTCTAAATGAATGACTGCATTTTAGATTTCAGCTGACACAGGTCTGAAATCCCTCTCTTTGGTTTCAGTCCCCATTTCTCTGTAGAGCTGACGTTGGCAGCTTGAGGTTTTTCTTTAGTGGTGCACCAGTGACATCTCTCTCTTGCTACCTCTGTTTCTTGTCTTGGATTTTCTTCTCTAAAATCCAGAATGATTTTCCTCTTGCACTCTGCAGGATAAACCCATGCAATGTGGCTATGACATCAAACTCCATGCCAGGATGTGGAAGTGGGATTAGGAACATACAGGTGAAGCTTTGTATGATTTTGAAAGGTTTAGCACAGCAGGAAACTGGCCTTGTTACTCAGATAAATGCTAGTGACCTATCAAATGCAGGATTAAGTTTTTAAAATTTGCTCCCAAAGGCAATATGGAAAAATGGAGGGACTCAGGCTGTGGTTATAGTTCTCCTGAGGAATGGACAGATGTGTGCAGATATGTGCTGCAAAACCAGATTGCCTTTCCATGCCATTGAGAGGCCTCTTAAGGAATGTCTGATGAATATTAAGAGAGAACTCAATAAATGTGCATTGTGAAAAAGAGTTACTTAACACATTATAGCCATCTGAAGCCTAATATTGAATTAAAACGCCAAGTTACCAGTCACTAAAGAGGGGAGTCCAGAGTACAACAGTTGGAAAACTAAGCCAAAGACTTAGGAAGGTGCTACTGAATGTTCTCACTGTTATTGTGATCAGTGGCTGAGCACCTGGCAATTCCAGGGTAGGCCAGTAGGTCTGCAAAGAGGGGAGCCTTGGTGCTTAGTTTCTAAAACTTACCTGGGAAGCAATTGTGAATTAATCAGTCATTATAATCCATGAGCATACAATATTTCATGGCATTGTGGTGAACTGTTTTGTGATTGTATCAGCTTTGGGATGTAAATATTTAAAGAACACCAACTGTATCCACTTCATCTCAATTGCCAGTATTTAGTGTAGATTCTACAAAGATGCGTACACAAAATTACCTGATTTTGCTGACTTTATACAGGTCAGTAAGCTCAACTGAAAAGTTAGAAAAAACACAACCTCTTACTTCAATAAAATAAATTACGGTAGCCAACAGTGCTTCACAGATTTGTCATATGAGTTAGCAGTAAAAAATATCTCTCCCTGATGACTAAGCCATGGACTCAAATCCCCCTGTCGGTCACCTCTTTTCTAATTATCATTAAGCATGACTTAGCTGGATGAACCACGGCTCAGGAGGAAGCATTAAAGCTCAGACATTGACCATGACAACTAGGGTGGAAATGTCTCTAAAATTGGGCAGTGGCCTGAATATATTGTAGGTCTTCTTTGAGAATTATCAGAGGCAAGAGGAATTGAAGCAGCACCTAAAAGGAAATGAAGGGTTAGCCTGCAGCCTACTAAGGATGGTAGCAAGGAAAAATGACACTCAAGAAGAGCAAATAGTTCTACCAACAACCAGCCAATATCAATTTTCCAGGTCTCAGAGGCTCAGAGAAACATGGACCAAGACTGTATGAGCAAAGAAACCATATCTTAGGCGTGGCAAAGAGAAAATTAGGCAAAGATCAAAGGGAAGGAAGAGATTTTTGACTCAGAGAGAGGGAAAGGGGAGAGAGAAGTTTTGGTGGGTGTCTTATCTGTCTGTATATGTCCATGGTACCTAGCATATTGCTATAAATGTAGTCAAGGGTCAATACATGCTGTTTGGTTGAATGGAATGGATAAGATTTTTGGTAGTTGAGAAACTTTGAAAGAATGATGGATGCTTTCCCATTTTTCCTAAATTGTGTCCCTGATAGCAGAATTTGCCACCTGCAGATATTATATCTCAAGCTGCTTAGGGGTGAAATGGCTTACGTAAGAGATACTTGATATTTTTTGGCTTAGGCAGTTTTTATTAATATGTACATACACTTATGTCATTATTCTTGATCTTTTTTTTTTTCAAACAAAGTAGTGTGTGGGTTACATGCTATTAATCTTGATTTAAGAAGTCATTATTTTCCAATAATAAGTTTTTTTAACGGTGCTAAAATATACATAATATAAAGTTTACCATCTTAACCCCTTTTAAGTGTAGAGTTCAGCAGTGTTAAGTATATTCACATTGTGCAGTCTCCAAAATGTTTTCATCTTGCAAAACTGAAACTATACCCGTTAAACAACAACTCTATTCCTTCTGCCTCCAGCCTCTGGCAACCACCATACTACTTTCTGTCTCTATGGACTTAGTTACATTTGATACCTCATATAAGTGAAATCATATAGTATTTGTTCTTTCTGTGACTGGCTTATTTCACTTAGCATAATGTCGTCAAGATTCATTCATGTTGCAGCATGTGACAGGATTTCCTTTCTTTTTTTAGAGACAGGGTCTTGCTCGGTTGCTCAGGCTGGGTGCAGTGGCATGATCATAGGTCACTTCAGTTTCCAAATCTTGTGCTCAAGCAATGCTCCTGCCTCAGCTTCCTGAGTAGCTATGGCTACAAGCACGTGCCACCATGCCTGACTAATTTTTTAAAATTTTATAGAGACAGGGACTCACTATGTTGCCCAGGCTGGTCTCGAACTCTTGGCTTCAAGCAATCTGCCTGCCTCGACCTTCCAAAGTGTTGGGATTACAGGCATGAGCCACCATGCCTGACCAGATTTCCTTTCTTTTCAAGGCTGAATAATATTTCTCCGTTTGTATATAGCACATTTTGTTCATCCATTCTTCCATCCATGGACAGCTGAGTGGCTTCCACCTATTAGCTATTTTGAATAATGCTACTATGAACATGGGTGTACTAATCTCTCTTCAAGGCTATGCTTTCAATTCTTTTGGAATATATACTCGGAGGTGGGATTGCTGGATTATATGGTAATCTTATTTTTTAATTTTTTGAAGAACCTCCATATCGTTTTCCATAACTGCTGCACCATTTTACATTCCCATCAAGATTGCACAAAGGTTCCAATTTTTCCACATCCTCACCAACACTTATTTTCTATTTTTCTTGACAGTAGACATCCTAATAGTGTGAGATATTGATCTATTTCTTATGCTTCACTGCAAACTAGCCAAGGTTGAAACTCTCTTCATTTAATAGGAACAAGGAATGCAAATGGGACTCGTTAGTGGGTCCTCAATAAAGGTAGAAACATTCCAGTGGCTCCCCATCTCACCCACAGTCAAATCCAAATTTCTTATAATGACCTTCTAAGGCCCTATAAGACCTGGCCCCCACTACCTCTCTGGCCTCACCTCCCACTGTGCACCCCTCCATCACTCCACTCTACCCACACAGGCCTCCCTGCTGCTCCAGGAACAAAACAAGCAGGGCCTTTGCACTCATAGTTCCTTTGCCTAGGATGCCCCCAGATATGCAGGTGGTTTACTTCCTCACCTCCTTCAGCTTTCCAATCAAATGTCACCTTATCAGAGAGGCTTTGACTAACCACCATATATACAACAGCAAACCACCTCCTACACATTCACACACACTGTCTCTTAATTCTTTACTCCTCACATCGCTTTATTCATAGCACTTATCACACATGACAAGTCTGGCACATGATTGGTATCCAACATATATCTGTTGAATGAATGAATCAATGAATCAATCAACCAATCAGTCAAAGATAAAGCACACATTCCCTTTTGTTCTCAATCTTGCTTTTCTCTCAGTTCATCCCCAGAATTCCCCCTGGATAGAAGAAATTGGCCACTGAAAGACATACAAACCTGTTCTGCAAAAAGTTACACACCCCTGCCCCTGATGGTTCTTCTCCTGAGAACCTTCATCTGAGTCAATGGCACGATGATCTGGAAGCATGGAGTCAACTCTTATCTCTCCCCCTGATGCCCTACTCTCAGTGCATCAGCAAGTCCTACAGTGTCAACCTCCAGAACATACATGACGGTCCCCTTCTCCAGACTATTCTCTCAGCCACTATTCCCTCTCATTTAGTCTCTTAACTGGTGTCCTCTCTTCTATTCTTGACCCATTCCTACCCAATTTGCACACAGTTACCAGAGAGGGATTTTAATATTTGTCCCCTCCAAATCTCATGTTGAGATGTAATCCCCAATGTTGGAGGTGGGGCCTGACGGTAGGTGTTCGGGTCATGGGAGCAGATCCCTCATGGTTTGGTGCTGTCCTCACTATAGTGAGTGAGTGCTTGTGAGATCTGGTTGTTTAAAAGTGTGTGGCGTCTGGGCATGGTGGCTCATGCCTGTAATCCCAGCATTTTGGGAGGCTGAGGTAGGAAGATCACTTGAAACCAGGAGTTCAGGACCAGACTGTGCAACATGGCGAGACCTTGTCTCTATAAAAAAATCAAGAAAATTAGCTGGGCACGGTGGCATCCACCTGTGATCCTAGCTACTCGGGAGGCTGAGCGGGGGGAGTTGCTTGAGCCGGGAGGTCAAGGTTGCAGTGAGCCAAGACCATGGCACTGCACTTCAGCCCGGGTGACAGAGGGAGACACAGTCTCAAAAAAAAAAAAAAAAAAATGTACGTGGCACCTTGTCCATACCTTCTCTCTTGCTCCTGTTCTTACTGTATGACATGCCTGCTACCCCTTCACCTTCCACCATGGTTGGAAGCTTCCTGAAGCCTTTGCTAGAAGCAGATGCTGGCACCATGTTTCTTGTACTGTTTGCAGAACTGTGAGCCAATTAAGTCTCTTTTCTTTATGAATTTACCAAGCCTCAGATACTTCTTTATAGCAACACAAAAATGGCCTAATACAACTACCCTGCCTAAAAGCACTTCAATATCTACCCAAATTTCCTATTATAGGCCCCAGAATTCTGTGGGCTGCAGTTCTGTTCACCTCTTCACATTCATCCGTTGTCAGTACATTAGGCCATTTAATTGGTCAAGAGGCTTAACTGGCTCATGGTTCTGCAGGCTGTACAGGAAGCATGGTGCTGGCACCTGCTCAGCTTCTAGGGAGGCCTCAGGAAGCTTCCAATCACGGCAGAAGGCAAAGGGGGAGCAGGCAGGTCACATGGCAAAAGCAGGAACAAGTGAGAGAGAAGAGACAGAGAATTGGAATGGGTGAGGTGCCACACACTTTTTTTTTTTTTTTGAGACAGAGTCTCGCTCTGTTGCCGGGCTGGAGTGCAGTGGCGCAATCTCGGCTAATTGCAACCTCTTGAACCGCCTCCTGGGTTCAAGAGATTCTCCTGCCTAAGCCTCCCAAGTAGCTGGGACAACAGGCGCACGCCACCAAGCCCAGCTAATTTTTGTATTTTTAGTAGAGACTGGGTTTCACCATGTGAGGGTTTCACCATGTTGGCCAGGACGGTCTCGATCTCTTGACCTCATGATTCACCCACCTCGGACTCCCAAAGTGTTGGGATTACAGGCGTGAGCCACCAAGCCCCGCCACACACACTTTTCAACAATCAGATCTCCTGTGAACTCAGAGCTAGAGCTCACTCATCACCAAGAGGATGGCCCAAGCCATTCATGCAGTATCTGCCCCCAGGATCCAAACACCTCCCAGCAGGCCCCACCTCCCACAGTGGAGATTACATCTCAACAGGAGATCTGGGTGGGGACAAATATTCAAACTATATCAGTCACTTTCCCCAGCTTCCTTTGCTCCAGCCCCACTGGGTTTTGTTTAACTTCTTAGGCGCTTAATTCCTTCTGGCCTGAACCTTTCCTACTTGCTTCCTCTTGCCCATTTGTGTGGCTGGTTCCTAAAGACCATTCTTTAGATGCCGACCCAAATGTCACCTTCTTAGAGAGGCATTGCACAGTCCCATCTGTCCAAAGGAGGTTGCTCATGTTTTTCCTTCTTCGTGTGGGTGTGTGTACCAAAATCTCTTTAATTCCGTCATTGGACATTTTTTTTGTTTTACTAATATTCAGACATTGTAAACAATGCTTCAAGCAATATCTTTGTACCTCTATCTCTGATATAATTATTTCCTTAGGAGAAAGTCCTAGAAATGGAATTGCAAGGTATAAGATTATTAACGTTCTTAAGGCTTTAAGATGTTGTCTTTGGGTAGGATCTGTTACATCTTGCGTCCTTACAAATTCTCCTAAGCTTCAGTGTTCCTCGCAGGACAAGCCGTCCAGGAGGCCGCGCGGTCAGCACTCCTGCCTGGTCTGTGGCCTTCAGGCGATTCAGGGCCAGCTGCAGGGCCTGGAATTCAAACATTCTCTTGGCAACACAGAGGCAGTCTGGAATACCCTTTTCTTGAAAGATATTTTCACCAGAAGTCCAAATGGCAGCAAGCCCTCTGCCTTTATCTGAGAATCCGTTCTGGTTCAAGGGGTAGTTGAGTGCTAAACTTCTGGGAAATTGTGTCTATCCCGGATTCGCGCTTCACCATGGAATCCAGTCCCTTCTCCAGGGCTTCACCCACGCTCCCTGTGATCTCTGAGTCGCCCTCCTTTTCCACAATTTCATGTGTAATCTCATTTTCTGTTTCTGCTACAATGTCAAATTCTGGGGAAAAAAAAGGACCTGCATCGTGCAAACTCCTATTGTGTCCGAGCCTGCTCCTGTGTCAATCTCCAGTGTGGCATCCATGCTCCTTACGGCAGTAATGTGCCTGTGACATCGGGTGCAGGTTTGGGACCCTTAACATCCACAAACCCTGCAGAGATGGGACCACACTAGAGAGCCACGCATTCTCCTGTTTCTGGAGGAGGCTTCTCTGAAGGCAGCTCACATGAGTAAAAGTCACTTTTTCAGGTCGCAGTCCCGCGCAAGGGGCGGAAGGGGCGGCGGCGCCTGCAAACGCCGCGGGAGGGCGAGCGCGCGGTCGCAGAGCTCCAAGACCAGGTCCCGGCCCCGCAGCGCCCGGCCCAGCCCGGCCCGCCCACCTCGCGCGGAAACTTCGAGCTGCGCAGCCGCCGCGCCGGCGCCTCCCCAGCAAAGCTCCGCTAAGTGCGGCCGGCGGGGGTGCGGGGCGTTGGGCACCTGACCATTTTCTATCATACCACCCTGTTTGTTTCCTCAGGAACTTCACAATTAGTAATTAGTTTATTTGTCACCTCACTTGCTTATTGTCTATACCTACAATAAACTGTAGCTCCCTAAGGTGGTGGTGACATCTGATTAGTTTATTATTGCATCCCAGTGCCCTGACATATTATTCATATTTACATATTTACATATGAATAAATATGCATATTTATTATTGTATCCCAGTGCCCTGACATGTTATTCATATTTACGTATTTTCATATTTACATATGAATAATGTATAGAACGGATATATGTATACAATAATGTATGTATGTATAGAATGAATGAAAACGATGGATGGATGGACTGATGAATGGATGGATGAAGAGTGATGTGAGGTATTCACATCTGACTCTTCTTGGCACTACCCTACTGTGAGAAGAGCTTCTCTTGAATCTGATGAGAATTGGTGAAAACAAAGGGCAGGCAAAACTGTACTAGCTCCTGGACTCTTTCCCACAGCTAGGGAGCCCTGGAATGTCTCCCCACAGAGCCCACCCATGGCCCATCCATTCTCTACAGAGCCTTGGGGTTTGTTTCTCCACAGTAGTTCAGCCCTCCTCGCTGATCAGAGCAGAAAACCAAGGTTCAGAAAAGAGACCTGATAAGCTTGTAAACACACAGTTCATTTGTAGGAGAGATAATTATACTCAACAGTCATTAACTTTAGCCACCCCTAAGTCACTTTGAGTTGACCTCCATGTATTTGGCTGTCACTCTGTGGATGGCCTCATCCAGGCTCGTGAGGATCAAGGCAACATTACGAGGCTCACCATTTTAGTCTACATCTCATCCCACCACTTATCAGACTATGCCTGGTGGCAGAAGCCTGTGGGGTCGGGGTGTGGAGAGGCTTGCCAGGGCTTGCTCATCATCAGCCGGTTATTGGGAATCCGCTGGTGGAAGTGTCAATCCAGAAGGGAAAGCTGAGTGGAGAATGGACCCTGAGTCAGCAACATGGAGCGCAGGGTCTGGACTTGGAGTAGACCTTAGAGATAACCCACCCCCTATTTCCTCTCAGAACCAAAGGAGTTATACATGGGGGACTTTGGAACGGAGAAGTGGGTCAACGTTGACAACGAAGAGTAAGGACAGCGAAGATGTGAAAATGAGGAGCTAGGTCAAGAAGCAGCGTGTTCATGGGCCAAACCTTTCACTTGGGCCCTGAGCAATGCCTCTCTGGGTCATGGGGACATCTTAGAAAACTTATCAGGCTAGAGAAATTGCACCTTCTTTCCTAGTACCCTTTGTCACTACCACATCCAGCAGTGGCTGCTCTTTTATCCCTTCCTTTAATCTTCTCCTCATCCTCTAAGCAAACCCTGCTCTTCAGAGAGTAACGGTGTCAATGATGTATGTCTTAGCACGACTGGACCCTCCCAAACTCTAATTGATGGGTAGTGTCTGTCTAGAGAGCCCTGTGTTGAGAGTTCTGAGGCACGCAGTGGGCTGAGTGGGACACTCTATTCCGACCAATTTATGGTGTCAATCACGGGTAGGGGAAGGATCAGTGAAGGGATGTATGGCCAGGTATTTATCATGCCTGGCAGAGTGAATGTATTTAAGTTCATTGTTACTTACGCCAAGATTATTTGCAATTTCAACCTTATTTCTTTTTCTTTTTCTTTTTTTTTTGAGACAAGGTCTCACTCTGTCATCCAGGCTAGAGTGCAGTGGCATGATTTTGGTTCACTGCAACCTTTGCCTCCCAGGATCAAGCAATCCTCCCACCTCAAGTAGCTGGGACCACAGGCTACACCCAGCTGATTTTTGTACTTTTTTTTTTTTTTTGGTAGAGACAGGGCTTTGCCATGTTGCCCACGGTGGTCTCGACCTCCTGGGCTCAAGTCATCCACCTGCCTCAGCCTCCCAAAGTGTTGAGATTATAGGTGTGAGCCACTGTGCCTGGCCTCAATCTTATTTCTAATTTGGCATAAATGGCTTTTGTCTTCTGGAAAAGAATTTCAGATGTCAACAACAGATGAAAAATATATTTCATGGACTCAGTAGCTTCTGCAATCATATCACTAAGGAAACAAATACTTTTAAAAAGATCTACAAGCATCCTTAAGTGTTTTTGAATACATATCTTATCACAAGAGCTCTAAAGAATTTATCATTTTTTCACGTAAGAAAATCAAGCTTTAAAAAAATTAACTTTTCCCCCATACCGCTAGTATCAGCAGAGCTCAAATTTCACTTCAGTTCTGGCAATTTGCAGGGCCCAGGATTTTTTATTACACCAGTAAATAAGTTCCTCTTTTGTCTTTGCTTAAAGCAGTCCTGGGGATGAGGGTAGAGGGAAGGAATGGCTACACAGAGACAGAAGACATCCCTGCCCAAGAACACACTCACATCCCAAGACTCAGGAAACTTTAAATCCATATATGAACGAGAGAAGGTGAACCTAACTGGAACTGTATCCACAGCTCTTGTTTATATAATGAAGAAATACATAATTAGAGTTGGGAGTGATTAATCAAGGATAACTTCCTGGAGGGAATAATTTCAGATTAGAGTTTTGAAAGATGCCAGGAGGGAGAGGATTCTGAGAATAGAAAAATGAGAATCTCATTCATAATTTCATTAGTTCTAGCTTTTCAGATGGGCCATGTATGCAAATGTGTTTGAATGTGAGAAGCTGTATAAAGAAATCACCTTTTATTTCTTTGGAAATTTCTGTTATGTTCTGTTTAAATGGCTGAAACTCTAGGGGGGCCTGCTAAGATTATTAAAAAGAAATTGGTCATTAAATTTAAACTGTCTAGTAGATGAATTTAAAAAGCCAGCTGTCAGAAAACCCCCTCACTTAAAAATAAGGGGCATCATGGAGTTATCACAGAGGAATTATGAATAATATGGCTGCGGTCCCTCTACTTTCTGTCTTTTTGGTTTTTACCCCAATGAAGAGAAAAGGAAATTAGGGAACTGAGAGTATGAAAGAATAAACATGGCTGATGTAATTACATAATCTGCGTCAAGAGACCTTCTTTTTCTGTCTCACAGGTGTGTCTCTCGTTACTAGCTGGGGAGGTAAGGAGGGCAAGTTGGGGAGGTGGTACAGTTGAGTGACCCTTTGATTTAAAAAAATCTAAATTGCAATGTCTGTGTAGATTGTCTTCATCATCTAGTGGTCCACCATGAAGTGCAAAGAGTCCTGAGAGGATGACCCCTGACCCTTGACCCCTGTCCTCAATGCCCACCATGGCATCAAACCCACAGTGTTCCTTTCCCCTACTAAATGTACACCAAAACACCATGGCTTTTTCTTTTTTTTTTCTGAGACGGAGTCTCGCTTTGTCACCCAGGCTGGAGTGCAGTGGCGCGATCTCAGCTCACTGCAACCTCTGCCTCCCAGGGTCAAGCAATTCTCATGCCTCAGCCTATAGAGCAGCTGGGATTACAGGTGCTCGCCACCACGCCTGGCTAATTTTTGTATTTTTCATAAAGACTGGGTTTCACCATGTTGCCCAGGTTGGTCTCGAACTCCTGGCCTGAAGTGATCCACCTGCCTTGGCCTCCCAAAGTGCTGGGATTACAGACGTGAGCCACCAGGCCCGGCATGAGCCACTGCGCCTGGCCATGGATGTTAAAACAGCCTTCTATTGAGGAGTTTAGAAAAGTATTCTAGCTAGATGGAGTTGGGGGCTGTTTGGGATGGCTGTGCTTCAAGCCTTCCTTCTGGGAAATGTCCTTCCCCCACATCTGCTGATTACTGTGGGCACATGACTCCACTTGACCGACCAGAATACCCCATCCTCCTGGATATAGAACACTGGGGCATGTGACCTCAGCAGAATCCTCTTCAGGGACTGATATGGACTGAATGATGTGGTGGGGAGAGAAGGTTCTCTCTTTTCTCTTTAAGGATAGTATAAGCCAGGGACAATTGGTGATCATCTTTGGGTCATATGGACAAAATCTGAGTGAAGCCAATGGACCCAGGTACCTATAGAACTAAGAGGTGACAAAAAATTAATAGTCCTTATAATTTGAAATCCTAGACTCAGCCAGGCCTGAAGTTAGATCACCTCTAGACCTCTTGGTTATATAAGTCAATACATTTCATTTATCACTTCAGCTGGTTTTAGTCTCTACCCCTTACATCTAAAAGACTAGTGGCTAATATAGAGGGAAGCAGACACAGGTAGAGATAAAGGGTTGTGCCTCTTTTAGATAATTTTCTCCTTTGTACCTTTTACAAAGGGCTGGATCTTACTGCTTATGCTTTCGGAGGGCATCCCTCATAGACATTCCTTTCTTCCTATCTTCTCTCTCATTTTTATTCTCCTTTTAACCTCTTCTCCTTCTGCTTCCCCATCCAATCCCCCTTTCTCTTGGAATCTACCACCTTCCTTGGAGAAATAGTCAAATTTCAGTCTCCCTAAGTTTTTTCTTGTATATGGTAAGTTTCACATTCTCAAGCTCCATGGGGTATCAGTGGCTTGACTCATGTACTCAGTACTGCTGCTCTGCAGCCAGAAGGGGAGAGTTCTGGTGTTAGGGTCCATTGGCTCCCACAGGAAAGGAGGCAGTTTAAGCTTAAGTCCTGAGGATAAGGGAAGGAAGTATAAGGAGAGCAGCATGTCACTCCGGGCCATGGGTGCCTTACTCTCTGTAACCAAACACAGGTCATGAATTCAAGGACTAATTGTCATAAAAACATTTATCTGGTCTAAATAAGAAATTCATATTCCTCTGTTATCATAAATTTGACACTTTGAGAGCACTAATCTTGACTCATTTCGTGAAGAAAGCATTTTTCCTTTCTGAGTTGTCTCTCTAGTGGATATTCATCTCTAAATTGCCAGATAATAAACAGCTCCGGACCTAGACACTTCTTCCTAACCACTTGTTTCCCTGCCTTATGTTGCTGGTGTAGGGTAAAGGTGAGAGGATGGATTAGTAAGCAAAGTTTCAGTTGCTGTATCACTATATTAAAAATATATCTAAGATCTCATTTGGGAGTGTGAGGATTGAAACAGTCAAGAAAACTTGCTCGAGATAGCTTTTGACAGCAAGCTGACCAATGCTTAAAAATCAGGGCTGGATGCGGTGGTTCACACCTGTAATCCCAACACTTTGGGAGGCTGAGGCAGGAGGATTGCTTGAGGCCAGGAGTTTGAGGCCAGCCTTGGCAACATAGTGAGACCCCATCTCCACAAAAAATTTAAAAATTCAGTGAATGTAGGGGCAGGTGCCTGTAGTTCCAGCTACTCTGGAGGCAGAGGCAGGAGGCTCACTTTAGCCCAGGAGTTGGAGGCTACAGTGAGCTATGATCATCACACTGTACTCCAGTCTGGGCAGCAAAGCAAGACCCCATCTCTTAAAGAAAAAATCAGAACTTAAAACAACCTTACATGTGCTTAGGAAGGTTTTTGACTCCAAGAAAAAATTCAGGAAGAATTTAGAAGGGTCTATTTCTATTTAAGAAATCCAAAGGTAGTTTGAAAAGTGACTGAGAATAATTAAAAGATAGGGGGAAAGGAATAAAATTATTTCTAGGTATTCACACTTAACTATTATCTGTATATTAGTTAACATTCATATAGCTGGTAACTATGTGCCAGGTACTGTTCTAAGTACTTTAAAAACATTAACCTATATAGGCCGGGCGCAGTGGCTCTCACCTGTGAGCCCAGCACTTTGGGAGGCCGAGGCGGGTGGATCACCTGAGGTCAGGAGTTTGAGACCAGCCTGGCCAACATGGTGAAACTCCATCTCTACTAAAAATACAAAAAAAAATTAGCCGGCGTGGTGGCGAGAGTCTATAATCCCAGCTACTCAGGAAGCTGAGGCAGGAGAATCGCTTGAAACCAGGAGGCAGAGGTTGCAGTGAGCTAAAATCACACCATTGCACTCCAGCCTGGGCAACAAGAGCAAAACTCCATTTAAATATATATATAAACCCATATAATCCACATGACAACTCTCTGAGATAATTTAAAGTATATCATTATTTTAACTTACTAATAGCAGTGGTATCAAGAGAATGGGAAGACAAGCCACATACTGGAAGCAAATTTTTATAAATGACATATCTGATAAAGAACTGCCATATAAAAATAAAAAGAACATTTAAAATGCAACAATAAGAAAATGAACAACCCAAATACAAAATGGACAAAAGATCTGAGCAGATGCCTCACCAAAGAAGATATACAGTGCACAAATAAGAATGTGAAAAGATGCTCAATATCATGTCATTACAGAATTGCAAATTAAAATTAATAGCAACAACAATAGCTAGTATTTTTCAAATGCCCACAGTACTCATACTTTATGAATCTCATTTAATCTTCACAACACCTGTTAAGAAGTGGGCACTCAATTATCATGATGATTTTATGGATGAGAAACCCAAGACTGGAGAGGTGAAGTAACTTTCCAAAGGCCACGGTTAATGGATGTGAATCCCTATCTGTCTCATCTTAAAGCCTGTGCACTGAATTACTGTACTATAGCCTATTAATATTTAGTCACTTTTAATAATTTACTGTTTTTATACAGTTTTAGTTTTACGTTCTTACACAATTGAGTGAAAAAGTAAGCTTATCTAACACCTATACATATTTAACAAGGTTATTACCCAGGCACTACCGTTCATCTGCAGGGAGCTTGTTCAAATTGGCAGCATAGTACATAGGTCAAATTTAAGAGCTTTGGAAAGTTCTCTTTGTGGCCAGGTGTGGTGGCTCACATGTGTAATCCCAGTCCTTTGGGAGGCTGAGGCGAGCAGATCACTTGACCTCAGGAGTTTGAGACCAGCCTGGCCAACATGATAAAATCCCGTCTCTACTAAGAATACAAAAATCAGCCAGCATGGTGGTGTGTGCCTGTAGTCCCAGCTACTTGAGAGGCTGAGGTGGGAGAATTGCTTGAACCAAGGAGGTGGAAGTTGCAGTGAGCTAAGATTGCACCACTGCACTCCAGCCTGGACGACAGAGTGAGACTCCGACTCAAAAAAAAAAAAATAATAAAAAAACAAAACAAACAAACAAACAAACAAAAACTATTTGCAATAATCTAAACTAATAAAGTTATGGGATAAAATCACAGTCTTGGGGGGCAGTTATTCTGATCTTCGTTTCCATACTGTCAGTTTGACAGATGTTGACTGAATAGCAGAAGTGTTCTGAGATGGCATATGCAATTGGATATTTTAACATGAATTTTAAAAAGCTATGATTTATAAAGTGTGCAAAACTTACATGAGATAATGCAGTATTCTGGGCTAAGAGTGGGGGAAACTCTTACCAACCCGAGCCTGAAGGGACCAGAGGAAGGGGCAGTTACTGACACCCAGAGAGAACAGCTGGATGGAAGAAAACGGCCCCACAGCGGCAGGCCTTCAGTAAAGGGACATAGCTAACCCATAACTACCTGGAAGGCAGGAAAGTAGGGGAATAACTACCCTGCCCTCCTTTCTTGGCCACACTATGATCTCCTCGCAGTGCCTCCAATTGGCCAAAGCCAACTGGAAGCCAAGTGCCAGTCTCCTGAAGCACAGGGCAGGGCAAGAAAGGATGAAGACTGGCTTAAAGGAAAATGGACAATATCCAGGAAACTGATAATGGCCCAAATCAGGGCATGTGCTTTGGTAAAATGGAATTTCTGAGCATGGCAAATTAAAATCCAGCTCCTGGATCTGGGGAGTCTTCACTAAGTGTGGTTACGTAAGTAGTTGGGCAGCCTGACTATTATAATCCTCTCTCAATCTCTCTCTCCATCAATTACATTTAAAGAGGCCTCTGACTCAAATGCACCAGCCCACAGCTTTGGTTCCCTTTGTGTTCTTCCTTACCCAGCTGGCACAACTGCTGAAGTGCGGAGTGCAGAAGAACCCTCTGAGCTGTTGTTGTAGCAAACGGCTTCCTCCTGTTGGAAATTTCACAAACCCACCTGCTCAATAGACATC
This sequence comes from Homo sapiens, assembly GCF_000001405.40. NCBI lineage: Eukaryota > Metazoa > Chordata > Mammalia > Primates > Hominidae > Homo > Homo sapiens. The sequence goes on from NC_000011.10 coordinate 121,435,426, forward strand.
CTTCCTGAGGTAGGCTTGGAAAGGTTACAAACATAAGCAAAGGACAGAAAACCGGGTTCCCATTTCTGGGCTTGTGCAAAGTACATGTGATTGTTGCATAGACAAAAAGAAGGGATGCTAGAGGGCAGAAAGCTGTTCACATGTTGGCCCAGTTCACAGTTTCCTGTCTTTACCTTTCCTTCAAAAGTTCTTGGGGCTGGTGTTAGGCACAAATGGCCTGTCCCTTTTTCCTGTACTTGCAGGTGATCTCATACGGCTCACCTTGACCATGATGCCCCACTGCAGTGCCTTGCTCAGCTCTGCTCTCTGATAACGCCCTGTGCACTGGCTCTTTCCCTTTGCTCTGTCCCTTTCCCTTTGCTCTGTCTACTTGTCCTGAGTCTCATTTCTCTTATCTGGTTGAAAGAAATGCAAAGAGATAAAAAGAAAAAACATGTCACTTTACTATTACATGTCAATTTTCAATTTACTTGGTTGCTAACAGAGTGATGTAGTTCTCACTGTGTGTTCTGCAGAACCCTAGGGATTGGCAGAGTTAAGCAAGCAGGGCTTTAGAAACCCTGGGCCCCCCACAGCCTCAGTACCATACATCTGCTTTTGTCTGTTTCATACATTGAGGTTCCATGTCAGGTTTTAATTGTAATAAATCTAGTTCTGCTGCTTGAAATTTTCAAGTGGTTGTAAACCACTGGCTAGATCTCCAAGGGTACTTCTCTTTTGTCAGGGGATTAGGGATATCACGATCACAAATCAACTGAGGAACAATGAAGTGATTAAGGGCACAGGCTCTGGAGCTCAACTGCCTGTGTTCATATCTGAGCTCTGCCCTCTACCAGCATTAAGACAAGAGCTTGAGGACCTCCCACACCCCAGCTCAGTGATCTGTGATGTCTTGGGCTACAACTCAGGATTGAGGAGAGGCTCTTGAGCAAGAGCCATATTCTGGGTTCTCACAACACTGCTTTTGAAATAAAGGTTGTCCAGTAAGCCAGTCACATGCACACAAGAAGAAGAGGAGAGGGAGGAGAAATGAGTTCCTCATAGGTGCTAAATATATTAGACATGGTTTTAGTTGATTTAGTCAAAATGACCACGGGGAGAAGACTGTTACACAACTTCAGCCTAACAGTGCTAAGGTTTCCTGCTCCTGTTTCCCATGTCTATAAGATTTGTTCCTTGCATTTTCCTTGGCTAAACCACAGCTTCATATTCCACTATGCTCTATGGTCTGCTGTGATTATGCCTTAATGAGGACAAACCCATTTCCTGATCTCTTTAATGAATATTTGCTTCTTGACCCCCCATGTCCCCTCATTAATCTCCCCTCATATGGCTCCAGACTGCACTGCTAGAGGAACCTGACAACTCTCAGACAAACAGAAGATGCACTAGAATATTTAAAGTTCTTACGGCAGTGGTTTCTGCAGCCTCCTGCTTTCACTGAAATTATAAGTATAAACGGAGCCTTATCTCACCTATGAATGATAAAACAAAAGTAGGGAGGACTCAGATGAAACACAAAGAAGAATGTTCTTGCTGCAGATATTAGAGGCACTGAGACAGGTTACTGAGGAATGCTGCAGACCTCTCTTCCCAGTAATCCTAAAAATAATGGGAAAGGAGTTAGCCAGTTTGGGGTGGCTGAGGTACCTGGAACCAAGAAACAGGGCTAAATGATTTTGGCAATTCCTTTCTGGGACTTACTAGAGCCTAGTGAGCAAGAATATGGACTTTGCAGTCAAATAGACCTGGAAATGAGACCCAGTTCTAGTACTTACTAGCTGTGAAACCTTGGGCACACTACTTAGCCTCTGTACAGAGAGTCACAGTGAGGATTAAATAAGATGAATGGACAAAGTGTTTAGCATAGGATCTGACTCCATGAGAGTGATCAGTAAATATTAGCTTCAGCACTTAGCCTAGGGTTTTATTCACCCATTTTCTTTCAACCCACCATGTTCCATGTCATCTGCACAGACCCATTCTTATGCAACCACTGAGTTGAATTCTTTCTCATCTAGCTCCAAAATGGCAAGTCTCCAAGTCTGAACAAGTTTGGCAATCTCAACTGGTTCTCTTATTAATCAGCTGGGATTGAAACTTCTGACTTAATTCTAAGTAATATAGTTTTCACAGAAATGACCCAGGTCATATTCTGTCATTCAGTCTACCTCATGCAGAACCTGATGAAGATGCTACTGCTGATGGCTTGGTTGTTTCTCTTCATTCTTCAAGCCCAGATTCCCCTGTTCAAAGAGCCAGACTCTTTGAGCGGGAAGGGACCTTGGCATCATTTAGCCTGGGATAATTGCTATACTACAGGTAATCTAGACTCAAAAATAGACTAAAACTGTGGGCCACAGGGCTTATAGGGGAGTCTTACTGGTGCAGTTGACTTCTGTGTAGTTTCAAGGAAGGGCAGAAGTTGATGGGAAGTGGGAGTAGGGAGGATGTTTAACAAAGGAAATGTGCAAACACCACATGTTCTAAGATACAGGAACATAGAGTGGCTAAAGGTTTGCGTTTCAGGAGGCAAGTAGTTAGAGGTAATGGTAAATAGGGGAAGAATTTCAGAAAAGAAAAATAAACAGATTCAAGAAAGTTTTCGGTAACATAAGTTTCCATATCTACGTGGAGTTCTCCAAAATAGAAGATGAACGCAGGTTTTGCCTATTCCGAAATACATGATTAGTTCAGCATTACATATCAAGTATCACACCGAAGTCTTAAAATCTGAGGGCTTGTTTTTTATTACTTAATCAGAACTCCCAATTTGAACCGTCCACAATATCTCTGATAAGCATTAGTCTAGCTTAAATACTTCCAGTGCCAAAGCATAATACTGGAAGAAGCAACTCATTTCATCCCTTTATTTTAATTTATTTTTATTCAAAGCATAATTACATATGGTAAAATGCACAGACCTTAAGTGTATAATTTGATTAAACTTAATTGTTTAATCAAAATGTGAAAATTGCCATCACCCAAAAAATTTTCCCATGCTCCTTTCCTGTGGCCCACCCTCCCTCTACATTCTCACAGGCAATGACTATTCTGATTTCTATTTCCATAGATGAGTTTTTCCTGTTGCTAGACTTCACATAAGTGGAGTCGTTCATTGTGTGTACTCTTTTGTGTCTGGTGCTTCTCATTTAACATAATATTGTTGAGATTCATCTACGTTGTTGTATGCATTAATAGTTTGCTCCTTTTTATTGTGGGGCAATATCTCACAGTATGAAAAATCTCAATTTATCTCTTTAGTCTATTGATAGACATTGGCATTGTTTCCAAAGTTTGGCTTTTAGAAATAAAGCCATGGCCAGGTGCGGTGGCTCATGCCTGTAATCCCAGCACTTTGGGAGGCCGAGGCAGGCGGATCACAAGGTCAGGAGTTCGAGAGCAGCCTGGCCAATATGGCGAAACCCCATCTCTACTAAAAATACAAAAATTAGCCAGGTGTGGTGGCACGTGCCTGTAGTCCCAGCTACCTGGGAGGCTGAGGCACAAGAATTGCTTGAACCCGGGAGGCAGAGGTTGCAGTGAGCTGAGACGGCTCCACTGCACTCCAGCCTGGGCGGCAGAGCGAGACTCTGTTTCAACAACAACAACAAAAGAAATAAAGCTACAATGAATATTCTTATCCAACTTTTTTTGTAGACATATAGTTTCATTTCTTTTGGAATTTTTAGATCACATGATAGGTGAATATTTATGAGAAAATGCCAGTTTTCCAAATGGCTCTACCATTTTATACTTTTGCTGGCCATGCATAAAACATCCTGCTGCTTCACAGCCTCTCTAACATTTGGTACTGTTAAAATTTTTAAATTTTAACCATTCTGGCGGGTGTGTAGTGGTATCCCATTGCATTTTCAATCTGCACTTCCCTGACGACCAACAACGCTGAGCATCTTTTTTATGTTCTCATTGGCCATGCATGCATTCTCTTTTATGTGGTGTTTATCGAAGTCTTCTGCTTGTTTAAAAACATTGATTGTCCTTTTATTACTGATTTGTAAGAGTCCTTTGTACATTCTGTTTATGAGTCCTTTGGCACCGTGGAGAAAATTTCCACTTTGGAGCCAGACACCCAAGGGATTTGAATCTTGGCTCTGTCTGTATATCTTCTATGAGTAACTCAATGTCTCTGATCTTCAGCAGCTTTGTCGGTAAAATAAAAATAATTCTCACCATACAGGATTGCTTTGAGAATCTGAGAGAGCACAAATACAGCACTGAGTTCAGATCCAATCCTGGCACATAACAGGCACTTACAATAACATTTAAAGACGGTGAGTATTAATGTAAATGTTTAAAGATAATGGCTGAGTTGGCCCTCTGCTAAATCTCCTCTATTCTAAGTTAAATATCTCATTTCTTCAACTTTTGCATAAAATATGATTTCCAGACATTGCTGCCACAAGTTGTATTTGAATTTTTTAAAAATCAGTAAGACAAGGGCTTTGGCCAATCAGAATGGACACAGGCCATTGGGCTGGATGAGAGTCTAGGAGGCCCCTAGTGGACCAGACATTCATTAATCTTCTAGTTACTGGATTCTGGGGGAAGTTCACAGTGTTCTGGGTGGGGAGGCATGGTGCCTGGGACAATGGGATTTGGTAGTGCTCAGGAGCTTGCTGGGGCTCAGGAAATGATACCCCAGGGTGGGCATGGTGGCTCATGCCTGTAATCTCAGCACTTTGGGAGGCCAAGGCAGGTAGATCACTTGAGGTCAGGAGTTCGAGACAAGCCTGGCAAACATGGTGAAACCCTGTCTCTACTAAAAGTATAAGAATTAGCTGGGCCTGATGCTACATGGCCTGTAATTCCAGCTACACGGGAGGCTGAGGCAAGAGAATTGCTTGAACCCCGGAGGCGGAGGTTACGGTGAGCCGAGAGCATGCCACTGCCCTCCAGCCTGGGCGATAGAGTGAGACCCTGTCTCTAAATAAATAAATAAACAAACAAATAAAGAACTCCAGAGGGCCAGAGGATGGCATGCTGAGACTTTGAACTAAAGAAGATGGGAAAGCCCCACCAGCAGCCTCAGAAACAAGTTCTCTCTGACTTTCTCTTGCCCTCCTGTCTCTTGTCCCTCTTTCTCTCCTGATTCATAGAAACCAGAATTCCTCTTTCCCAAGGTGGGTCACAGAAACTAGAATTTCTTTCTCCCAAAGCAAGCCATGAGCCTGGAAAGATCATGTTCTCCCTTAATACTTCTTTCTTGAAGACCTTCATTCAAGAGCGGTCCCTTTCCATACTCAGGAGGAAGGAGGTCAAGAAGAATCTGAACAGACAAGACTTGCTGGGGTTCCCTTCTCAGTCTATTACCACTAGATTATACCCTTTTGTCCAGTCGCATTTCTACGTAGCTGTCCATTCTTCATCAAACTTAACCATGAAAGTAGACAGTCTTCCCTGGGTCTTTGGGTCTTGATTTCTGAAGGCTCTTGTGTCACATAAAATTACGACTAAATACAGTTATGCTTTTCTCTTGCTAACTTGTCTTTTGTTATAGGAGTGTTGGCTGTGGCCCTTATGATGGGTGAGGAAAGGGATCACTCCTTTTTCTGCCCCTACTGGTTGCAGAAGTAACTATTTACCAATGGAGATATAAGTATTTCAATGTTTTAGAAGCGAGTCCCAGGAACAGAGCTTGCCTACTAATTTTTAGGCCCATTATCTCCATTACTACTTTCTGATTTTGGAAATAACTATTGGTTGTTCTTGGTATTGTTTTCCACTTCTTCTAAAGGGAAAAGAACCCTTGATTTGTAAGTGGGTACATGAATGCTTAGAATAAGGCCTCTATTGGCCAGGCGCTGTGGCTCACGCCTGTAATCCCAGCACTTTGGGAGGCCGAGGCGGGCAGATCACGAGGTCAGGAGATTGAAACCATCCTGGCTAACACGGTGAAACCCCATCTGTACTAAAAATACAAAAAAAAAAAAAATTAGCTGGGCGTGGTGGTGGGCGCCTGCAGTCCCAGCTACTCGGGAGGCTGAGGCAGGAGAATGGTGAGAACCTGGGATGCGGAGCTTGCAGTGAGCCAAGATTCCACCACTGCACTCCAGCCTGGGTGACAGAGCGAGACTCTGTCTCAAAAAAAAAAAAAAAAAAAAGAATAAGGCCTCTATTTCCCAGCATCCCTTGCAGGTAGGTGTGACTATGAGACTAAGTTCTGGCAAATGGGATGTGAGCAGAAGTGATGTGTATGCACTGGCTTGTGCCCTTTCTCCTTCCCACTGGGTGGCTTGAGGATGTTCTGGTGAGCCATTGTGGATCATACAGACAAAGGAGGCACCCTGGGATGGCACAGCAATGAGACAGAAGGAGCCTGAACTCCCGACAGCTGCATGGAGCTACAGCAGAGACACCAGCTAATGTGTGGGAGAAACACACTTTTGTCTTGTGTAAGCCACCATTATTTTGGGTCTCTGTGGCATGCAGCTAAAGTTTTATCCCAACTAATCCACTGATCCTAAAAACCCGTGTGCCACTACCCCTACTCTTACCCTAGTTTTCCAACAGGAGCACTTAGTAATATATTGCAATTGACCTAGATAAGTTTATTCATGCCCAATCATTAGTTATTTTTGATAGACAGAGTAGCTGCCAAGTTGGAGCATGTAAGCTTTAGTTAATCCTCCACAACCTCACTGCCAGATTTTAATGATAGCAAACCTTGCACCAGATTCTGCTATACAGGCAGATGTTTATTAAGTAAATATTTATTAGCAACAAGGCATAGGAAGTCTCTCAGCTCTTTGAGGTGCTTTCATTGCACCTTACTTGAATGTGCTTTACTAGATGCAGATGCGACATTCCAGAGTCGCCATTCAGTTAAACTTATGGTTGGTAACGAGCAACTAGAATCCTTAAACCCAAGGACACAGGAAGAGCTAGGGATTAAGACTCAATTGGGGCTGGGCGAAGTGGCTCACATTTGTAATCCCAGAACTTTGGAAAGCCGAGGTGGGTGGACTGTTTGAGGTCAGGAGTTCGGGCCCAGCCTGGGCAACATGGTGAAACCCCTTCTCTACTAAAAATACAAAAATTAACTGGGCGTGGTGGCACGCACCTGTGGTCCCAGCTACTCAGGAGGCTGAGGCAGGAGAATCACTTGAACCTGGGAGGCGGAGGTTGCAGTGAGCTGAGATGGTGCCACTGTACTCCAGCCTGGGTGACAGAGTGAGGCTCTGTCTCTCTCTCTTTTATTTATTTATTTATTTATTTATTTATTTATTTATTTATTTATTTATTTTTTTGAGATGGAGTCTTGCTCTGTCGCCCAGGCTGGAGTGCAGTGGCGTGATCTCGGCTCACTGCAAGCTCCGCCTCCCAGGTTCACGCCATTCTCCTGCCTCAGCCTCCCGAGTAGCTGGGACTACAGGCGCCCACCACCACGCCCGGCTAATTTTTTGTATTTTTAGTAGAGATGGGGTTTCACCATGTTAACCAGGATGGTCTTGATCTCCTGACCTCGTGATCCGTCCATCTCGGCCTCCCAAAGTGCTGGGATTACAGGCGTGAGTCACCGCGCCCAGCCAAGGCTCTGTCTCACAAAAGAAAAAAAAAAAAAAGACTCAATTGGCATCTCTGAGGCTAGAGGACATGAAGACGTGGGATGGAAAAGAGTGTCTATAAAACATTTTTGATAAGCCATATGTCTTGAATACTTCTGACTTTACTAATGACAGCCCGTTTCTAATACTTATTAATCTAACTAACAAGCTACTAATGAAAATTCATTCTCAACATTCGTTATGCTAATTAGTAAAAAATCACTTGTATTGATTGAGATTTAGAGCTACCCTGGAGCTAGCGTTGGACTTTCTAGTGCTAGCTGACCACCCTTGAGGCATGAATTCCCGATTAGGACAAATGACTGCCCCAGGTTGCTGGCCAAACAAACACAGTAAAATCTGGCTGTCTACAGTGGCATATCTAAAATAAATTCTCACAATGCCATGTCAAACAGACAAGAACCTAAGGCATGAATATTCCCACTGAAGGAAAAGCCATGGTTTTATACCACTCTCCTGTTCCATTGATGCTGGAAGCTTTTCCTTATTCATAGTTGCTATATTGTCTGTAGTAGATTTTAAATACTTCAATATAAACAGAGTCATGTATATGTGTATAAATTAACTTTAATCCATGCTAGGGGTGTACAGCTCACGTTTGAAGGGACTTCATCAGAAATCCATGCTCTAAGTGTGATTGGCACTTGAAGCATCCTGGTCAGGAATTCAAGCTTTTCAGGGAGCTGCGCTGAGAACATCATGTACATTTGAATCAGAAGGTGTATAAATTAGCATAAGGAATATTAGTTATTATTTTTCATTGGTGAAATTAGCGCTGCTCAAGAAACATAGCTGGAGTGGGCTTGCTTGGACAAGATGTAAGAATCCAGCAGACCCAGCAGGCTGATTCCTCCTCCAGAGCTGTTGAATTCATCTGGTCTTTTGTCTCTCCACTTAAAGGGAAACTGTTCCCTGATTTGACCAGGAGTTTGGTGGATCCTGGCCTCAGAACACTGCTCCATCTGTTTGGGGTCTAGGTTCTCCTGTAAGGGTTTTAGGGGTGCCCTGAGCCTTCTGGTACAGGATGTGTGATGGCCTCTAGCCTGCTTGCTAAGAAATGTGTGTGTGTGTGTGCGCGTGGGTGTGTGTGTGTGTGTCTGTGTGTCAGAGAGAAAGAGAGAGAGAAACCTGGTTTAATTTATAAAAACTAATCTCAGTTTTTATAGCAACATATCACCTGGTAGTGAGGTTGAAGGGACATGTACAAACCTGAATAAAAACCCAACAATTGCTGAATGGCCAAATTGATTTACCAACAATACCTAACCCGAGCTTTGCTCAATAATAATAGGCATCATTAGCTAAACAAGTTTTATGTGCCAGGCGTTCACTTTCTAAACCATTGACATGTAAAATCTCAATTAATCCTTTAAACCTGCAGATGTAGGTAATTCATATTTACTTACGGATGAAGAAACTTAGGCTCTGAGAAAGTACCTGAGCAGATCCAGCGGGTCTCTGGCAGAGCCGGATATAAACCCAGGTGAGTGGGCTTCTGACGTCACGCCTCTAGTACTTTACACTGCACATGGATGCAGGTTAAGCGCATTTCAATCTCTGGTTCCATTTTAGGTGATTAAATGATCTGGGCAAGATTAAATTATGAGGTGGAAGAGGGGTGGAAGGGTGGACAGGATCTGACTTCAGTGGGCAGGATAAAGAAATGAGGACACGGTGGGTGTCCCCCTGCTGGGAGGCATCCAAGACAGATGGGGGAGCAGGAACCACACTCCATGGTTGGCAGACTGTAAGTATTCCATGGCGTCATTATCACAGAATAGCAGCCTTTTAGAATTAAGAATAGTCTTAATTTGTGCTGTGTTGGGTTTTTCATTTACATAATGTTAGATTTCAAAGAAAATTCATACACAAAATTCACTGCTAATTTAGCACTGAAGCTTCTGTTGAAATAACCATTGAAAACGAAGAATTTTTCACTCACCTCTTTGCTTAGGTGGTTGGGCAGTTTGAAAATTTGCCTCCGAGCAGGTCTGTTGGTATGATCCAAACTCTAATCGCAGTTTCAATAATTTATTTGGTGTGGAGGATTTAATGTAATTTAAGGGCTCTGAGAAAATGTATTATTTTATGTGGAGCCTCATTAAAAGCACTTGCAGTTTTGAGTCTGGTGGGAATGATGATTTTAACAGGTGTTAATTCAGCTGATGACACCACGTAAAATTTCCAGGGTGATGGATTTAGAGAAGGCGCACAGTGAGGGGCGTGATCTGTCGCACCCTCTGGGAGATTATATGCATGATACACAGGTCCTCCCACTTCTCCTGAGCTGTAGCAGGAGATGGGCAAAAGTGGCATTTGGAACACGTGTTGTGGCCCTGGTGAAACAGGTGCTGGAAGAAGCACTTCTCAGAACCCCTGGCTGCACGGCCTCCACGGATCCCTGCACCACAGTGCTGAAAGGGACGAGCTGGGCGCTCCACCCCAGCTTCTGCTGTCCCCACAGCTCTCCTTTGGTGTCTCTCTCCATTGGCCTTCCCAGCCTCCCATAGCAGGCACCACCCCACCTACCTGTTCCCACACCCTACCTTGCCGCCACTCTACCCTGAAACCTTTCCTCCTTCTCCTCAGACGCTGAAAATAACTTCCTGCTTCCTCCCGGAACCAGAGCACTTTAGCCTTCTCTGCTTGTCCCGTTCCAACTTCCACACACACACCTGAAACCACAGCTCATAACGTCTTATTCTCCAGAGAGTTTGCCTATCACCCTCCCCAAAGCCAGTACTCATCTTTTTTCCCCCCAAGACAGAATTCTTTTTGTATTTACATATTTCTGCTAGTTTCATGTTTATCTTTCTTCTCTTTCTCAAGTTCCTTGCAGTTAGTGGCTGTGTCCTTTATAGGCATTTGAACCTATTATTGGGCAGATGATGACTAGGACATGCATAAAAATATGTTGCAGGGAAAGGACCCCCTTCTTGCTCAGGCTGGCTGCCCTGGTGCTGACAGGCCCTCAGAGGCCTCTCTGCCATTCTTTGCAGTGAAAACTAGAATGAAAAATTCAGTCTCCCCAGAGCATTGATTCAAAATTGTTCCTCCTTCCAGAACCAACTGCCGAAGGGTGTGAGGAGCGGGGGTGGGGGTAATTCTCTCTCACCACTCCCTTCACTTTTACTTCAATTCTGTAGGATCTACTCTGTCTCTGTTAAGTACAAGACAGGGGAATAGACTCCAAGACATCATTACAATTTAGAAAAGGAGATAAGTACCAAAATCGTTGTTCTAATGGAAGGCAGAACATGATCAACATCTCAAAAGAGGCCTAAAGCAAGTTTCAGGGCCTCTAGGGGTAGTTGGGGGAAATCCAGGAAGAGGTCAAGAAGTGGCCTTTTAGTTAATGAATAAACAAGGCCAGAGGGGAGAGCATCTCAATCTGTTCTGACTGGAAAAGGGGTCTGGGGGATCCTAGGTTTCTGTTAGACTGTATCCAGGAGAAGGCCAGGCATGGTGGCTCATGCCTGTAATCCCAGCACTTTGGGAAGCTGAGGTGGGCAGATCACCTGAGGACGGGAGTTCGAGACCAGCCTGGGCAACATGGTGAAACCCCGTCTCTACTAAAAATACAAAAATTAGCCAGGTGTGATGACACATGCCTATAATCCCAGCTACTCGGGAGGCTGAGGCAGGAGAATCATTTGAACTCAGGGGGTGGAGGTTGCAGTGAGCTGAGATTGCACTACTGCACTCCAGCCTGGGTGACAGAAACTCTGTCTTAAGAGAAGAAAAAAAAAAAAAAAAGGAAAGTATCCAGGAGACGTGGGCCAAAAAGCTAGTCTGACTGTCTGCTTTCCCTGTCTTGCTGGCCCTAAGAGAGTGCAGAGGCATCTGCTGAAACAAAGCATCACATTTCAACTGTGCTGTGTCCAAGCTGATTGGTCACATCCCCAGGCTCGTCTGTGCCTAACGCATGCATCCCCAGTGAATGTACAGCAAAGGCCTCAAGGGAAGAAGATACAAGCCTTGATATGTAATTACACGGGGATATTCAAATAATCTTCAGCTTAAGTTCCTCTCATTCACTTCAAACCCAGGAGGGGGAGTCCTACTCCTCTATATTCCCAGGGAAAGAGGTAATTTCCTAGGGACCCTCAGCAACCCATTGTCTTATGTCAGGAGGTTTGTCCTTGGGTCTACATAATTATAAGAAACTTCTAGGTTCCCGCTTCACACACTTTGTGAGAAAGGTCTAAATGCTTTCTTGATCTAGAAGTTCAGGAAGTTGAGTTACGCAGGGATGAAGGCCAGACAAGGGTAAACAGTGGAACCAAAACTTGAGGGCTTTTTTTTTTTTTTTTTTTGAGACAGGGTCTCTCTCTGTCACCCAGGCTGGAGTGCAGTGGTGCGATCTCAGCTCACTGCAGCCCTGACCTCCTGGGCTCAAGCGATCCTCCCCACTCAGCCTCCTAAGTAGCTGGGACTACTGGCATGTGCTACCATGCCTGGCTCATTTTTGTATTTTTTGTAGAGGTGGGGTTTCGACACATTGCCCAGGCTGGTCTTGAACTCCTGGGTTCAAACGATCCTCCCGCCTTGGCCTCTGTAAGTGCTGGGATTAAGGGCATAAGTCACTGTGCCTGTCTGAGGGACCTTCTAAAACTTGCGCTCTCTCACAGGTTTTGAAACACATTGGAAACCAAATCCCTCGCTAAATTCATCTCCTAGAAAAGTATAGAAAACAGGACTGGACTTGTGAGCTTTGTAACTGTAACATTACTGCTAACTTGTCCCAATCAGGGCGTGAGGGTCAAGCAGATACAGCATCTCACCTAGGCTAGGTACCTAGGAAGGGAGACAGTGCTGGTTAAGGCAGGGCTGAGTTGTGAAGGAGGTGAGGCCTACAGCCACTCCCTTTCCTTCTTTCTGCCCTAATTCCCGCTGTTCCACTATACCCAGGACTTGAAATACCAGCTCTTCTCTTCCTAAGAGAGGTATCAGATGTGGCAGAAAAAGGGAGCCTGGGTTCAAATTTATCCCTTACTAACAGTAAGTTAGCAAGCCTGTTTAACTTTAGGCAAAGCAAATAGTCTTCCTTTCTGAATTTCAATGCTTAAGGTCTGTAAAATGGGGGTGACAATAATTCTCGCTTTGGCCCACTTCAAAGGGTTGCTGTGCGATGGAATGAGATAGATAATGCTGTTATAATGTTATGCAAATGTAAATCACTGCTATGCAAAATAACTTACTGCTATTTCCAGAAACTCCTCTTTGGATTTAATTTAATCAAGAGTGAGAATATAAGTTACTTATTCTATGCTCTGGGTGCATTTGTATTTTAAACCTCATCAATTATCTTGGACGCTTTCCTAACTGAAGTAGATTTTGGCAACAGCAGGAGAAGGAGTTATTTCTTTGGGGGCAGGCGGGTATTTCTATTTTGCCTGAGCTGGTGAGGTCAATGGTAGTTATTTGGCCAAAGTAACATGGAAGAGGGAACAATGTTTACCATCCTAAGGGCAGGGAAGTCCCTTTTCTGCTTTAATGACTCTGGTCTGGTTGCGTGACTCAGAGAGGCCTGCTTTGGGGGAGAAAACGAGGTGGGAAGCAGATGGTGGTAAGAAAAGATCTGAGATTCAACTACATTGGCCCCTTAACCAACCATTGCCACCAGGACAAAGGTGGTGTCACTTCTCACCTTCATTTAAATGCATGCATCCTATAAATATCATTGAGTGCCACCATGTGCCAAGAGTATGCTGGGCACTGGGCGTCTAGACTTGAATGAGATAGACTGGTTTTGTCATTCTGCTGCTTGTAGATTAAGAGGAAGATGGAGATTAAGCAAGTGACCAGAGAGGAAGTATCAAAGGCTACAGGGGACTAGAGCCTTAGAGTGAGGGCTGTAACCTAGCCTAGGTGCCTAAGGAGGCTGCTCTGAAACCTGAAGGCTGAATAGAAGTTGGCCAGCCAGGAGGTGAGCATGTGAGAAGGCCACAGGAAGAGAAAGAACAGAAAGAAGTCAAATTAGGCTTTGGGGAGTTTTTTCCTCTTCGTGGCTGTCCTTGCTGCTATTTTAAACATGACTCCACCTGGATAAAAATGTAGGACACTGTGACCTCTGTGTGTTTGTCCTCTACCTCCATCTCCAGTGGCCTAAGATGGGCAGTAGGACAGAGGAGGGCAGTTTAAAGTCTGACAACAGGCTTAAGACTGTTTTATACACAGCTGTGAGTCTATCATTACATTTCCGTGCATGTTGATTTTCGTCATGATGCTGGGCAGCATCCGAGCAAGGCCATGCAAGATGGGACAGAGGGGGATATGGTACTGTCTTCCATCCTGCACCCCAACTTTGATGTTACTTCAGAGGGATAGAGGAAGTGGTAGCTTGTTTACAACCCAGAGCTGGTTTTGAAGCTGAGAGGAACACCTCACTCATATTGCACGATTCAGCTCTAACTCCTGTCCTGGGTGACCTTGCCTGTGGCTGCTCCTATCTCACAACCCAGTGGGGGTCCTGAAGGTTTGGGAGTGGTCAGGGCTGAAAGGTGTCTTTTCATTTAACTTATGAAGAAATCGTAAGAGACAAGATGATCAAGACAAAAAATTACATAATAATTTGGTTGCAAAGCCAGGACTAGAATCTATGTTTCTAATGCCACCTGCATGCACTATTTCTCTCTGGAGGCCTTCACACAAATTTGCACAGCTATTTTATATACTTACCTCATCTGATACTCTCAGCAGTCCTGTGAGATTGGTAGGGATTAAGATCTCTATTTTACAGATGAGAAAACTGAAGCTCTGAGGAGGTTTGGCCAAGTCCCCACAGCTAGAAAGTCAACCTTCTGACTCAGAATTCAGCGTGTCTTCCACTGCGTTCTGTAGTTGTGCAGCAGGCACAGTCTTGGGGGGTTGCTGATTATCTACCTGAGAATGGTTTGGAATGTAGATAATGATTAGATAGGAGGGCTTGCAAGGAGTTAATTAACCATGTTTGAATATTCTTACCAATTCTCTAGCATTCAAGTTGCAAATCAACATCAAAATGAGCAAGTAGCTGGCCCTGCCCTACTAGTCCTTCTGTGCAAGGGGCCATCTGAACCTTAAGCCAGCAGTTTGTGTGGGCAAACAGATGCCCATCTTCAAATCCACACTTAGGAGACTCCTGTCTCTGTTTTCTGCTGGGACTCTGACACTTGCTCTTGCAGAGAAGGTTCTCATTAAATATATGTTGGAAAAACCCCAATAATTGAATCATCTACAGGATGTTCTCACTTTAGCCATATTCCCTTCATTTTCCTTTGAGGGCTAAATGGGAGTAGAGATATCTTTGCTGCTGGTCCTGAGAGACCATGGGGTTGTCCATTCCTGGTAAGGTGATGCTGACCAGACAGAGCTGATCTAGATGAGGGGTGGGAGGTGACAGTGGTTCAGTGGCTTTCTTGGAGGATGCATGATTGTTTGAATTATTATTTTTAATTGACATATATAAGTATATAATAAATATATATGTTATATATATGAGTTAGAGCTGAATTGCACAATATGAGCAAGGCGTTCCTCTCAGCTTCAAAACCAGCTCTGGGTTGTAAACAAGCTACCACTTCCTCAATCCCTCTGAAATAACATCAAAGTTGGGGTGCAGGATGAAGGCACCCCAATAATACCACACTGGGGAAAGTGTGGTATTTTGATACCTGTATACAATGTATAATGAACAAAGCAGGGTGGTTAACATAGAGAATGCATGATTTGCTTGGTGGGGAGAACTGGATGGTTCTGTAATTATGTTGAGATGGACAGAAAGACATCATCTGACTTGGGGAGAAAATCGGGTGTGGGAGGAGGTGGGAGAGTGCAGAACCTGAGGCAGAGGTCCCCAGCAAGTCTGGCATGGGGTAGGGTAGGGTGGTTGAATACTGGCTTCAGGGAGATGAGGCAAGCTGGCCTGACTCTGGCAGGTTGTCAGTGGTAGTCCTAGGTAGAGGAGGGGGCTTTGCTAAGCTACCTGAAAAGTACTAGAGTGGGCCGGGGTAGGAATCGGGCTACCGTGGCTTGTCGGAGATGAGGAATGTTTTTAGAAAATTGAACTGACCATCCCTTCCTTCCCCTGAACAGCAGCTTGTATGCAACTATAAAGGTAGTCTCCCTTTCAGCCCTGCTTGCTGTGTCTTTATTCTTATCAAAAACCAGGATCTGAGTTCAGAGGGCAGTGAAACATAAAATGAAATAGGAAAGGTTGCAGTAGTACATAGACTTTGGCTGCTCCCACTAACCTGCAAAAAAAATATTTTCCTTGGGCGTACCTTAGCAGTTCCATGGCAGAAGTTTTATCTCCTGTGGTTCAGAGAGTTTGGCTCGTCAAGCTGAATGTAGGGTTAAAGTGTGTCCTCCCTCCTCTGTGGGTGTTTGCCTAGCTCCTGGCTGTGGGTTGAAGGGACTGGTAAATATGTCTATTTTACTGCTGAGGCAGGGTGGCTCAGTGCTTGGTCACCTTGGAGGGATCATAAGCAAGCCGCCGCTGGGGCCCTGTGCCACGCACAGGTATTCATGCGTGCGTGCAAGCACACCCTGTATAGCTGTGTAATAATTGTCCAGGTGTGGTGCATTCTTTGTCAGATGTACCCTTGTTTTTACTGCCTCTGTGCAGGATGTTTATTTGCTGTGCTTCAGGCTGGGGCACGTAGCTTGATCAAGGGTAGTTTTTGCTGTGGCCCCTGCAAATACGTTGTGGTGCCCAGAGTAGATGAAAAACTGTGAGTTTCCCAATAGAGCGGGTTCATCTGGACTCTTGTTGGTTGCGTTCTAGGAGCTAATTCTGTGGCTCTGGACTCTTCCCTGGAGGTGGGGATGAGGCCGGGGCCGGGGGGAGGTGGTCTTGTGGCGCTACTGCGGGCTGTGCACTCAGGAAAGTGGCCACGGTTTAGGACGACCTCGACACGACCCTGTATAGGACGCAACTAACTCCAGAGAAAACGAGCGAGCCCCATGCAACTCTTCATTCCTGCAGGGAGAACAAGGAGGTGTGCCCGCCAGGGAAGGGACGCACCCCCACCGGCGCTCGCTGCCTTAACTTCCCCATCCCCGCGCCAGGGAGGGGCCGGAGTCGCCGCCGAGGCCGCCGAGCGCAGAAAGTGCGCGAAAGGGACGCGCTGCGAGCCTCACACGTGACGGCGCCGCGCCGAACCGAGCGGGACCTGGCGGCAGCGGCGGCGGGCGCAGCGGGGCGGCCCGGAGCGGCGCGGGCGGCCTGGAGCCCCGGGAGCGGCGCGCGCGGTCCCGGCCCAGCGGCTCTCCTGGCCTCGCGCTGCACATTCTCTCCTGGCGGCGGCGCCACCTGCAGTAGCGTTCGCCCGAACATGGCGACACGGAGCAGCAGGAGGGAGTCGCGACTCCCGTTCCTATTCACCCTGGTCGCACTGCTGCCGCCCGGAGCTCTCTGCGAAGTCTGGACGCAGAGGCTGCACGGCGGCAGCGCGCCCTTGCCCCAGGACCGGGGCTTCCTCGTGGTGCAGGGCGACCCGCGCGAGCTGCGGCTGTGGGCGCGCGGGGATGCCAGGGGGGCGAGCCGCGCGGACGAGAAGCCGCTCCGGAGGAAACGGAGCGCTGCCCTGCAGCCCGAGCCCATCAAGGTGTACGGACAGGTGAGCAGTTTTGCAACCCGCCTCCCTCCAGTTTTTTCCTCTCCCTGCACTTCCTCACCCCCGCATCCATCCGTTGCAGTCGCCTCCTAGGTGCAGGCACCACTGGGGACTTCCCGGCTTGCATTTGTTTTTTTCCTTCACGAGTACAACCGTCAGCACTTGAATCGCATTGATCTTTCCTTCTTCCTGTCGATTTAGTAAACGTATTCCAGGTAACTCGCCGGGTGCAGTGCGTATTACCCCAGGGTGTGTGCAGAGAGATGTAGTTTCCGGCAGGTATAGGAGGGGTGCAGCTTCATTTTACATCTGGATAAAAAACGGGCTTTCTTTAGTGTATCATCAGTTGGCAGTGGAGGCGAGCACCCTGCAGTTGCGGTACACTTACACAGAACAGCACGAGGTGGGGGTTTCCACACTTAGCATTATTAGCACAATAAAAGTGGGCAAACCTGAAAGCTTGTCGACTATCTCTGTACAGTCAGACAAGAGGTGTGTGTATGTGTGTGCGTGTGTAAAGGCTGAATTTTTAATTTTTAATTTTTGGCGAGCGTGTGAGATGCTCTCCATTCCTTCTTCCCCACCCTTCAAGATGCTGACTCTCCCACCCCCGTCAAGATAACTTTATTTTGGAGAGGAATACCCCTCATGGCACTTGGAGATTTGAAAGGACTGCAGGAAATTTGGTGGGCATTATTATTCTATAAGTGATTTATTTCTACCCAGGCAATAGGTTTATTAGATCATAAGTAACGTGAATTTCACTTTTATGGTCAGACTTACTGCGAGGAATTGCAGATGGAGTTTGTAGGTTAGGATCAGCACTGGCAAAATTAATTTGACCGTGTTATTGCCTCATGAGACTCCCAGTCCTGCAGTTAAGATTGACATCAGCAAAAGTATAAGGTCGGTGGGGGAGAAAAAGTAGGACCAGAGGAGGGGGTAAATACACTTGTTTTCTAGAGTCAAATTGTTCCTTTTGAAGTAGAAATTATTAATAAAAGATTACCCTGAGTTCTGCCTTTTCTCACTAATTTCACTTTAGCCATTTCTTCAGGAAATACAGAGTTAAATGTTCAACCCTTGGATCCAGGACGAACCTTGTAAACATATCACCCTATTGTGTCATTTTGTTGGTGAAGAAACTGAAGCGTGGAATGGTGAAGTGACTAGTCCAAGGTCATACCGGGAAGGTGGCCTGCTCTCTAGTTTTTGTCTGCATTGTCTCAGTGACCTTTGCTTGACTGCAGTCACCCTGTCTTTATGCAATGCTGCTGAAATACCTCCTTTCTAAAATAAAATAGATCTGGTATAAAGGGGGAAAGGATGGTGGTGACTGGGTGGGAGCGTTGGATTTCCCTCCACTATTGGTCCCTGGGCAAGAATGTGTGCCCCAGGGCATGTAACTAATGGTGGCCACAGGCTGCAGGAACCTGCATGCTCAGTTCCTCTTGGGCCCAGATCCTTGTCCCCCTGTCCCCACCCCATATGACAAATATGTGTATGAACAAAAAGAAGTCATCAAGGTCCTTGCTCTTAACAGCGACACCAGCATGGGGCTGATGGAGGGTGGGAGAAGGAGGAGGAGTGGCCCACTTCTTCATTGGGCCTCCGCAGTCAGCCCAGCTCTGCTGTGCTCTTGAATCAGCATTCTGGGAACTGGGAGTTGGGGGCTGGTGGGAGACAATCCCTCCCAGTGCTCAGGTCCCCTGAAGCTATAGTTTAGGTTGAGGAAAAAGTTTTCTGGTTTCAAAAATATGTGTACATGTGCCATTTCTTTCTTGGGTTTGGTTTATGAAAAGCTCCAGGGGATGTGGGGCAGGTTGGACATGAACTCTGTTCTCACTGGGAGTGACTCCCAAACCCTGGGCTTTTGAGTTTCTGGGCCAGCCAGATTGAGTTTGGTTCAGCTGAAGGATGGAGAACTAGCAGTCAAACTCATAATGAGGAATTCCTAACCGGAGGGTGAGGGTACAAGGGTGAGATTTTTCTTCTCTGTGGCTGCCTTCCTATGCCATTGTTGCCTCTTGCTCTGAGGTTAATAAGAAGTGGAATTAATTTGAATCTGTAAGGATTTGAGTCAGATAAAAGGAAGAACTTCCCTGTACTGGGCTTTCTGCCACAAGTTCTATCTGGTGCAGACCCTTCAGAATGCAAGCACAGGTTGGTGACTGAAGGGGTTTGAGGTGCCCCTCTTGGAACTCTGGAGTAACTAACATCTATTTGGAATGATCTTTCTAGCAAGGATGACCATTGCCTCTGTGTTTCCCTGGGGCAGACCTGGTTTCTAAGTTGTCTCTGGTGGTTATGAATAGCACCCCCTTCACTCTCAAAAGTGTCAAGATGTGACAATAAATTATATGGTCCTACTTTTAGCCTTAAGCCAAGTTCCACTTTGTAATCACGACTTTCCCCTTCAACGTTTAAACCTAAGGAATGGTGATGTTTTCCAACAGTACTGCTTGACTTGAGTGTGGTTCTATGGAGGTGCAGTGAGCTGGGGAATAAAATTTCATTCCTGCTTTTAGGAAATTTACAATTTAAGGAGGAGAGCAAGCAGATGCAGATACAGGCATGTCAATGTACCAGGATGGGAACCAGGAAACATGGTCACAAGAAACCAGCCACAACTCTACAATGGTGTGATAACGGGCTGTGTGACATGCAGCGCATGGGAGATGGAGAGATAAGGGGTGGTGGGCTCAGACACTGTCCAGCTTCTTGCCCTCTGACCTTTGAGTGAGGTTAAGAGGACACTGGCAGCACAGGTTAGGGCTGGAAGCAGAAGCTGCCTGAAGGAAGCAGGCCTAGAGGCGATGTTAAGGCCACCACCTTCAGGGAGAAGAGAAGGGAAGGCTTTCTAGGGGAATACTTGCATCTGAGAAAGAGCCCTGTGCTGGAGTCAATGTCGGTCCTTTTTCCTCTGCTTCGCTAATGTCTTGGGTAAACTAGGCTTGGTTATTTTGACCATTTTCCTCCTCAGTTTCTCTAAGGTGGGGAGACCGGCTTCTGCCATGATTACTTAAAGGCACATTTATGATACTGAAATGTGATTGTAGGGGTGAAAATAATTTGCTGGCAGATATCAGGACTTTTCTGCCCATGTTCAAGGCTCACGCCTGTAATCCCAGCACTGTGGGAGGCCGAGGCGGGTGGATCACTTGAGGTCAGGAGTTCGAAACCAGCCTGGTCCACATGGGGAAACCCCGTCTCTACTAAAACTACAAAAATTCACTGGGCGTGGTGGCAGATGCCTGTAGTCCTGGCTACTCAAGAGGCTGAGGCAGGAGAATCGCTTGAACCCCGGAGGCGGAGGTTGCAGTGAGCCGAGATCGCGCCATTGCACTCCAGCCTGGGGGACAGAGTGAGACTCCATCTAAAAAAAAAAAAAAAAAAGGCAAAGTTTAGAAGTTGAGCCCCTTCTTAAAGGCCAGGTCCAAGAAGAGGGATTCCCTAATTCATGCCACACTGAATTTCCTCCTGATTTCTCATAAGCTCTGTCTGTCTGCGCCATCATACCTGCTTTTTCCTCTGCCTGAAATGATCTTCCCCAACTCTTGTCCTTGCCTGGGAAGCTCTTATTCCATTCTTTAACATCCAAGGAATACCTCTTGGTATTCTCAGGCTATGGTGGGAAGAGTTTCTTCTGAGCTTGGAGGCAGCACTTACTGCCTTGTGTTAGAATTGCTCAACTGTCTCATCTTCCTGTTTGCTCCTTGAGGGCATGGATCAAGTTCTCTTGTGTTTCCCTGGCACTTGGGAGGCCCTTAATGAGTATTTGTGGACCAGCCACACACCTGGAAGAAGAGAGGCCCAGAGGGTAGGAAGCACATTCACATTATATAAAATGTATTTGTAAGGAGGAATACAGTGAACCCACACATGGATAGTGAAAATGAGATGGCTCATTCGGTAGTGAGGATGCAAGCGGCATGGCCTACAGATAGTGGAGCCCTGATTTGCCTGTGCTATATGGGAGTTATTTTCAATGAAGAGCTTGGATTCTATTTTACAGAATCCTCCCTTTTAGGGCTATCATTCTGGTTTATGCTAATGGTATTGTTTTGGGGAAAAATCCTTTGGAATAAAGCACAAAGCCTAACAGGATTTACAGGTTTATTTTCCTTCCAACAAGCTCTCTCTTCATAATTCCTACATTTTAGAAGCCAGGGAGTATTCAGTGTCCTGATTTGAGACTGAAAATAAAGTGTCTATTACAGCACAAGGCCCTGGGACAAAAGGCCTCCTTTGGGGGTGGAATACCGTTCAGCTTTAGATCTCTTTTGAGTAGATTCTTCCATGATACACTTGCTTGGGAAAGAATTGGCTGGTTGATTCTGAAGTTAGGATGTTTGACCTGTGTGCTTCCAGAATAAGATGAGAAGGCAAAGAATGTGCTGCTTCAGGTTGGCTTTTATGTAGCTGAAGAGTTGCTCGGGGCCTTGGGTTGGCTCAATAAGGGACGTGACCTTGAAAAGCTCTTCCTGGTTCCACTTGGCGTCTTTTCTTAGGGAGCTCTGTGCCCAGTCTCTGGCCGCTTTTAGTTCATAAATAGCTTGCATGGTTAGAGGCACAGAAGGTGGAGGCTTTGCGAGGGGGAAGGAATGGAGGAAAGGGGTTGGTGAGAAGAGTAAGGAGGCGGAATTTGGAGGGATGAAATAAAAAGCTGTCTGATTAGGTAATGCACGTTTACAAAACAAAATTTGTACAAAAGCGTATGTGGTAACAAATTTCCTTCCCTCTCATGCCCCCTGTTCACCCAGAGCTCCTTTCCGGGTGGCATCCGTTGTTATCAATATTTTTGTATATCTTTCCAGAAACAGTCTATGCATGTACAACATGTATGTACATAAAATTGGAAACTTGAATTATAAATGGCTTCCTGTTACCTGTAGTCCCTGGTATCCTGAATAATGAGATTAACTTTAGCTCTAAATTATATTTGTGATATTATGATGGTGAATTGTTAGAAAATTACCTGAAGTATCATAATATAAAATAGATGATTACTTTTTTTCCAGGCCAGGTGAGAAAAACCTCATTCTCCTTTCACTTCAAGCGTTCTTGCAGAGCAGGAGAGCAGCCTGATGTAGCCCCCTTGTAACTTGGAGAGATGCTGGAGCACAGTTCCCTTGAGATGTGGAGTCCAGGCTTGTAAGAGCATCAGAATACAGTGATCATGGATCTTGGTTTTAATTTGTGTTCTGTCTGAGAATGTTTTCTCTATGTTCTGTAAAATGAAGTTAATGGTATGCTTAATAAATTGCTTTGAGACTTGGGATCCACGAGGCAGATCCTTATAGCAACGAACATCCCAAGGCAAAAGGTGGATGTTGTAGGAACATTTCATTGTCAGATTTTGGTCTGTTCCTCCTTAGAGATGACAGCCATCTTCATAGTGTCATTGTTGAATCCCAGGGCAGAGATAGTTGGAGCCAGCTTTGTTCCACCCACTGTAATGGAGGGACACAGGGGGCAGTCTTATCATAATCTGGAGAGCAGGTAATCCAAAAAATAATCGATTTGCTTTTGCTATGTATTTATGTAGTCTTTTTTTTAAAGCATTCGTTTACCTTCCTAATTAAGTTTTGCTCAGGTGAATATTAAAATGAGTTTGCATTCTTTGATCTATTGATAAGGGAAATGGCTGGCCTAAATGTATTCAGGGAAAGGCAGTTTGGAGTTTAGAATTTGCGACAATAATTCAGATGCAGATAATTGAGAGTTGATAAAAATGTATTAAATGTTTTAAATGAATAAAAATGTATTAAAACCTGGGGGCATTACATTGACCTTTCCTCCATTTATTTGGATTTAAATAAATGTGATGGAAAGTAAAAGAGAGCTCACTGCATTTTTGGTTTGAATATTCAGGGATTAGTATTTCTCCAGAGGTGGTCTGGGCTGTGGGGGTGAGGCATTCTCTGTTGATGAGCATGGGACTTTCCTATGCATTTTCTAGGTATGCCAGACACTGTTGGCAGATGGTATAGTCAGTCTAGCCACGTACATGCAAAAATCAATTTCCCTCAATTTAAAATGAGCCACAGTTAATTTCGACCTAATTTATTGGCTTATCGACCTGTGAACCCTGGGCCTTCGAAGAAGTGGCATGGGCGGCCTTCAAGCGCTGAAGTGGCTGATGAAGCTAAAATCCAGAAAAGGCAGGGTGGGCTGCTGAGCAAGATCAAGATTTGAGTTTCCTCCTGTGTTATTGTGAGATGCTCAGTTTTTTTTAACTGTAACATGACCAATGCTTTGTGCATTTTATGGTGGGTTCCGTAAAAATAGGACTGCGTAACGATCACAAGTACACTAGTGTGTTAAAAAATAATTACAAAGTTCTGTTATCCACTGGGTAACTGTTTATTATAATGGTAACATCCATGCCCATAGCACTGCTACTAGCCAAGAGCTGGAAGATCCTATCTTCCTGGCCGCGTCCTGGACCCTCCGATGTGGCACTGTTCAATAGATCTTTCTGTGATAGTGATGTTTTCTATCTGTGCTGTTCACCATGTTCACTAGTCAGATCTGGCCATTGAGCAGGTGAAATGTGGCAAGTGTGACTGAAGACTTGAAGTGTCTTTCATTTAATTTTAACGAATTTAAAGTTGAAATAGCCACATGTGGCTCTTGGCTACTGTGTAGACAGCACAAGCTTTGACAAGGCCTCTTCTTCCCACCTGTAGGCAACCTCTGCTTCACCCAAGAGAGAAGTTCCTGCAAAGACCTGCTCGTGTAGGCAGGGCAAACAGGGCAATAAAAGCAAGAGTGGAGGGCTTGGGTCTAGACCCTAGGTATTGGTGGCTGCTGACTGCCAAGTTGAGTGTCAGGAGACAGTGGTCCTTCTTTCCTAGGTAGGAACTCACCAGGGGGACCGTGGAGGGCCAAGTGGGTCCGGTGGTTGGCTCTAGGGCATGCCTCTGCACAGTTGCCTCCTTCTGTCAGTCACTTAGTCAATGAAGGCTGGCTATTCATAGGGTGAACCAGATCTCTGTGGCTTCACTTCTCATCTGGCCTTGCGCAAACACTGCACTTGTATCGGGCTTTGCTAAGGTGGAGCGCAGACCCTGCACGTTCTGTTTAGCAATGAAAGATGTAAACAGTGCCTTAACAGTGGGGCCATCTCCCTGCCCTGCCCTTTGCTTCCTGTGCTTTTGTTGACTTACCTTGATGTAGCTGGGTCTGTCTTTCTTCCCTTCAACCCTCCAGATTGGCATGAAGACAAACACTACAGGCGTGTGGTCTTCATCTTTGCATATAAACCTCCCCCACTTCTTGGCTGACCTTTTAACTTAGCTTGCCATTGCTGTTGCTGCTGCTGCAGGCTCTTAGCTTGGAAAATCAGGACCCTTCACAATGATTTATCTCCAGTCCCCTGAATTAGATTCAAAACACAGCTACGAATTCTCAGAAAGGCAGGCTGATGTGATTATATCCCAAATCTGAGTGGCTGACAAGGACAATAAAAAGATGTACCTATATCAAATGCATTTGTGCCGTGTAGAGACCAATATGTTGTTTATTATCTCCCCCCCTTTCTGGGGGTTTTTTAAATGAAGAAGGTAACTGATGTGACCTCTATTATTTAGAAGAGAGACTAGCCTGTTGAGTAGAAACCCTGGGGGAAGATGACTAGGGTGAATCTTACATGAAATAAATGTGGGGGTGAATCAATGGGTGGGCCCTCAGTTGGGATTTTAATATTTTAGGGATACTGAGATGATTTCCTTCTGACTTTGGGGGGCTGGTGAGCTGAGGTGTAGTGTCATGATGAATTTTTTTTTTTTTTTTTTTTGAGACAGAGTCTCGCTCCGTCACCCAGCTGGAGTGCAGTGGCTCTATCTCGGCTCACTGCAACCTCTGCCTCCCAGGTTCAGGCGATTCTTGTGCCTCAGCCTCCTGAGTAGCTGGGATTACAGGTGCGCACCACCACGCCCGGCTAATTGTTTTGTATTTTTAGTAGAGATGAGGTTTCACCATATTGGCCAGGCTGGTCTCGAACTCCTGACCTCGTGATTCACCCACCTTGGCCTCCCAAAATGCTGGGATTACAGGTGTGAGCCACCGTGCCTGGCCTTGGTGAAATTTTTAACTCTGTGCCCAGAGGCATTGGAAAGGCTGGTATGATCTGGTTGAGCCTGGAGGGCCCTGGGTTAAGAGCCACCTGTGGAGAAAGGCTAGCTTGGGGACTGTGGCTGGGAAGACTTTAATAGGTACCTGTGAGATAGCAAGCTATAGGGTTAAGGTCCCAGATAGTTAAGGACCCCATTTCTCTATTAGCCCAGGAGACACATGCGAGACAGTTCCACCTGTCTCTGCCCCAGGGACCTGGGGAGAAAGGCCAGTGCTGATCTGCCCAAGGATCTCAGCCAAGGAGCCCGAGATGGCAGGGAGTGGGGACAGAGCAGAGTGGGGTGAGTGTCCTGTGAAACCAGAAGTGTTTGGAAGGACTTGCATGCTTTGAACCTGTGCTCAATTAATTGAGTAACCTGAGACTCTGTACCTATGACTTACCTCATCTGTGTACATTTAGTTCCCTGAAATTCTCTCACTGAGTGGTTAAAAAAAAAAAAAATCTGCAGTTAACTGTGCACATGGTTTGCTGAATTTGGCAAGGTGTGCTGTTGGTGGTGGTGGTGATGGGTGGGCTGGAGGGGGACGGTTACTGCAGAAACAAGGCCTTCAATCTCTAGAGGAGAAAAATGAAGCAGTGGATGTGGAAAGTTGGTTAGAGGTGAAAGAGCTATCTAAACAGAGCTGGGGGAGTTTAGCTAGCAGACCAGAGCCTGTGGGACGTCCGCCTGTTGCCTCACCTCCTGGTAGCCCAGAGGGCATCTCCTATTACTGAGAAATTGGCCAAGCCATGGGTTTAATGCACTCCCCCTTCTCCATTAGTCTTGTTTATAGCTGCCCTCACAGGGTGGTGAAGAAGCCACTGGTAGGGTATAGAGGCCTTCGGTTCTGGGATGTAATGTTTACATGCTTTTCTCTTGGAGTTAGGAAAGTGCTAGAAAACAGTGTCGCCTCTGGGCTGGAGCCTTGGGACCTGGAGGTTGGGTTTCCCCAGGTTTCAGAGTTCGGCTGGGAATCAAGGAGAAAACTGCCTGTGAGTTTCAGTTAGGCAGGAGCTCCTAGCTTGACTCAGGCGTGCAGTGTTTTGTCATTTTATATATGTCATCGCTTGCTCTTAGGCCTTTCGCTAATGTTAATGTTCTATGTGGAGCCGTTTTGTGAGGAATGGCTTATTTTGGTTGAGAGGCATTTGGTAATGAAAAGAAATGATGTTTTAGTGCGTCGAAGTTTATGAAATGACATCCACAGGCTGCATCTCATTTGATTCTTACGACAATCTTGAAAAATGGGGAAGATAAGAATGATTATTCATCTCATTTCAGAGATGAGTATCTTGAAGCTTGAAAAGGTGAAGTGACTTACCCGTAGTTAGACAGGTGGTAAACCGGAGAGAACAAGACTCAAACCAACCCGCTAACTTGTTTCAGATTTATGCAGGCATATTTGTCTATCCTAAGTAATCTAGTGAAATTTTTGATCTCAAGCAGGGATCCACAGCTTTTTTGCAGTACTTTTTTTTCTCCACCTTTAAAACCTGGAGATCTCACATAATTCCACTTTCTCCTGGCCACACTGATCTTGTAATTTTTCAAACACAGCAAGTCTCAAGGCCCTTCTCCTTCCTGGCTTCTGCTCTGCCCTGCCTTAGGTCTGGGTCCATGTTCTCTGCCTCACTTTTCCATCCCCTTTTCCCTAACTCCTCCCTCTTCATCCTTATGGTGTCAGTACATAGGTCAGGTCTTCAGTGAAGCCTCACTCTCTCCCCGATATGAGGTTAGGTCCCCTGTGTAACAACAGTAATTCAATCATCATTCCTGGAATTAGTTGTTTAATGCGTGTTTTCCCTACTATATTCAGAGCTATGAGGCAGGACCTAGAATCGTGTTATTTTTCTTTCTTTTTTATTTTTTGAGACAGGGTCTAGCTCTGTCGCCCAGGCTGGAGTGCAGTGGCATGATCATAGCTCACTGCGGCCTCGATCTCTTGGGCACAAGCGATCCTCCCACCTCAGACTCCCTAGTAGCTGGGACTACAGGCATGCGCCACCAGGCCCGTCTAGTTTTTGTATTTTTTGTAGAGATGGGGTTGTGTCATGTTGTCTAGGCTGGTCTTGAACTCCTGGGCTCGAGGGATCCACCCGCCTTGGCCTCCCAAAGTGCTGGGATTGCAGATGTGAGTCTGCCATTTTACTAACACCTAGTATAGCATCTGGTATATAGTTAGTGCTTGATAAATACTTATTGACTGAACGCGGTGAGGGGCTATTCATGGTGAAGCTGCAGAGGGCAAGTCTGTGGTCTGGAACCATCCTGAAGAGCTGTGAGAAATGACTTTGGGCTCACAGGGAAATCCTCACGTAGGGCAAGTCCTGGCTTGGGGTGCGCTCTCTTGAGGGGGTATTTGCTGTGCTCACTCTGACTGTGTTTCCTGCACATGGCCGTGTGTTTTCAGGCAGTGAGAACCACCACATTGCCTTAAAGTCTGTCTCTGAGCTTAATCTCATTTGCAAAAGGTGGCATTTCATTTAATTGTTCTCTGAGATTCTTTCTGGCTTTGATATTTTCCTCATTTTTTTTTTGCCAACTGGTAAATTAAGGGGTGATATTATGTTCATGAGAAAGAGAGTTTTCCACAGTTTCTTTTTAGTAGGGAGCCCCTCCCAAAACAGCAAAGCATATTCGCTCATTGACAAAGTGGGTTCACCAGGACAGAGTGGCACACAGAGGTAAACAGTAGATAGGTTCTCGCTGCCAAGGATCAATCAGAAAGGGAAATAAGCTCTCTAAACTGATATTATAAGGCAGTGAGATTATGATTATCATCCTTTTAGCAAAGAGAAAGGAAAGGGCATATGTGTATTTTTCTCTGTAGAATGGTCATGGCTCCAGTGAAGGAGATAGTAGTGAATGCTAAGTTCTAGTCCAAGGTTATTCTCTCCTTGTTTCCTCATCTGGAAAATGGGCAGCCTGAATTCATCAGCAAAGTAGTTCAGGAGTTCTGTAGGTGAAGCATCTTGAGCAAACTCAAAAGTCAAGTGAGTGAGCTGAGATTCCATGAACTGGGCCTCTCTTCCGGGAGTGCTCGTAAACTAGATTTCAGCTTTCCTTCTGAGGTGAGCAGTCCAGGGAGGATAATAAGCCTGCTAAATATAGTGAGAACACAGTCTTGAAAGGGGACAGTGAGAGGCAATTTGCATACCTAGCATTTAAGCCATGCAAAGGGATGGTTTGGGAAAACCTTGTTCTCCTTGGACCTCAGGAGGCTGTCTTTGACTTCCTCAGTTTCGTCATATAGTTCAGGGGAGTGCCTGGCTCCTTCTGTCCTCACAGTTGAAGGACAGGATATTTGTTTTATGCTATATTGTAGAATTTTAAAAACGCTTCTTTGTATTTCACTGCTAGTGAAGCAGAGAAATGAATCAGACTGCCTTATTTGTCCTCCTTGTACTGCGTTTTGGGAGGAGGCTGTGTAGGAGTTGTGAGGACTGCAAGCTGTGGGAGTCTAGGACATCCTGATTTTTGGGTTTGACCAATTTGAAAGAGGTGTAGAGAGGGTACCTGTGACCCATTCTATTCAGTGGCCCCACCTCCTGCATAAGCCTCAACAACTATACAGATTTCGGTGGTTTTATTGGAAACTTCTCATCATTGGCTTAGACTTGCAACCCTAATTCCCCCAGAAGTGCTCTGTGTGAGCTAACAGGTAAGAAATGATTAAAGAGCCTACAGGGTGCCTGGCACCTAGCAGACCTCAGTGCCTACTTCATCCGCAAGTGAACGCATGAGTAATCAGTCCCTTCATCCAAGCCATTGACTTCCTCCCCTCTATTTATAACAACCCAGAACTTGAGGACTGGGTGGTAGCAGGTCCTTCCCCTCACTCTGAATAATAGGAGGTGAATCATTTCACCTCTCCGGGTTGCCAGGGCACGCAGGGGGCTGAGGGACAACACTTGTGGGGTGATATGGACTTGTTCGATGAAGATGCCGAGGCGAGTCAAGGTGTGGGTGGCATCCACTGTTGTGAGCTGGCGGTGGATGCTAGCCTTGGGCCTGCGGCTGTTTCTCCAGCTGGGGACAGGGAGGCCTGTGCGGATGCTGTGGCTCTGCAGATGCCGCTGACAGCACTTTGAAGGATTGGTTTGGCCAGAGACCCAGTCCACAGCCTGCCTCCTGTATGACTCATTCTAGCTGCATATTTTGGTAGCATGAGGGCTTGAGATGAGATAAAAGGAGCACTTCTTAAGAGTGGAAGCTCCTAGGTTCTTGATTAGCACTTGAGAAATATAATGTTCTCTGCAGGTCCTAGAGGCCTTAAAAAAATTTGAGTATATTTCACATTACATAAAATTAGCCATTTTAAAGTGAACAGTTCAGTGAACTTAATATCGCCGCAATGTTGTGCTACCATGATTTCCAAAACATTTCCATCGCTCTGAAATAAAACCCCTTACCCATTAAGCAGTGATTCCCTCCTCTCCAATCTCCCAGCCCCTCGTAACCACTAATCAGCTTTCTCTCCCTATGGATTTACCTATTCGGGACATTTCATATAAATGGTGTCATGCAATCATGCAATATGTGACCTTTTGTATCTGGCTTCTTTCACTTAGCATATTGTTTGTGAGGTTCAGCCACATTGTAGCATATATCATCAGTATATCCTAGAGTTTTAATGACCATCCCAAATCCCCAAAGACAAGCCCCCCCGCCAAAAATGGTACATCTTTCTAGCTACCGTCATTTAGTTCCAACTCCTGCCAGGAGGCAGGGGAATCAACTAGATTCATTGTTTCCCAAAGAAGCTGCATTAGAAATACCTGGGGTTGGGGTGTGTCTCCTTTTTTTTTTTTTGAGACGGAGTCTCGCTCTGTCGCCCAGGCTGGAGTGCAGTGGCATGATCTTGGCTTACTGCAACCTCTGCCTCCCAGATTCAAGCAATTCTCCTGCCTCAGCTTCCCGAGTAGCTGGGACTACAGGCACGTGCCACCGTGCCTGGCTAATTTTTTGTATTTTTAGTAGAGACGGTTTTTCACTGTGTTAGCCAGGTTGGTCTCCATCTCCTGACCTCGTGATCTGCCTGCCTTGGCCTCCCAAAGTGCTGGGATTACAGGCATGAACCACCACGCCCGGCTGGGTGTGTCTTTTAAAAAAGACTGATTCCTGGGCTCCAGGCAGAGGGCGACAGAGCCGGTAGGCGTGGAGTGGGGCCTCTTAGGTGATTCTGACCTTCAGTGGGGCATGGGACCCCCCTAGGCCAGGTGATCTTTGGGGGGTGGGGTGGGAGGAGTTATCTTGACTCTTAACGACCTGCCAATGAGCCAGATGCTGTTTGTTGTTTATGATGCAGTTTCTGTGTTCAGAGGTTTCTGTGGCATGTAATTTTTCTCTGTTTGCCTTCTGAGGGGAGGCACTCGGCCCCTCCCTGCTGCCTTAACAGCTCCAATTAATTGTGTCTCATTTATCAAGCTCCAGCTATGCCCTGTGAGCTAGACAGGGGAGAGGGAAGGTTGTTCACACCCCGGGGTTGTGGTTATAGCTGATTGCACGTCAAGGTTATGTTCCTGGGAAAACCACCCTCCCACCCACTCCCAGGCCAGTGTCTTCTGGGTGTGGGACCTGTGTGGGGGATTGGCGATGGAAAAAGGCTTGGGGAGGAGGAAAGGGGAGATCAGGGGGAGATCCTTGGGGATGGATGGAAAAGGAACCAAACAAACCGGAAGCCACTGATTAAGTAAAGGGATCTAGGGACCTGTGGGTTGTTCTTGATTGCTGGGGTCTGCCCTGGGCTGCTGGTGTCTTGGCCACATGCCATGGAGAGCTAGCAGGAAAAGCCTGCTTTGTTGACTTCTTTTCTTTCCCCTG
Organism: Homo sapiens; assembly: GCF_000001405.40. NCBI lineage: Eukaryota > Metazoa > Chordata > Mammalia > Primates > Hominidae > Homo > Homo sapiens. Next base: position 121,466,557 of record NC_000011.10, read on the forward strand.
GGGGTGAGGATGGGGGCAAGGTGGAGACAGAGGAGACAGGTGAGGCCAGAGGGTAGAATGCATGTCTTGATAATAAAATTTACTTCCTGTCAGCCTGCCTGCTGGCTCCCCTGTCCTGCGCGCATCCATTCCTGATTCCTGCAACTAGGTCTGCTGTGGGGGGATGGGCACCCGGGCTGCCTTGGGGATCAGCTGTGACTCACCAGGGAGTTATTCTTATGACCAGGATGTGCCTGACATCTCGCCAAGCAAAGGAGCTGAGCTGTTCCTGCGAGTGCCTGGTGGCCCTCGTACAAGTCATTTCTTGCCAGGGATTTTATCCCCCTACTGGGCTGCCCCTTTTCAGTCTGCTCTTATGAGTAAAAGGGACATCTAATAAAAAAAGCTTTCCTTAAAAAAAAGAAGAGAAAGAAACAAAGTAACAAACAAACAGGTGTTTTACCAGGCTTGCCTTCTAGAGGTTTTCTTTTTTTCTTTTTTTTTTTTTTTTTGAGGTGGAGTCTCGCTCTGTTGCCCAGGCTGGACTGCAGTGGTACAATCTTGGCTCACTGCAAGCTCCGCCTCCCGGGTTCACGCCATTCTCCTGCCTCAGCCTGCCGAGTAGCTGGGACTACAGGCACCCGCCACCACGCCCGGCTAATTTTTTGTATTTTTAGTAGAGACCGGGTTTCACCGTGTTAGCCAGGATGGGAGTTTTTCTTTGTAGAAAAGCCCTTGGATGTTTTGAGGCTTGCCCTTGGTGCTCTTCTCACCTTTCACCTGCCTTGGGATTGGTGAGGAGGTCTCCTGTCCTCTGAGTAGATCGATTTCAGCAAGTTATCTTCAGACCTTTTGCCCACTCTGATCACTGAAAGCTTTGCAACCTACTCAAAGCATTATCTGAGTGTTACCTGCCAGAGGGAGCATTTTGATGTCATCTTTGAGGATGCCCAAGTTGAATATTTGAGGACTTTTTATCCCAGATCCCAGGGGAACATGGGTGATTTTTTTTTTCTAGGTTCCTAGTCCTTTATTGTATTGACATTTGCATAGTTTTCTATCCCCACTCTGGTTCAAGAGTGCAGATGTTTTGGGAGGGGAGGAAACTTTTAGCTGGGATTCCCAGGGCACATGTGTTGTGAGTTTCTGATCTCCAGATGGATCCAGGGGATTGGGCTGGAGAGGAGGAAAAGGGAAGGCTTCAGCGACCGGAGGAGATTCCTTTAGCTGCTTTCTCTTTGTAGCATTCTGGATTAAATAATTTATTTACTTCTATTTCTTATTTGCACTTCTCTGTTAGTGCTTGCCTGGACTTCTCTATCTGGGAATGAGGAGAGACATTTTGGAAGGACACATATTCCTAGGTCCTTTTCTTTAAAGTAAGGTCGCCTTTCAAATGTTTTTCAAAAAGAGTTTGATCCTGGATCAAATTAAATGCAGGTATTTAAAACTCCAAGTAACGTCGTTAAGGATTAGCTGCTTTGTCCTTCTGCCAGCCAAATATGTGGCACAGGTGTTTCTCTTTTCCCTGATGACATCTGAGAGCACCTCAAGGAGTGGGTGGGGAAAGTTCGAGTGTGCTGGGGGGAGGAAGCGAGAGAAGGAGAAAGGAGCTGTGGGTTTTCTGCCGCAGAGCCTTGATGAGAAGACAGCTCGGAGGGCAGGTTGGCCCAGGCTTGAACTGTCATCAGTCTAGGCTTACTCGTGGGTGGGGTGGACTGTGCGGGCTGGAGTCCCAGAAGCTTGATTTCCTTCCACGTGTGCCTCAGACAGCTGAGGTTGAGGAGGCTGGTGGAATAGGCTTCTCTCAGACATCGCTCAGCAAGAGAGGCAGCCTGTGATCCTGGTTTCATGGCATTGTCCTGCTTCTGAGTGTTGGACCACCTCTCAGAATTTTTTTTTTGAGACTGAGTCTTGCTCTGTCGCCCAGATTGGAGTGTGGTAGCTCAACCTTGGCTCACTGCAACCTCTGCCTCCTGAGCTCAAGCGATTCTTCTGCCTCAGCCTCCCGAGTAGCTGGGACTACAGGTGCATGCCACCATGCCTGGCTACTTTTTGTATTTTTAGTAGAGATGGGGTTTCACCGTATTGGCCAGGCGGGTCTTGAACTCCTGACCTCAGGTGATCTGCCCGCCTTGGCCTCCCAAAGTGCTGGGATTACAGTCGTGGGCCACCGAGCCTGACCAGCTCTCAGAATTTTTGTTATTCCTGTCATGACTTTGCTTTCCACAGAGTGGGTGGAATGTATGGTTCAGGTGTTCAAATGCCAGTCCTCAGACAGGTGTCCATCAGCCAACAGTGAAATAAGAAAATAAAAGTAATGTAGTTTTCCATACAGTGAAACAATGGTTCTTTATTCTGAGATGATATGCTTCCTCAGTTTTCAGTGTTAACACATCTTTGAAAAAATGACAATGACTCTAGATAGTGGTCATATTGCCCTGTAAGGTGAGCTGCGTAACAGACAAATCCCAAAGGCTCAGCGTGTGGCTGAGTTGAGGCTCCGGGTTATGAGAAGTTCAGGATGAGTGCTACTGGTTAGCGGAGGTCTTTTCCATGGGGATGCAGCCTCCTTCCGTCTTCGGCTCTGCCCTCCTCTGGGGCTTTGGAGTCCTCTGAATGCGGCCTGCGGATGGGGAAAGAAAAGAGGACTGCATGGGGGCCAGGCCGATAGTGGCCCTGATGACTTCTCTCACATTACACCTGCTGGAACTCAGTCCCAGGCCACACCTTCTGCCCCACAGCCTGGACCAGAGTCTGCGGTGTCCTCAGGAAGCAGAGGAAAGAGATTGAGAGAGTAGCTAGTCCTGTTTTTGTGATGTCCTTACTTGGCAGAATAGAAGTTGCCAACCAGTCCTCTGTTGGCCTTCCTCATTTTTATTTTATCGGTTTACCAAATCTAAAAGTCTGAGAACTAAAATATTTCCTTATTTGAGACCTTTCAAAAATAATTTTGAAAAGCTTCACAATGATACTTCTCTCATTTCTCATTACCAGCTGAAAGTGAATGACAGTACCACCAAGCCAGAAAAAACATAGTTGGAACAGAAGTTTGAAAAGCATGTGATCTTTCTGGCCTATGAATTTTTTTTGAACAAGGGCAATGTTTCCATGCTTTGGTTTAAAATCTTACCAGTGCATGTCATACATAGAGTAAGGATCAGAGTAACCAGAGATTGGTATCATAAAGGATGAAAATAATCAAAGGAATTGGTTATGCCAATGAGAGCCCAAGAAGCTTTTCTACAATCTCTTTACATCCAAAATAGCAGGGGACTCATTTCTTTGTGGGGAAGTTGAGTGTGACAGAATATGCATGAGGTGGGAGGGGAAGAGGCCACCTTGGCCCAAATGCTTTAGATGGCAGAATCTTCATCATTTCTGCTTGACAAAGGAGGAAAGAGTCTTGATTTAGAATGTGTGTGGCCATCACTTATCGTGGGTCCTAATTCCTACATTGATCTCTTTCAGGTTAGTCTGAATGATTCCCACAATCAGATGGTGGTGCACTGGGCTGGAGAGAAAAGCAACGTGATCGTGGCCTTGGCCCGAGATAGCCTGGCATTGGCGAGGCCCAAGAGCAGTGATGTAAGTGTTGTGTTGGCTCTGGGCACACCTTGGTGCCATCAACATGCCCTTTTCTGGTCCACTGGGATTATCATACTGGAAAAAGTAGTGGGTAATTGGAACATGGAATGGATGAATTGTATGACAGGGAAGATAATCTAGAAAATGATATATCCCTTGTTTGCTGAACACAGGGAGGTGCAGTCAGTGTTGCAAACAGATCCATGCAATGTGTGATTACCTTTGGGAAGTAATAGCATATGGACTGGATTGTTGCATCTGCCCAAGAAAATACCAGAGTGCCTTCCTGGGCAGAGCTGCCTGCCTGCAGCTGAGCCCGATGGAATCAAATTGGCCTTTCCCATATGCTGGTTTCTTCTAACCCATTATAGTGGGATGAGCTGTTGAAACTGATTCTCTAATATTCTTAATTTCTATAGCTGGGTATTTGTGATCTTTAGTAGGTGAGGTACTTTGAAGACTCAAGATGCCAAGGGTTATAAACTCAAAGGCCTGTGGGAGGCCGGGCAGGTAAAGGACAGGAGTGAAGCCACCTTCAAGTTTATAACACTCTTTTCTATTTTTTTTTTGAGTTGGGGTCTGGCTCTGTTACCCAGGTTGGGGTACAGTGGTGTGATCTTGGCTCACTGCAACCTCCGCCTCCTGGGCTCAAGCCATCCTCCCACCCACTCAGCCTCCAGAGTAGCAGGAACTACAGGTGCACACCAGCATGGCTGGCTAATTTTTGTGCTTATATATATTTTTTGGTAGAGATGGGGTTTTGCCACGTTGCCTAGGCTGGTCTCGAACCCCTGGGCTCAAACAATCCGCCTGCCTCGGCCTCCCAAAGTGTTGAGACTACAGGCTTGAGCCACCACACCTGGCCATTACAACACTCTACCTCCTCAGAGAAATATGGTTTCTCCCATTTTTCTTGAAGTCTGTGGCCTTGTTGGACAATATATGTCATTTCCACTTTTGATGGAGATGCACATTCAAGAAACATTCTCCCATATCTTAATTTGAACATACTAATGGATACTTGGTTCCTGTGTTGGAGAGACGTGGGGAAGGGGAAGGGCCTTTGGGGACCGGGAGAAGCATGCTTCCGAGGAGCATTGACTGTCAGCTCCAGGCTCTGGTTGCCGTGCAGGATGCTGGGCCCAGTGTTGCCACATCTTCTGGTTTTCCAGAGGAACCCAGAGGTCTGGAGTTTCATGTGAAAACTGCTGAGTCTTACAAGTTGGCAGCCAGTGTATAGTTTTTACAGACACCGCGTGAGCCAGGTAAAACACATGTAAGGGCCAAAGCTCGCCCAACGGCTGGTCCCAGGTCTGCGGCCTGTGCTCTGGACTCCTCCTTGTGGGTGAGAGGAGCAGCCCCTGCCTCAGCCTGGGGTCTGACACTGTGGCAGCGCGAGGCTGCAGACGGAACACCATGCTTTACAGCTTCGGTCACCCTGCATTCTGGCCGGGGGAACCTTCTGATGAATTTGCCAGCACTTTCACACTAGCCTTAAGGATACATTTATAATTCTTGAATGCGGATTTGGTCTCTGTGAGGTCCCTCTCTGTATATCCACTGTCTGGGTTGGGTGTGTTGAGAAGCAGGTGTTGGGAAGTTGTCTCAGGGACTGTTTCCAGGGAGTTGAATTAGGGCAGCCACAGAAGGGAAGACAGAAGGGCTGGCTGTCAGGATGCATGACTTTGCCCGGGGTGGGTTCTGAGCCATGCTGTGTGGGAGACCACCGCTACTGATGGCCAGTCTGGGTGTAGTGCTCTGGGGCAGGGCTAGACTTGTTTGGGGCAATGACTTTGGCCCATTTATAAATATGATCAGGTTTTGCAAGTAAAAGCTGTGGCCACCACAGACAGCTGTGTCTGAATGCCTTTGGTGGCCGGGTGTGGTGGCCTGCTCCCATAGCCCCAGCTACTCAGCAGGCTAAGGCAGGAGGATCCCTTGAGCCAAGGAGTTCAAGGCTGCGGTGACCTATCTTCGTGCTACTGTACTTCAGCCTGAGTGACAGTGAGACCCTCTCTCTAGAAAAAATAAAACAAAAAATAGAAAAGAATGCCTTTGGCCCTGTGAGACTCTTCATAGACACCTGTGTGTAGTCCCTGCCCATGGGCATATCCCTCCTGGGCACAGGAGATATATATACTGTGCTATACTGTGTTGAGAAATCCTTCTTGGAATTTTTATGCGTTTAAAAAAACTCTTAATCCAGACAACATTTTTTGTGAGGTAGATAAAGACCTTAAGCATTGTTTTATAGTTTTGCTGGACAAACAGGAGCCAAGAGGTGTAAAGAGACTTGCATGAGGTCACTCAGCATGTCAGTGGGAAGGTCGGGGCTGATGAGAATCAAGGCCCAATCATGTACTCAGTGTGCGAAGATGTGGTATTAGGGTGACCAACTTGTCTAGGTTTTAGCACTAAAAGCCCCACATCCTGGGATCCTCCCTTAATTCTGAGTGAACCAGGGTGGTTTGTCACCCTAAGTATTGCCAGTCTATTGAAACCCAACTCTTGCTCTCTCTGTATATTTGGGTGTGTCTAACTAAGAGCCCATTGAACATGTGAAGTGGGATACACTATTGTGGAATGAAATGGGAGATAGAGCCGAGGTGGGCAGATCACCTGAGGTCGGGAGTTTGAGACCAGCCTGACCAACATGGAGAAACCCCATTTGTACTAAAAATGCAAAATTAGCTGGGTGTGGTGGTGGGTGCCTGTAATTCCAGCTACTCGGGAGGCTGAGGCAAGAGAATCGCTTGAACCCGGGAGGTGGAGGTTGCGATGAGCTGAGATCATGCCATTGCACTCCAGCCTGAGCAACAAGAGAGAAAACTCTGTCTCAAAAAAGAAAAAAAAAAAGGAGATAGATTAAATGGGAAGGAAACGCAATGGCCAGGGTTAATAAATAGGGATGGCAGAAATGGCCTTCCTCTCTATACAAACTGTGTTAAAGGATTGGCAGATGCAAGTGAGATGCCTGATGTAAAAAGTTAATGTGAAAAGAAATGATGACTCAGAGGCAGTAGTTGGGGTAATAACAATCCAAATTCTCTTTAAAGAAGACTGAGCATGGTTTGTAAGGTCCCATCAGCAGTCCAGAAGGGAAAGAACCTAAACAAATCAGGAACTGTGTGGGTGTTGGTGAGCGGCCAAAGTCATGCATATTCAGTATCTAAAAAGGGATGGCTCTGGAAGCTGGAATCCAGAAAGTCTTGCTCTCAAACGGGGAAAAAATGAATCATTTATCCACTGATGAAGTTGAAGCCAGTGTGATTCCATGAAGAGAACGGCTCCTGCAGGACTCATCTGTCCTGTGATAAATCAACAAAAGAATTAATAGATGTTTATCTCACCTTTTCCTAACTCTTTGTTTCTGCTCTCTCATGATGTATTTTACAAAGTACTAGGTTTACAAAGTGCTCAGGTGCAACATAATTGGCTGAAGAGCTGTCCAGGGGTACAGTCCACCAGAAGATCAGAATCAACCAGGGGCTGGGTGAGGAGTGGCTCATGCCTGTAATCCTAGCACTTCGGAAGGCCGAGGCGGGTGGATCATTTGAGGCCAGGAGTTCAAGACCAGCCCGGCCAACATGGTGAAACCCTGTCTCTACTAAAAATATAAAAATTAGCCAGGCGTGGTGGCACAAGCCTGTAATCCCAGCTACTCAGAAGGCCAAGGCAGGAGAATCACTTGAATCCGGGAGGCGGAGGTTGCAGTGAGTTGTGATCGTGCCACTGCACTCCAGGCTGGGTGACAGAGTGAGACCCTGTCTCAAAAAAAAAAAGAAAAAAAGAAAAGAATCAACCAGGGAAGATACTGTGCAGGATAGGACTTTCTGCTTTTGTCCCTAGAGCAGTGTGACATCATGATTGTACCCCTCAGGACTGACTGGGGAGCAGTGTCAGTTCTTGCTAACAGAGGGAGGCCGATGTCTGGCTGAGCACAGGCTCTGAAATCAGAACACCTGGGCTGGAATCCCGGATGTGCCATTCATTAGCAATCTGACCTTGGGCCAGGTGATGTACCTTCTCTTGTCCTCCTCTGTCACTGACATAGTGCTTGTTAAACCTTGCTACCCAAAGTGTGGTTGTGGTCTGTGGATCAGCCCTTGGGGATTTTCTGGGAGCTGGTTAGAAAAGAATCTCAGGTCCCATCCGGACTTCTTGAATCAGAACCTGCACTTGACCAGTGTCTTGCCGGGGCCAGGGGGCAGGTAGGGGGCGGAGAGGGGGCAGTCTGTGGGCATATTACAGTTTGAGAACATTGCTGTAAAGTACTTAGAACAGTGCCAGATATGGGGATGTTTTCTGTACATTTTAGCTGTCATCTGTTTCTCCCCTTTCTCTCCCTCCTCTTTATTATTACGTAGTTTTGAGGTACAAGGGAAAGAATTAAAAATCACTCACTTTCAAGGACCATCTTTGTAGGTAAAAAAGGATCTAACCAGAAACCGTGGGCAGTTCAGTAACTCCTCCCCTGTGCTATTTTGCTTTTTAGGGAGTAGCATCATATTGAGGTCAGAGGGGACTATTTAGTGCAGAAATCCCGTCTGGATGAAAAACCAACTAGGAGCACAAGATGAGTGAGTCCGGGGTGTTCTCTCAAATTCACCTGGAGATGGTATTGGACTGTGAGTCAGCAGCATGGTGCTGCCATGAAGAAAAGACAGCTAGAAAGGAAAGCGCAAGTCGGGGTGGAGCCACCAATCCGCTTGAGCTAACTGCACACTGGCAGAGGCCTTTTCTGGGCTGTTCAATGTGGGGGAAGATAGATAACTGTGCACCAGCTTTAAGCATTGTCCTTGTTCTATGGAGCTTATAGTCTATGCTAATTAAGTAGAAATAAGAATTAAGGACTGGGTGCGGAGGCTCATGCTTGTAATCCTAGCACTTTGGAAAGCTGACGTGCGTAGATTGCTTGAGCTTAGGAGTTGGAGACCAGCCTAGGAAACCCCATCTCTAAAAAAAATACAAAAATTTAGCTGGGCATGGTGGCGCCTGCCTGTAATCCCAGCTACTCAGGAGGCTGAGGTGGGAGGATCGCTTGAACCTGGGAAGATTGCTTGACCCCGGGAGGTCAAGGCTGCAGTGAGCTGTGCTTGTGCCACTGTGCTCCAGCCTGAGTCATAGAGCAAGAGCCTGTCTCGTCAGAAAAAAGAGAAAGAAATAACAATTATGAAGGTAGGATAAAAATGTCATGTTGGAATTTTTCAACCTGGCCAAGGGAAGGAAAGTTGATGAGTGGTTCATGATGGCCTTCAGGCATAGGACGGACTCTTACATACTTGCTTTTCACTTCTGTTAAGTAGAAGACCCAAAGAGATGGATTTTGTTTGTAGGTGAGAATTAGGGAAGAGCTCTTTGATAGTGAAGGTGGTTTTACCTCCATGTGCACGATGGCAGCGGCATGGCTGAGAATCTCAGGAAGGCTTTCTACTTGGTTAATGTGGGTCTTTTCTCTCTGCGGGCCAGCACTCCTTCCAGTGCTTGGCCTGTAGACTTGGTATAAGACCTTCCTACTTAGCAGAGAAACGTTAAGATGGAGAAGAGAACATTCTCCTAGAGGTAACTTGTTGGAGTAGAGAGACAACTGGACGTGGAATTGGAGGAAACTGTCATAGTTTTGTCTCTTACTAGCGGTATGACCCGGAGCTAGCCATTCACTTCTGGGAATCTTAGTTTTTGTTTATCTCTTAAATGGAAATCTCTTAGTGACTCACTGATTCATTCAATTCATTCTTTTCTATTCATTTATTTATCACATTTGTTTATTTGCTCTTTGGTTTATAATGATATTTATTCATCCTAGAAATCTTTGTTGAGCACCTGCTATGCCCCAGGTACACTGAAAGAGACAAAGGTGAGACTAACTCCGGTTTTTCAGATGAAGAGAGAGAATGTTTGTAAAGGAGTATTACATACTGAAAAATGCTACCTTAATGTAAACTATCACCTTTGTGCCCCTGAAGATATACGTGGGGGGTTATCAAATTATGGGATGTCAGAGCTGGAAGGGACTTTAGTTTCCTTCCTGAGAAGCCATTATTTTGCTCCATGTGATGTTTGAACCTAACCGGGACACTAATGTCCATTCTTGGCCGGCAGAATAGAAGTGAGAAAGTGCTACTTCGTCATTTTACCCACTCAGATTATCTGTGAACTCTCAGCCTGCACAATTTCTGAAGCTGCTTTTGTGGCAGCTCCTTACTGTGTATCTGGTAGTTGGGAACACATACTGTGTGTTCCAATAGCTTCTTCAACTGTGACTCAGATAAAGGCAGAGGCTCTGTCTTGGCCTCTTCTAACCTTAACATCTAGTAAGTATTAAAGACGTGCATGTGCTCTCTGTTCCCTTTCTACATACCTTGTGTTTACATAGGGCATTGTTTGCAGACATTTACATGTTTACATGCCCATCGTGTCTAAAGACTATGTCTTTTATTAGTCTTTGTCTGTCTGGTGTCTAGACAATACCTGGCTCACATGGAACCCTCAAAACATGTTTGCTGATGACTCAGACAAGCAAGGATTGGAATACACCCTGCTCCACTTTGAATTCACCTGCCCTTCCTTCCCTCCCTCCCTTCCTCCCTCTCTCCCTCCCTTCTCCTCCCTCCCTTCCCTTCCCTCCCTCCCACGCTTCCTCCCTCCCTCCCTCCCTCCCTTCCTTCCTCCCTTCCTCCCTCCCTTCCTTCCTTCCTCGCTCTGTCACCCAGGCTGGAGTACAATGGTGTGATCATGGCTCACTGCAGCCGGAAACTCCTGGGCTTAAGTGATCTTCACACCTCAGCTTCCCAACTAACTGAGACTACAGGCTCAAACCACCAAGCCAGGCTCATTTTTATATTTTCTGTAGATATAGGGTCTCACTCTGTTGCCCAGGCTGGTCTCAAACTCCTGGCCTCAAGCCATCCTCTCACCTCAGTCTCCTAAAGTGTTGGGGTTACAGGCGTGAGCCACTGCTCCTGGCCTCATTTTTCTTTAATGCTCATCCTAATCCCCTTTTCCATGAATCATTTGAAAAATAACTAAGTTATTTTAATATATTCACCTATCAGGCTTGTTTTTAACCCCGTGATTATATTAATTATTTCACATCTCACAGGTAGGTACATCTCACAGTATTGTCACGTCACTCAGCAATCTTTCATTTCCATCTTGGGCTACGTGGTGGAGACCCATGAGAGTTTTCTTCTCTTTTGTATGGAATGCTGTACAAACAGAACTTCCCAGAAGAAGAATGAAGAATTAGATACGTTTTGGGCACCATTCAACAGATGGCAAAACAAATCCTCCGTTCCATTCCCCTCAGCTAGCCACATTCTCCCCCTTCTGGATGTAATTTGTTAAACACTGAACTCAGCCCCGGTGAGGAGGTTATTACTGTTTCTATCATTTGTCTCCTGCTCCAGGGACTTGCCTTGGCCTCAGAAAAGAGGCTTGTGTATTCCAGGCAGTGGGGACTGCAGGGGTCCCATGCTTTCTGCCCCCACATGCTTGGGGACAGACATAGAGGTGCCCTGCCTCACCTTTGTGTGTTATCTGGTAACATCTGTCATTTCCTATCAGGCACCTAATGGGAGCCACGTTCAGGATCCAGGATGGGATGTTTGAAAGAGATCTTTCTGCTTGGGCTCGGTGGCTCATGCCTGTAATCCCAGCACTTTGGGAGGCCAAGGCAGGCGGATCACAAGGTCAAGAGATTGAGACCATCCTGGCCAACATGGTGAAACCCTGTCTCTGCTAAAAATACAAAAAAAAATTAGCTGGGCGTGGTGGCAGGTGCCTGTAATCCCAGCTACTTGGGAGGCTGAGGCAAGAGAATCGCTTGAACCCGGGAGGCAGAGGTTGCAGTGAGCTGAGATCGCACCATGGCACTGCAGCCCGGGCAAAAAGAGTGAAACTCAGTCTCAAAAAAAAAAAAAAAAAAAAGAAAGATCTTTCTGCCAGTTTCTCACCAACTCTTTCTTTTTCATCTCCTTTTCTCTGTATTCCAGGTGTACGTGTCTTACGACTATGGAAAATCATTCAAGAAAATTTCAGACAAGTTAAACTTTGGCTTGGGAAATAGGAGTGAAGCTGTTATCGCCCAGTTCTACCACAGCCCTGCGGACAACAAGCGGGTAAGGAAGTGGCCATCCCTCCTGTCCCGACTTCATGGGACTGGGTTTTGGAAAGATTGCCGCACTTAAGGGGGTGCTAGGAGATGGCGCTCTCTGTGATCTTTGTAGCATGACTGGTGGCTAGTGAGTTTTTGTGCTAACCTGGGCATTTGTGACAGACTGCTGTTCTCAGGGTTGGTCTCTGCACAATCAGGCAGGCCAAGGACTGGTCAGGCAGGATTTCTAGACAAACAATGACAGGTTAAACCACAGAAAATCAGCCAACTCTTGTAATACCTTGCCCGACTTGCAGATGGCAAAAATGTTTCCCAGGTACACTGAGAATAACCTTGCAATCAAATTCATGTTTTCTAGGATACTATCAGTGTGTCTGCTTGCGTGCTTATGCGTGCTTGTATGCGTGTGTGTGCATGTACGTGCTTGTGTGCGTGTGAGTACCTGTGTGCGTGTGGGTACCTGTGTGTGTGTGCTTGTGTGCATGTGGGTAACTGTGTGTGTGCTTGTGTGCGTGTGAGTACTTGTGTGGATGTGCATGCTTGTGTGCGCGTGAGTACCTTTGTGTGTGTGCTTGTGTGCGTGTAGTTACTTGTGTGCGTATGGGTACCTGCGTGTGTGTGCTTATGCACATATGGGTACCTGTGTGTGTGCTTGTGTGTGTGTGCAGATACCTGTGTGCATGCATTGGTACCCACGTGCGTGTGTGGGTACCTGCGTGCGTGCGCATGCTTGTGTGCACGTGGGTACCCACGTGCGTGCGCATGCTTGTGTGCACGTGGGTACCTGCGTGCGTGTGTTGGTGCAACCCTCTGTCCCCCGGCCTCTGAACCTGTACCGATATGGAAAAGAAAACCAAGGCAGCAGATATTGCTATGCCTCCTGCTTTGTTTTCCCAGCTGGCTGGCCCTGGGGGCTTTGTTTCTTCAGTTAGGCAATTTGATTTGAGGAAGCGTTGACCCTGGGCCCCCAGGGAGGTGGAGGCGGGAGGGCAGGAACCGGGCAGCCGGCAAGGCTTTCCTGCCAGTTGGGTAGCTCTTAGCTCGGAGAGTTGTATTTCGTTGCTTTCTTCCCCACTCTTGTGTTACCGTGTTTGTTTCCAGGCCAGATCTTCTACGGAAAGACCCTTAGTAGAAAAACTAAGAGAAACATTCTAGTAGCAAAAGCTTTCTGCTCCAGAAAGGAACAAGCAAGCAAGATCTACAGGGTCCTCTTTCCAGTCCCTAGTCCTGGCTTCTCAGGTTGCTTGAGGTCTCCTAGCAGGGGCTGCATTCAAAATATTTAGCGACTGGTGTGGCTTGGGCACTGACCAATCAGAACAAATCCTGTCTGGAGGAGGCTGGGTCCTGGACGTCCCCTGCTGGGCCATGCATTAACTTTTGAGTTGCTGAATTTCAGGGAGATCCTGGGGAAGGGACCACGCCATGGGAAGTGTTGTGGGGTAGGCTTAGGAAGGGCCACTTAAGGGTTTCAGGGCAGCGGCTGTTGACCAGGTGGTACAGAGCAGTTGTTTTTTAACAACTGGAATGGTCATTACTGGTACATACTTGTTAAAATATCAGCTCTGCCTGATGATCTCAGAGTGGAGTGGCAGTTAGGAGCAAACTTCCCTTTCTTACCTAACTCCAGGGTGACAGAGTAATTTTTCCCCCTGAGATGAAAAGCAAGGAGAAGGTGTTGGAGGGAATTGGCCCCATAGACGGGTCAGCCAGCCTTTGTGCCCCTTTGCCCCACCGCACAGTGTGGTCCCCAGGACTCCCAGAGAGGGGTGGGCCCCGCTGCTTGCCTTGCCTTTGGCTCCTCCGTGAGGTGAGGAGCCCTGACCAGGGTCCAGCTCATAGCTGCCTCTTCTGTGGATGGATCCATATGCGCCCCGCCTCTCAAGAATCAAATTACACCTGCTGATGTGTTGTATGCTTGGAAATGCAGAGTGGATTTTGTGTTCTCACACAAAAATAACTATGAGAGGGAAAGCATTTGTTAATTAGCCAGATTTAACCATTAAACAATGTATGTATGTTTTTAAACATTATGTTCTACATGATAAATACATATAATAGTATGTCTATTTAAATAATTAAATTTGAAAAAAACTAATCAAATATTATCATAAGTAATGATAAAAACCACAATTTCTTTTGCAGCAAACTAATAACACCTGGATTTCTCAATTTATTAAGTTGTACTTACCTGATGCTGATGATGATTACTGTATTTACACATTGTCTCAGAGCTCACTCTTGCGGAGGTTGTGGCCTCGAAAATGCCTTGTTGTCCCTCTGGAATCTGTCTTTTCAGCTTCATCTCCTCCTCCTCACCTCCTGCTGTGGTGCACAGATACCTATAGGCAGGCTCCATCTCCTCCTCCCCAGCTCCTCCCCTAGTGCACAGATACCTATAGGCAGGCTTCATCTCCTCCTCCCCAGCTTCTCCCCTAGTGCACAGATACCTATAGGCAGGCTCCATCTCCTCCTCCCCAGCTCCTCCCCTAGTGCACAGATACCTATAGGCAAGCTCCATCTCCTCCTCCCCAGCTCCTCCCCTAGTGCACAGATACCTATAGGCAAGCTCCATCTCCTCCTCCCCAGCTCCTCCCCTAGTGCACAGATACCTATAGGCAGGCTCCATCTCTTCTTCCCCAGCTTCTTCCGTAGTGCACAGATACCTATAGGCAGGCTTCATCTCCTCCTCCCCAGCTCCTCCCCTAGTGCACAGATACCTATAGGCAAGCTCCATCTCCTCCTCCCCAGCTCCTCCCCTAGTACACAGATACCTATAGGCAGGCTTCATCTCCTCCTCCCCAGCTCCTCCCCTAGTGCACAGATACCTATAGGCAGGCTTCATCTCCTCCTCCCCAGCTCCTCCCCTAGTACACAGATACCTGTAGGCAGACTCCATCTCTTCTTCCCCAGCTTCTTCCGTAGTGCACAGATACCTATAGGCAGGCTCCATCTCCTCCTCCCCAGCTCCTCTCCTAGTGCACAGATACCTATAGGCAAGCTCCATCTCCTCCTCCCCAGCTCCTCCCCTAGTGCACAGATACCTATAGGCAGGCTCCATCTCCTCCTCCCCAGCTCCTCCCCTAGTGCACAGATACCTATAAGCAAGCTCCATCTCCTCCTCCCCAGCTTCTTCCATAGTGCACAGATACCTATAGGCAGGCTCCATCTCCTCCTCCCCAGCTCCTCTCCTAGTGCACAGATACCTATAGGCAGGCTTCATCTCCTCCTCCCCAGCTCCTCCCCTAGTGCACAGATACCTATAGGCAGGCTTCATCTCCTCCTCCCCAGCTCCTTCCCTAGTGCACAGATACCTATAGGCAGGCTTCATCTCCTCCTCCCCAGCTCCTCCCCTAGTGCACAGATACCTATAGGCAGGCTTCATCTCCCCAGCTCCTCCCCTAGTGCACAGATACCTATAGGCAGGTTCCATCTCCTCCTCCCCAGCTCCTCCCCTAGTGCACAGATACCTATAGGCAGGCTTCATCTCCTCCTCCCCAGCTCCTCCCCTAGTGCACAGATGTCTATAGGCAGGCTCCATCTCCTCCTCCCCAGCTCCTCCCCTAGTGCACAGATACCTATAGGCAGGCTTCATCTCCTCCTCCCCAGCTCCTCCCCTAGTACACAGATACCTATAGGCAGGCTTCATCTCCTCCTCCCCAGCTCCTCCCCTAGTGCACAGATACCTATAGGCAGGCTTCATCTCCTCCTCCCGAGCTCCTCCCCTAGTGCACAGATACCTATAGGCAGGCTCCATCTCTTCTTCCCCAGCTTCTTCCATAGTACACAGATGCCTATAGGTGGGTTCTGACTTCCTTTCTGCTTGTTGTGGGTTGTGGTGAACAACTGCTAAGGCCACAAGTCTGAAGAGTCAGAAGACAGGACAGATGATGTTTTGGACTTGAAGGAGGAGGGTTAGTGCAGGCAGAGGACTGGGGCTTTGGAAGCACTGGATCTGGAGAAGGAGCAGAGCAGGGGCCGTGGTGTTTGGGGCAAGAGCAAGGGGAAACTGGAGGGTGATTCCAGTAAGGGAGTTTAGGTGCTGCACTGTGGAATGGGGGTGACATGTTTGCATCCCAAGTGCTGTGTACCTCCGAGTGGTGTGTCTTAGATTCTCATGGGTGGATATTCTTTGGAGTTGGTGGGGTTGGAGAAGTCAGGAGAAAAAAGGCTGCCTTCTTGGAGAATTTGTTGACAGTTGGGCCTCAGGCCTGGAACAGGCTGAGTGGGTTGGTGGGGGCAGCATTCTCTGTAGATAGTTTCTAATTCCCCAGAGAAGGCTGCTCCTCACCACCCCACCAGACTCTCAGGAAGGAAATGATGACTCTTAACAGTGCTGATTGCTTCTGTTACTTTTGCCTTTGTCCCCTGGAAGGCAAATTGCCCCACCAGACCTACCACTTCCTGAGAAAAATCACACAAGGCTGGATGCCTTGCTGTCAACAGCAGGGCGCTCTGCCTAGGCAAATCACCCAGGTGAAAATGCGAGCTGCCAAGGAGCATTTGAAATGGTCGAAATGAATGTTAGCAGCTGCTTGGAAAGGTTAAGATGTCAGGAAAGGGCAGCGTGGATGTCTAGGAGCATGAGTGCCTGTGGAAGGGGAGAGAAGGTGCTAGCGCGGCATCCAGTTCCAGTCCGAAGGCTTTGCCTTGTGATGGAGATGGTGCTTGTGGGCCCATGTGAGTTTTGGGTCTATTTCTGCATTAGCCAGCAGTCCCACTTCCTTCTTGGTCTCCTGTGTGCTGCCCTGAACCATTGTGCAGTGCTGGCCACATGGCAGTTCTGCCAACATTGTGGGGCCCCTGAGATTGGTCAGACAGAATTGAAATATGTTTGGCGCTGTTATTTGCTTACTTAATAATTTTTAAAAAATAGAGACAGGGGTCTTGCTCTGCCATACATCCTGGGCACAATCATAGCTCACTGTAACCTCAAATTCCTGGGCTCAGGTATTCCTTCTGTCTCAGCCTTCCAAGTAGCTGTGACTACGGGCCAGCGCCACTGCATATCTGGGGCTTTTTAAAAAAGGACACTGAATGTACAGTTAGGCCTCACAGCCTCAGCCTCAGCAGAAGCAAGACCCAGTCCTGCCTTTTTCCAGGCAGAGGTTGGTCCTAGGTAAAATTTCATTCCCACCTTCTAGAGGGATGTTCCTTCATTGCCTTCTCTGCCCTTCCTCCTCTCATTGTACTCTTGGTTTCTCCACTTGAAACTGGAGAAAGTCACTTATGCTAATAGACTGTGGATACATTCTATAGCTTAGTTTGTTTTCTTTCCAGAGGTATTTGTATTTTCAGAGGAAACAGCTTTTAACCAAAGGAGGAAGCTCCTCTGGAATATTAAGTTACTGCAAACAGGGTTGGAGAGATTGGGGTACACAAAGGCACTCCTGAAATTGCATAGTTTGGGAAGCACCTTGTAGGTCAGCTCTTGGTCAGTCTGTAGGTTTGGCCTCCAGTAAACTTGACAGCCAGGCAGCACAGAGACTTAAAAGCCAGGGTGAAATACTGTGTCTTCCTAACATGTACATATCTGACCCTTTGTATCACAGCATGAGGTACCATGTGCTCAAGTGATGAATGTAACCTACAAATAATAGAGCTAGGGGAATCAAATGAGGTTGGATCATAGAAGCCAAGTCTTCATGGGGTACTTAGGATTTGATATGAGCTTCAAGGATGGACATGTGACCCCAGTAAGTAGAGGAGAGCTGTCAGGAGCCCTCAAGCAGGAGAAGGGCGTCAGCAGAGACTGCAAAGTGCCAAAATGTGGTTTCTGTGCAGGACAGCGAGGAGATTCACTTTTTGGTGGTGGAGAGCTTGTATTGAGCTGCTGTGCAATGTCAAACAGGCCCGTGTCTGAAGATGGAGATTGTCTTCTGCTTTGAGGGCTGAACAGAGCTAGGAAAGAATATTTGAGTAGGGGTGTAAATGAATAGTGTCCTTTAGGGAAATGTGTCTTCTGGCAATATTCTTGACTTTCCCTTTTAGCAGGGAAAGATTAGGGAAGAGTCTAGAAAGGGAACTATTGTGGCAGTGTAGGCATGAAGTTGCTCAATCAAACCTGGTATCACCCTCTAAGTATTTCATTTAGGCCCTGGAAGACATGAGGATGAAGAAGACCCATTGCCTGCCTCCAGTTTGTTTAGTCTCTAGTGAAGACGTGGGCCATGCCAATAGCACTGAGAGGAAAAAGGAAGGCACATATTTTGAGAAAGATTTTAAAGGAAAACAAAACAGGTTTGGTGGCTGATAGAGAGTGAGGGCCAAAGGGAAGGACTGGAGTAAAAACCCATCTCTGCTTGTGAGTAGTGGGGCTGGGAGAAGGCATAGCAGGCAGGAGACTTGGGACGTGGGGAGGGAGAATTGGGTTTTGTTGGGAAAGTTTTGAAGAACTCAAGTTTTGCGTATAGTAAAATATCTTGGCCCATCAAAAGTGGAGATGGTGAGAAGGTAAACAAAAATGGAATCTCTGTAAGAATTGAGGGTTAGACTGTAGATTTGAAAGTCATGCCATGCTTCTTCTTTTGTTTTTGAGACAGGGTCTCACTTCATCACCCAGGCTGGAGTGCAGTGGTGTGATGTCGGCTCATTGCAACCTCTGTCTCCCAGGTTCAAGCGATTCTTGCACCTCAGCCTCCTGAGTAGCTGGAATTATAGGTGCACACCACCATGCCCAGCTAATTTTTTGTATTTTTAGTAGAGATGGGGTTTTGCCATGTTGGCCAGGCTGGTCTCGAACCCCTGACCTGAAGTGATCTGCCCACCTTGGCCTCCCAAAGTGGTGGGATTACAGGCATGAGCCACCCCGCCCGGCCCCATGCTTGTTCTTAAGGGCGGTGGTTGAAGCTTTGTGAAAGGATAAGCCAAAGTTAGCAGCAAAGGATGGAAGAAGAATGAGGTTATATGAGCGTAGGGAGTGGGGAGGACCAAGGAGCCAGCAGAGGAGAATCAAGGCTTGAGATGATCAGGGGCTGGGGATGGAGAGGTGAAATGAGAGGGTGCTGTGGATTAGGAGAGAAGGCACACAAATGAGTTAAATGGTACAAGGTAAGACCTATGAATGAAGTTCAGGAAATGTTGCCGTTTTGTTAAAAGAGCTGTTAAGGGGTGAGATGTGAACATGTGAACCAGTCAGATATTGACGTCAATGCTGCCTAGTCCTGCGTCACCTTGGGCAGTAAACTACTCTCAGTCTCAGTGTCCTCATTATTAAAAGAGTGTATAACGGTAATATCCAAAGCATTGAGTCACTGTGAACCCTGAATGAGATAGGGCATGCCAAACTTTTAGCTCAGTGCCTGGCATATAGGAAGTGCTCTTGAAAACGTTTAGCTATTACCATGGACAATAATACATTCTATGACGGGGTGCGTGATTTTTGGATTCTCCAATGTGAGACTGCAGGAAGCCATGGAACAGATTTCTGGGGAAATCTTTTCAAATTGAGGATGCTTCCTTCCCCAATAACCTAGGTGGTTTGGGAGCAGGAAGATGGACTATGTTATTTCTGGGGAATACTTTTATGCCAGAAATTATGATGATCCTCTTAGGATCATAATTGTTTTTTATAACATTGCATTTTATTGTAGTTTTTGCTTTCAAAACATTTACTACCTTTTCCAGTTTGATTTAATGAGGCTTCTGCAGAGTTTAGAGATTTACCTGAGATGCTGGGGAGGAAACGTGAGAGAGCGAATCCACAAAATATGTCCCTGGGAAGTTTATGGTCTGGATTTGGGGAGAGAGTGCAAATGAAAAGGAGTGAGCACATCTGAAAGCAGCATGAGACAAGTGCAAAGTGCTGGTCCACACCGAGGCTGTGGCACTGAAAGGTTTCAGAGCTGGAGATTGATCTGGGTCAGGTGGAGTCCATTCGAGAAAGTGTCCTTGGGCTTATCCTGCAGGATTGCTTGACTTCTAGGATGTCAATGACTGGCTGTGGGTAGAACTAGGTCCCTGTTGCTCTGGTTTCTGATTCATAATCTCCTGAGCCTTCCTCATTCTTCCAGGAGCAGGGACCGGCCTCCGGGTCTTGCCAGGTGTGCATGCGAGGCCTTACATCATCTGTGCTTCCCAGCCTTGTTTTCTGGTTATTTCTCTCAGGCCCTCAAGACTGTCACTGGGTGCAGTGGCTCATGCCTGTAATCCCACCACTTTAGGAGGCCGAGGCAGCCTGATGGCTTGAGCTCAGGAGTTTGAGACCAGCCTGGGCAACATGGTGAGACTCTGTTTCTTTCTTTCTTTTTTTTTTTTTTTTTGAGACGGAGTCTCACTCTGTCGCCCAGGCTGGAGTGTAGTGGCACGCTCTTGGCTCACTGCAAGCTCCGCCTCCTGGGTTCACGCCATTCTCCTGCCTCAGCCTCCCGAGTAGCTGGGATTACAGGCCCCCACCACCATGCCCGGCTAATTTTTCGTATTTTTAGTAGAGATGGGTTTTCACCCTGTTAGCCAGGATGGTCTCGATCTCCTGACCTCGTGATCCCCCCGCCTCAGCCTCCCAAAGTGCTGGGATTACAGCCGCGAGCCACTGCGCCCGGCGGTGAGACTCTGTTTCTACAAAAAATACAAAAACTTAGCTGGTTGTGATGGCACACACCTGTAGTCCCAACTACCTGGGAGGCTGAGGTGGGATGACCTCCTGAGCCCGGGGAGGTCAAGGCTGCACTGAGCCATGATTGTGCCACTGCACTCCAGCCTGGGCAACAGAGCGAGACCTTGTCTCAAATAAACAAGACTCTCATCAAACCCATGCTATATCTCTTTTCCCCCTTTGTGCCCAAACCCACACTGCCCTAGACGTGGAATATTCTTTCCCTGTGGGAGTCTCACCTGCCCTGCGAGGCCCACCTCTTCCATGGAATCATTTCTCATCTCTCAGCCTGGAGAGGCACTCATAGGACTCTGGTCATGGCTTCTCATTCAGCCTCACTTTCTCTTGACTGATGGTTAGCCCTGGACATGTCTGTCTCCCATGTTAGATTTTGAGCTACTTGAGGGAAGGCATCTTGGGTTTTTGTGGCAGCTCCTGAGCGTCTGGTCCGTGGTGGGAATGCAGCACACATGTGTTAGGTTGAATTGCCTGGATCCTTCTCCCCAGGGAATTCTTTCAGCCGCAGCCACTATCCAGCCTAAATTGTTCAGATTCACTCATCCACACAGAAGCTAAGTAGGATGAGGCCCGTGCTCACCAGAGCTACTTACTGCTCTGCCCCAGAGTGAGCCTGCCAGCCACAGTGGCAGCCTGGTCCCCAGAGCTGCCGATCACCTGGCATAGCAGCACGAAGGAGAAGCTTATCTTCTTAGATGGAAGTGATTTTAGTGCTTTTCCTGGAAAGCCATGTCCCATAGCTGCTTGGAGGATGCAGGGAGACTCAACCATCCCATCTGTGTTAGCCAATCTGAAAAGTAGGGCGTCTGTGTCCCAGATGCCAGTAACTACCCTCTGGTTGTGACTGAGTGACCCACTAGGGAGTGGGAATTGCTAATTTCATTGAAAGGAAACAACAGAAAGGCCCACTTCATTACCTGGTTAAACAAGCCCACCTTGTAGCTTCATCCCGGTCCATCTCCAGGCCTCCTTTCGCTGAGCCTTGTTTGGAGTATGCCAGTGTCTTTTTATTGCCAAGAGATGGGGAGAAAGCCATTGTGGAAGCCCTGTAAGGCTGTGGTGCCTTGTTGGTGCCAGCTGGCCCCTGCACATGTGTGTACTCGTGTGGACTCGCACATGGTTTAGGGGAGTGTTGGGCAGCTCTGGACAGGGCCTGCTCTCAACTTACCTGTTTTCCCTTGCAGTACATCTTTGCAGACGCTTATGCCCAGTACCTCTGGATCACGTTTGACTTCTGCAACACTCTTCAAGGCTTTTCCATCCCATTTCGGGCAGCTGATCTCCTCCTACACAGTAAGGCCTCCAACCTTCTCTTGGGCTTTGACAGGTCCCACCCCAACAAGCAGGTAAGAGGGCTTTCAGAACCCAGTTGCATGGGGCTCCTCTAGTTTTCTCCTCTGCCTGTGTGGATTGTGTGTCCTTTGAGTGACCTCGCCTCCTGCCTCTCCCTCCTTCTCTCTTGGGCCTAGCCTTTGTAGCTACTATTTCACTTACCAGGGCTCAAGAAAAATATCTCCTCCTGGCACTCTCAGTTGGCAGCCCAGCCAGCCATCAGCACCCAGCACTTGGCAGGCCCTGTGAGTTAAACATCATGCCCTTCTCCATGCAGTTGCACCTTTGTTAGCCCTTGGGGTAAATCGAGGCTCTGGAATTTAATCAGAGAGAGAGCCAGGTGGAGAAAGCTGGAATCTGAGCTCTTCAGGGACCTTTTGTTGAATTTCTGTTCTGCTTTCTCCATCCTCCATCTTAAACACTGCTTTTGCCTCCCATTTATTTGAAGTTACCACTAACAGTAATAGTCTTCCTTCGAGTGCGTGCGTGTGTATCATATAAATGTGTGTATTTTCCTCCTTCAACCCAGGTTTGAAGGAAATCTGAGAGATGAGGAAAGAGCCTGAGTAAGACTTATATCTCAAGGTTGAAGCTTGCCAAGTCAAGGATATTAGTTTGGCAAAAATCTGTGAAACTTGTAGATCCTGTATGATTGGATTTACAGTGAGCCTTGAATGTTTTTGCTCAGAGAAACCTTGGAACGTTTTTTTGCAGGTTGTTTAACCAAAACACAGATCTGTTTACCTTTGCTTGCCTTAGGGAGTAACCTAAGTATGGGCTGGGTCAGTTTACCAGCGGAGGGGGAATTATTGTTACTTTGGGTCTCCTGCTTCTTAATACATGGTTGCTAGGGCCGGAGGAACCCTCAGATTCCATCTGTGGAAGTTGAGGGGCTTTGGCAAAGATCAGCAGGTTAATTCCTCATTGCCACAGCCGTGTATTCAGTTGGTTCTCTGTGGGGCTCTGTACTTAGCTGGTGTCCTCTGCATTCATCTTTAATTATCAGGGCCCATTACTGTTGTTTTCTTCCTCTTTTTTGTGCGTGTTAAAATACTCATAACGTACAATTTGCTGTTTTGACCCTTTTAAGCATGCAGTGTAGTGATATTGAGTATATTCATATTGTTTTGCAGCCATCACCACCATCCATCTCTAGAACACTTTTCATCTTGCAAGACTGAAACGCTACACCCATGAAATAATACCTCTCTGCCCCCAGCCCCTGGCAACCACCATTCTACTTTCTGTCTCTATGCTTTTGCCTACTCTAGGTACCTCCTAAGTGGAATTAATACTATTTGTCACTTTGTGATGGACTTATTTCACTTAGCAGAATGTCCTTAAGATTAATCCATATTGTAGCATGTGTCAATTTTTTTCTTTTTAAGGCTGAATAATATTCCATTGTATGCATAGACCACATTTTGCTTATTTGCTTATCCCTCATGGACACTTGGATTGCTTCCACATTTTAGCTGTTGTGAATAATGCTGCTATCTGTGAAAGGTTTTTAAGGACACTGTTTCTTCGTTGAAAAGTGCTGAGTATAATCATCCTTTGGTTTTTACCATTACCTAGAGGCTAGTCTTGAGTGAAATATAATTTTTGGTAATCCATAAATGGAAGGCAAGTCCTACTCATTTTTCCTTCCAGTTGCTATTGAGAGAACACATAGGTACACAGTTGTCTTTCCTTTCTTGCCCTTGTTTGCTTTTGGAGCAACTGAGCTGGCTTTGGCAGTCTCAGTGCCTGCCTTCACAGACAGCGTGTCATGGAAGGTGGGATTTCAGCGGGTGTTTGATGGTGATGCCATTCAGGTTGTATTATACATGCCTCTTGCATCATGACCACTTGTCTTTGCAGCTGTGGAAGTCAGATGACTTTGGCCAGACCTGGATCATGATTCAGGAACATGTCAAGTCCTTTTCTTGGTAAGTTGTGTCATCTAAGAAATCTTGATATATGTAACCTCCTTTCTCCAGTTCTAGCTCCTTCTTGGTGGACAAACTGCCCTCCCCTGAAATGTCCAGCATTTATTCAGGAAATACATTTTTCCAGATCTGAGAATTAGAGCTGCAAGTACAATGATCTCACTGTGGGAGAGAGTTGGGGGGAGGAGAAAGTAAGGTATTTATGAGAGGAGTGGTAGAGCTTTTGCATTTTTCAATCAATCAGGGAACCCAGGGGAATCTTGAGGCCCTTGCATGTTTGTAGAGTTTCATTTTTAGAGCATCATATTAGAAGTGGGAGTTTTTCTCTATATAAAATTCATGCATTTCGCTGGGTGCAGTGGCTCACGCCTGTAATCCCAGCACTTTGGGAGGCTGAGGTGGGCAGATCACCTGAGCTCGGGAGTTCAAGACCAGCCTGGCCAACATGGTCAAACCCTGTCTCTACTAAAAATACAAAAATTAGCTGAGCATGGTGGTATGTGCCTATAAATCCCAGCTACTTGGGAGGCTGAGGCAAGAAAACTGCTTCAACCTGGGAGGCAGAGGTTGCAGTGAGCCGAGATCGCATCACTGCACTGCAGCCTGGGCGATACAGTGAGACTCTGTCTCAAAAAAAAAAAAAAAAAAAATTCCTGCATTTGTTCATAACATTTTCTTGAATGTCTGTTAAATATAAAACCTACTAGATTCTTAAGGGTATAAGAAATTGAATAATTTATGGATATAGTTATTAAGGAGAGGTAAGGAAAGACATTTCAGGTACGTAACACACATTGTGAAAGAGGCACAGAGGTAACAGACATAGTATGAGAAGCTAGAGAGAGGATTTATCCTTCCAGATGGGAGGATCATAAACAGCTGTGTAGAGGAGGTGGCCCTTGATCCAGGATGTGCACAACAGGTAGGATGTCCCTGTGTGGAGGTGTGGAGGACAGGAATTCCAGGCAGAGGAACAAAGTGACTTGCCAAAGGCACAGGGATGCGCCAATGTGGTGCTTGGGTAGAGAACATGAACTCTTAATTTTGGACAGTGTATTGGGTGAAGTTTTGAAAGGGAAGTTGGTATTAGAATCTGCATCGCTTGATAAAGGAATTTGGGCTACATTCTGAAAGCAATGAGGTACCCCTGTAGTTTTGTGAGAAGAGGAGTGAAATAAACAGGCTGTACTTCAAGAAGTACTTCTAGAAGTAAATAGTAATATACTTATCGTAATTTACTATTACAGTGATAAAGTAGTATAGGATCTTGAATTATATGAATTTGTACATGTGCAGGCAAATGTGTAGGACAGATTTCTAGGAGTGGGTATGCTGGGTCAGTGGGTTTATCTAACAGCTATCCATTCACTCACATGGATGACTGATAGATATTGCAAACTTGACCCCTCGCAAATTGACTCTTGATCTTCACCACCCCAAATCAGCTCCACCTATAACTTTTCTCATTTGCTCAGGCCAAAATCTTTGGAGTCATCGTTGATTTCACATTTGTTTTATGCTTTACATTCATTCTATCAGGAAATCCTATTGGCTTCACCTTCAGTATATATCTAGAATCTTCTACTCAGGTACCACTTCTAGTGCCAGCCTCCAGTGTCATTGCTCATTAGTCTCCCAACTAGTCTTTCTGCGTTTACTCTTGTTTTTCTATCATTAATTCTCAGCATGTGGTCAGTTTGAGTCTATTCAAATAAATTAGATCATTTTGTTCCTCTGCTTTGAACCCTTTAATGCTTCATCATTTCTCTCAGATTAAATGTCAGATACCTTCTTACCACAGGGAACAGGATATTTGCAATTGCTGTTTTCTCTGCCTAAAATGCTGTTACCAAAGATATACTTACTGCTTACTCCCTTACCTCATTCCAGTCTTTGCTCAAATAACATCTTCTAAATGAAGCCCACCTCATTTATGCCCACCTTAGGATCCTATTTAAAATTGCACCTGGCCAAGTGCGGTGGCTCATGCCTGTAATCCCAGCACCTTGGGAGGCCGAGGTGGGTGGACCATCTGAGGTCAGGAGTTCGAGACCAGCCTGGCCAACATGATGAAACCCCATCTCCACTAAAAACACAAAAAGTAGCTGGGCATGGTGGCGGGTGCCTGTAGTCCCAGCTACTCGGGAGGCTGAGGCAGGAGAATCGCTTGAACCCGGTAGGTGGAGGTTGCAGTGAGCTGAGATTGCGTCACTGCACTCCAGCCTGTGCGACAGACCAAGACACTGTCTCAATAAATAAATAAATAAATAATAACTGTCTCAATGAATGAATGAATGAATGAATAAAAATAAAATTGCACCTACTCCCCCATTACTCCCAATCTCCTGTACTGTGTTCTGTTCTGTTTTGCAGAGCACTTTACCACATTCTAATATACTATTATTATGCTTATTATTTGTCTTTCTCCCTTCAATAGAATGAAAGCTTCCCAAGGGCAAGGACTTTTGTAAGTTTTGTGCACTGATATATCCACAGTGAATAAATCCTTAAAATTGTAACTTTGGTAGAGAGTGCCAGATTTGATATAGAAAGTGTCAAGTTTGCACTCATCTCAACAATATAGAATAGTGTCTCCCTCCACAGCCAATGTGTTAGGGAAGAAATATTATCTCTGTGGTTTAATTTGCATTTTCCTTATTATGAGTTAGAACATCTTTTAATCTGCTTAAGGGTCATTTTTTTTTTTTTTTGAGACGGAGTCTTGCTCTGTTGCCCAGGCTGGAGTGCAGTGGCGTGATCTTGGCTCACTGCAACCTCCGTCTCCAGGGTTCAAGCAATTCTCTGCCTCAGCCTCCTGAGTAGCTGGGATTACAGGTGCCTGCCACCACGCCTGGCTAATTTTATTTATTTTTATTTTATATTTTTTAGTGAGAGTCTCACTCTGTTACCCAGGCTGGAGTGCAGTGACACTATCATAGCTTACAGCAGCTTCAAACTCTTGGGCTCAAGTGATCCTCCCACCTCACCCTCTCAAGTAGCTAGGACTACAGGCATGTGCAGCCATCCCTAGCTAATTTTTACATTTTTTTGTAGAAAGGAGGTCTCCCTATGTTTCCCAGGCTGATCTCAAACACCTGGCCTCAAGCAATCCTCCCACCTTGGCCTTCCAAAGTGCTGGGATTATGGTTTGTTTTATTTATTTGTTTGTTTGTCTGTTTAAGTATGACCAGGCTGGAGTGTAGTAGCGTGATCTTGGCTCACAGCAACCTCTGCCTCCCGGATTCAAGTGATTCTCCTGTCTCAGTCTCCCGAGAAGCTGGGATTACAGGCACCCACCACCATGCCTGGCTAATTTTTGTATTTTTAGTAGATATGAAGTTTCACCATGTTGGCCAGGCTGGTCTTGAACTCCCAACCTTAGGTGATCCACCCACCTTGGCCTCCCAAAGTGCTGAGATTACAGGTGTGAGCCACCGTGCCTGATCTCATGCCTGTTTTCTATTTGATTATTAGTCTTTTCATTGTTGGTTTCAAGGAGCTCTTTATATATTCGAGATTAGCCCTTTGGCTGTGATATGAGATAGATCGTATGTGTGTGTATTTATATTTCTATCTCCTAGTTTTTCATTTGTTTTTAGACTTTTACTTGTAATTTTAGTCCTCATTAAGTGTAATGGTCCCAGAAGATGTAGATACTGCCTTTGTTTCTTTTAGTTCTCCATGTAAAGTGAAATGTCTTTTAGTTGGTATTGCTTCCTTAGTAATAGAGGTAAAGATGGAGCTGGTATGTTGAGGAGCCTTACAGCTGACCATCATCAGACACCCATAGATTCTGTTTATGTTTCCACAGAGGGTAGCTGTTTCTGACCCTTTTGTTATTTTCCTTGAGCAAAAGTTGTGGGATCTTAGTGAAATTATAACCACAGTCTCATCCAAGGACACCCTCTGCTCAAGGAGAACCATTAGAACTTTCTTCTGCTTTATTTGAATTTTAAGGGGAAAAATTGTTCTTTTATCTGCTTAAGAAACTATAAATTAAGAGGGCAAACCAGCAGAATTACTAGATAAGGGAACATACAATTTAGAAATTTTAAGTTCTAAAATCATATTGTACCTTCTGCCTCTGTGTAGATATACAGATATCCTGGGAGAAAGGACTGGTTTATCTCATTGAAGCTAATGACATGTCGGTTAGGGGATTTTAGGCTATTTGTGGGATTTCTCCCCCTAGGTTTCCCCATAATAAGTGAAAGCGTAATCTAGTCTCTCAGAATAATGATATACATTTGTTCAACAATGCTTGGCGAGTTGGGAGCAGCAGGAGTGGGAAAGCTAAAAATTTACATGGTCCGGAGCTTGAGATTGGCAAGACAGAACAGTGGAAGACCTGGAGGGGGCTGAGGGGACTCAAAGATACCCTGTGGAGCATCATTGAGGGATTTCAGGTGAGGCCAGGTGAGGCTGGTGACTGCTCAGAGATAGAGCAAGGATTGGAATTTCTCAATGAGGACAAAGACAATAGAAAGTAGGTGTCAGTGAGCGTAAGACATTGGAAGTCTAAGTGATTGCAAAGTATGAGAACTTGTAGGTGGAGCAGCTTGCAGAAATGGGAGGTCCAAATATGGATTACGGAAGAAAATTGGGATGAAAGTCACAGTTCTTTCTATCTCTAGGTGTTGGCTGCTGCTTTTGGCTAGGAAGGAATAATAGAGGTGAGCTGGGTCTCAAAATAGCTCAATAAAGGTTCCTTCCTCTCTGCCGTTTTAAAAATACCAAGCAGCCTCATTTTAATTTGCATATCCTCTGGCTAGAGGAAGTACTTTAATCAGTACTTCTAATTGTGGAAAAGAAGAGAACATGCCACCACCCGCCCACACATGCACACAGAGGATCTGATAATGAAGAATAGTGTTCTCCCACACTAGGACCAAAGCTGCTGGTTTCTCCGTTGCCCTAAGAATCCAGATTGTAGGGCAAAACTCAAGTCTTGCTCCCATTGTAAAAAGAAGCTCTTTTTTCTTTGTTTTTTCAAGACAGGGTATTGCTCTGTTGCCCAGGCTGGAGTGCAGTGGCACAATCATGGCTCACCCAGCCTCAAACTTCCAGGCTTCAATCCACCCACCTCAGCCTCCTGAGTAGCTGGGGCTACAGGTGTACGCCAGCATACCTGGCTAATTTTTTTAAATTTATTTTTTGTAGAGGTGGAGTCTCACTATGTTGCCCAGGCTGGTCTTGAACTCTTGGGTTCAAATGGTCCCCCTCCCTACCCTGGCCTCAGCCTCCCAAAGTGTTGGGATTACAGGTGTGACCCACTACATCTGGCAAAAGAGGTTCTTGTTTTTCTGTTTCTTATTTTCCTTTTTGGGAGGGGTGGGGGGAATATGCTCTTGACAGTATATCTCTGAAGGAATTTGACACGATTACCTTCATTATTCTGAGAGCCATCATGCATATGGGATTGTATAAGGGCAGTTACCTAACTGAGGCCTTCTGCTTTTCCTTGAGTCATCACTCTGTATTCTCACTACAAGACTATCTTCCCGACTTTACCATTTATTTTTTCCATTTGCTGAATGGTTCCCATGGCCTTGGTGTTCTTGAGAATGTTAGGAGACCTGGAGCAGATAAGTTGTCCTCTGAGCTGCTGTGTGGGGATTCTTGGGGGATCACTGGCTCAGAAGTTCTTCTCCAAGGTAGTTTGGCCTGGTCATTCTATGTTTTCATTTTGGATTAGCTTCTTGAATTGCCCCACAGATCCAATGCAGAAAG
Organism: Homo sapiens; assembly: GCF_000001405.40. Taxonomy (NCBI): domain Eukaryota; kingdom Metazoa; phylum Chordata; class Mammalia; order Primates; family Hominidae; genus Homo; species Homo sapiens. Next base: position 121,495,841 of record NC_000011.10, read on the forward strand.
TATCTCTTCAGCTAGGAATACTATAGGGTAAAATGAAATCTAAGACATGGCCTTCCGAGGCATCTATACTGTGTCTAGGAAGCTCAGACAAATACATAATGGTGAACAATAAAATACAGTGTCTAAGAGGCATTACTGCATAAAGGAATAAGACTGATTCTAAAAAATCACCCAACTAAAGGGGTTTTATACCTTTGTTTGGAGTTCAAACTCATGTAAAAGGCTTGGAATTGGATGCTGCAGAGGGATGTTATTGCTAGTGTTGGGAGAAGAGAGGACAGCACTGAGGAAGGCTTCCTGGAAGATGAAGACTTGAACTTGATGACAGAGGAGAGTAGGAATTGGATGGAGGGATCAGAGTGCGTGCAGAGGGCATCTCCTCACGAGAGTGTGGTGTTTGCAAAAGCACAGTGGGAGAAAGGTGCCCTCCCTTTCTGAAGGACATCAAGGAGATCAGTATGTTTGAGAAAGAGTTTGTGGAAGAGCCTCATGGGAGACGAAATGCACAGGCAGCTCCAGATTGCCTAGATCCATGACATTGGTAGGGGACAGGGCAGAGACAGGGCAGCGTCACTTGGAAGGATCAGGCTCAGAGGTTCATGGTGTGGTTTCTCCAGTAATGTTCTTCAGAGGATGTAGCACCTTGGGAAAACTCTCCTTCATTCCTCTGAGATTCATAACTTTAGACCAGAAACTTGCTTATAGCTTCAAGCAGTCCCTTGCTTATTAATTTTGAAACATTTTATCTTGTACTACTACTTTTTGCTCTTCCTAAGCAGGGCAGGGTTGCCTTGAGCTAAACCCAGGATGCTTTGAAAACAACATAAAACACCTTGCAAATGGCAATTTGTCCCCTCTATCCTGAGTCAAGGAGTAACCAAAGGGATATGTTTGAGGCACAGAGAGTATGATCTGTGGGTCACACCATGGTAGGCCTAAACTCTAGTTGATTATCCCATTGCAAAACTTCCATGCCTCTAGTAATTAAATGTGCAAATGATAACAACCTTTTTTTTTTTTTCTGCCAGGGGAATTGATCCCTATGACAAACCAAATACCATCTACATTGAACGACATGAACCCTCTGGCTACTCCACTGTCTTCCGAAGTACAGATTTCTTCCAGTCCCGGGAAAACCAGGAAGTGATCCTTGAGGAAGTGAGAGATTTTCAGCTTCGGGACAAGTACATGTTTGCTACAAAGGTGGTGGTAAGTTGAATGTACTAAAGAATAAACTACTTTTGAGTTTCCTTTGTGAAGTTTGGCATTCTGTGATTAAACAGGTGAGTTTGCATACACAGGAATTGGAAGGATGTGCTTGGGACAGATTGACTGAAGGGATCTCAACATTGACAACATTGACGAACATTCCGAAAGGGCTTGGCAGGTGCTAGGAAGTCAGAGGAGTGGAGAGGCCTAGGACAAACACTCAAAGTGGCTCTAGGCTCTAGGAATTTGGTTGTTTCCTGGTAGCCAAGCATCCTTGACAAAGACGTATTTCTTTGAAATCCCAATGAAAAGAACAAAGAATGGAGAGGGGAGGGTGGCTCAGTGGCTTCTTTCCTTTAATCCCACTGCCTGATTTCCTTTAAACTTATGCTGATTTCTTTGAGATTTTTCAACACATGTCAATTTACATGGCTAATAGGATGTGTAGTCATTGGCTAGTGGGAGTTAATGCTCTAAGAAAAGCAGTAATTAAGCTTCCAGCTGTCAGTAAGTAGCTTAACTCTCAGCCTTTGGGAAAATCTTCCCCTTGATTTGATGTGTTGGAGCCAGATGCCGAAATGGTGGGCTTGCTCATTCAAAACCAGAGTTGATTACTTAACAGGACTTGTCTTGAAATTGTATTGAGTTCAGTCTTTATCACCCTGGTTGTAAAGGAAAAAACCAGGCCCAGTCAAGGGCAGGTGGGGCTCTTATTTCTGGGAGGCTACTAGCTTGCTTTCCTGATGGTGCCCTTCCCTTGTTGACTCAGGGTCTGTTGAAGGCCTTTGCTAACTGGGAGGTTACTCTGTTGTCTTTCACTGTTAACCTTAGAGACTGAAATCAGACGTAATCTTTTCCTTCAGATTCTCATTTACTTCTATAATTGGTAGCAGGCCAGGTGGAAGTAGGTCAACCTTCTTAGTAGGATTTTAGGGTCAAGAGAGGATCTCCCCAGCAGGAAAAGCAGGGAGTAAGGACAGAATGAGAAGAGAGATGTGGGTGGCTAAAGGCTAGAGGCATTTCCAGTTACATACCTTGCAAAATGTTCTGAAAAACCATTAGCCTATGGCAGTTTTTCTTGTCAGGCCATTTGCATTGACCCATAGACATTGGTTCAGTGCCTTCCTGCCTTGACTGTTTCTTTATCTTTCTCTTAAACACACATGCACAAATATGTACAGCAGCCCAGAAACATAAGCATCCTCGAATGGCTTTGGGCAGGGATGGGGTGATGGGAACACACAGATAAGAAATCAGGCCCAAGCACTGGTGCCTTGTGACATCAGTTGGACAGTCTTGAGTTTTCAGTATGGTCTAAAACCTTGTCTTCAGTTCTCCAGGGTTTATAGGCCTTTTCTGCCTTAATGCCTTGGGCCTGGAGTTATTGTGTGATTTTAATTCTGAACTCTAAAACACATTGACTGACTGCCTGGTTTGTCCTCCTTTTTGCTTGAACCAGGGCAGGATGGATAGCTGTTGTGCATTTCTCTTAACCGGGTTATTTCTAGGTGTCACGGTCGAGAGTTTAAGTTATATCCCAGCTGGGCCGGGCATGGTGGCTCATGCCTGTAATCCCAGCACTTTGGGAGTCTGAGGTGGGTGGATCACTTGAGGTCAGTAGTTTGAGACGAGCCTGGTCAACATGGTGAAACCCCGTCTCTACTAAAAATACAAAAATTAGTCTGGTGTGGTGGCACATGCTTGTAATCCCAGCTACTCGGAAGGCCGAGGCAGGAGAATTGCTTGAATTTGGGAGGTGGAGGTTGCAGTGAGCCAAAATCATGCCATTGCACTCCAATCTGAGCAACAGAGCAAGACTCTGTCTCAAAAAAAAAAAAAAGTTATATTCTAGCTGGAGCTTTCTGTGCCCTCCATTCTAGTCTAACAGCTATGTCTGTTCTCCAGATGTATCTGATTTACAGAGTGCCTGTGGTGAGTTTTTAATTAAACCTGGCCAGTGGTAAGATTAGGGGTCATGTTTGTTTTGATCTCACCGATACAGTACCCAGTGCCTTGCGCTATGTTTGATACGCAGCAGATGCGCAATAGAGTTGAATGAATGCCATGTTTGCCCACCTAATTTAAAAAGTAGTCAATTTTTAGAAATTTGGTGGGAGACGTATTAAATTTTTGGTACTTTTATAGGCAATTCTTAACTCTCTGTATGGCTTATTTATTTATATGCTGTTGGTGGCAAAATTGTAGTTATGAGCTGGCTCCTCCTTCTGCACATGGATGAGCCACCAGATTCCAGGGTCAGTGGTATTAGTGAGAGGATGTAGGTAAGATGAGTTAGGCCACCACTGAGAGGTGTTTCCCAAATTGTGGTCTTAGGAGTACCCACGTCAGCATCAGGCAAGGACAGTTGTTACAAGTGCAGATTGCAGGGCTCAAATGCACTTTTCCCCAGATCATCCCAAGGTTGTCTAACAATCACCAGTTTGAGAAACTCTGCCCTGAGCCTTCTACAGGCAGATGCTTCAAATGACAGAGTTGTACTACTGTCTAGGGAATATTTCTCAAGGGATGGATTGATGGGAAAAGAAACACAACTGGCTGTGGATAGCACACAAAATATGTGCTTTCCTCCTTTTTATTACATCAGACTGCTAAACGACAAGGATAAACAAAGTTGGCCTCGGTCAGATAATCCCCTCCCAGTAAGAGTGTTGAAACCTGCAAGTGTAACTTTTTATCTGGGGTCTGCCTAGCTCTAAGGCTGCCTGAGCTTGGGAAATTCCAGCTGGCTTTAGTGTTAAATGAATTCAAATCAAATTGGGAAAATCAAAGAACTGATTTTAAAGCTACAGAAAGCTGGTTTTGCATGATTAACTCTTTTGCTTCCTTCCAGCACCATGAATGATTACAGTCCTTTGCAAGCTACTGTTTCAGCCCCCTGGCTTCTGGACTGGAGCTGGTGTCCAGGTCTTCAGAACCTCCTGGTACCCTGTTGGCCTCGCTCTGGCTTTATAATGTGCTTTGTATTTTTTGCCCTTAAGTTGCCTTGTTTAATTTTTATTCCTTGCTTTTTGACATGAAGTTCACTTATTTGTCTTCATAGTGTACATCAAAATGATAGGGCCATTAAAGAAACAATGAGGTTCCTCTGTGATTTGTTAATTTGGTAATATACAACTGTTAGGCTCTTTCAGTAGATAACAGTAATTGCTGAAAAGCTTGAGGTGGGTCAGGGTTAGCTACTCCCCTACAACCTCACAACCTCATAACCTCACTACCAGATTAAGATTATCATGCAAGCCAGGCCCAGATATTTCTTGCACAAATGTGTATCAGTAAGCAAAGACATGATCTGTGGACTTGAAGTCTCTTCTGTGACCTTACAGATGATGCAGCCACCCACGCCTTGCATGCTGCAGACGCTGTGTTCTAGAGTGGATGCTAGGAAACTATGGCCCACCACCTGTTTTTGTAAATGAAGTTTTACTGGGACACAGCCATGCTCATTGCTTATTTGTGGTCTAAGGTTGCTTTCATGCCCAGTGGTAGAGTTGCATAGGTACCTATACAGAGGCAATATGGCTCCAAAAGCCTAAAATATCTATTATCTGGACCTTTACAGATAGTTGTCTGACTTCCTGTAGTTGCTGACTATGCTGATAGTTGTCTGTTACCCCTTCAGTTGGCATCAGGTAACTGGAATCGCAATGTCTTGACAGGTCCCAGGCATTATCCAGAAAAGTATAGGTTATGGGCCTCTCTAAATTGTTATGCCCTGTTAATGACAGGATGGTATCTTTAGAATATTATGCCCAATTCAAGTATTTTGATGTCACACCAGTCTCCCAAGTGAGGGTCCATGTGTATTTTCATGATTCTGACTAAGCAACCACGAATTTCACTATTGAAAACCAATTTTCAACCTTAAGCTAATTTGCTCTCTAATGTTGATCAGAGGTAACAGAACAGTTTAGTAACTGCTACAGGGTGTTGTGGGCTTCTAGATGAGAAATCAGCTGACAAAACTGTGTTGTGAATTATAGGATAACTGACCCAAACCAAACTACTTATAAATTATTTTAACTATGTTACTTAAATGTATAAGCACCCAATGCTTATAACTCTCATACGTGATCAATAAAACCCAGATATTTACAGATTAAAAATAAAACTATAACAATACATTTAAAATTAATATTTGTTACAACTGTGTTGAGATACAATTCACATTCTGCAAAATTTACCCTTTTTAAGTGTGCAATTTAGTGGTTTTTAGTTTATTCATAAGGTTATACAATGATCATCATTACCTAATTCCAAATATTTTTATCACCTCAGAAAGAAACCACATACCCATTACCATTACTTCCTTCTCCTCCCTGATGCTGGTAACCACTAACCTAGTATCTTTATGGCTTTTTCAATTTTGGGCAATTTGTGTAATGGAAATCATACAATTTGTGACTTTATTAGTCCATTTTCATACTGCTATGATGAAATGCCCGACACTGGGTTATTTATAAAGAAAAAGAGGTTTAATAGACTCACAGTTCCACATGGCTGGAGAGGCCTCACAATCAAGGCGGAAGGTGAAGGAGGAGCAAAGGCATGGCTTACGTGGCGGCAGGCAAGAGAGTGTGTGCAGGGGAACTGCCCTTTATAAAACCATCAGATTTTGTGAGACTTATTCATTATCATGAGAACAGCACAGGAAAACCCGCCCCCATGATTCAGTTACCTCCCACCAGGTCCCTCCCATGACATGTGGGGATTATGGGAGCTACAATTCAAGATGAGATTTGGGTGGGGACACAGCCAAACCATATCAGTGACCTTTTGTGACTGGTTTCTTTCACAGTATAATGTTTTCAAGTTTCATTTATGTTGTAGCATGTATCATTACTTTAACCATTTTTAATGGCTGACTAGTATTGTAATGAATATAACACATTTTATTTATCCATCTATTAGTTGGTGGCCATTTGGCTTGTGTCTACTGTTTTACTGTTACAAACAGTGCTGCTGTGAATGTTCGTGTGCACGTTTGTGTGTGAACTTATGTTTTAATTCTGTTAGTTTATACCTGGGAGTGTAACTACTGGGTCATGTGACAATTCTTTTTTTTTTTTTTTTTTTTTTTTTTTTTGAGATGGAGTCTCACTCTGTCGCTCAGGCTGGAGTGCAGTGGTGTGATCTCGGCTCACTGCAAGCTCCGCCTCCTGGGTTCATGCCATTCTCCTGTCTCAGCCTCCCGAGTAGCTGGGACTACAGGTGCCCGCCGCCACACCTGGCTAATTTTTTGTATTTTTTAGTAGAGACAGGGTTTCACTGTGTTAGCCAGGATGGTCTCGATCTCTTAACCTCGTGATCCACCCACCTCGGACTCCCAAAGTGCTGGGATTACAGGCGTGAGCCACCATGCCCGGCCGACAATTCTATGTTTAACTTTTCGAGAATCGGTCAAGTGGTTTTCCAAAACTATTGTACCATTTTATATTCCCACCAGAAATGTATTAGGGTGTAGTTTTCCCATATCCTTGTCAACATTTGCTACTGTTTTTTGGATGATAGCCATCCCAGTTAAGTGTGAAGTGGTATCTTATGGTTTTCATTTGAATTCCTGATGGCTAAGGATGTTGAACATCTTTTCACGTGGCTGTTGGCCATTTGTATGTCTTTCTTGGATGGATGTCTATTCAAGTCCTTTGTCCGTTTTTAAATTGGGTTCTTTTTTATTGTTGAGTTATAATAGTTCTTTATTCTATATATTCTTTATATACAAGTTATATGATTTGCAAATCTTTTCTGCCATTCCGTGGTTTATCTTTTTACTTTTTTCTTTTTCAGCACTGAAGTTTTTATTTTTATTTTATTTTTTTGAGTTGGGGGTCTTCCTCTGTCACCCAGGCTGGAGTACAGCGGAGCGATTGTGGCTCACTGCAGCCGTGATCTTCGTGTGCTCAAGCAATCCTCCTATCTCAGCCTCCCAAGTAGCTGGGACCACAGGCATGTGCCACCATACCTGTTAATTTTTTTATTTTTTGTAGAGACGGGGTTTCATCATGTTGCCCAGGCTGGTCTCAAACTCCTGGGCTCAAGCAGTCCTCCCACCTTGGCCTCCCAAAGTGTTGGGATTGTAGGCACGAGCCACCATGCCCAGCCGTGTTTTTAATTTTGATGAAGTTCAGTTTATCCATTTTTTTTTGCTGCCTGTGCTGTTGTTATATCCAAGAAACTATTGCCTAATCTGAGGTCATGAATATATACTTCCCTTTCCTTTAAGAGTTATGTAGTTTTAGTTCTTACAGTCTATGATTCATTTTCAATTAATTTTTGTATCTAGTGTGAAATAGTTATTTACCTTCATTCTTTTGCATGTGGATAACCAGTTGTCCCACCACCATTTGTTGAAAAGGCTATACTTTTTCCTTGGCACCTTGGTTGGAAATTATTTTCTCATAAATATGAGAATTTATTTCTGGACTCCTTCTCTCTTTTTTTTTGAGACAGTTTTGCTGTCACCTAGGCTGGAATATAGTGGCATGGTCATGGCTCACTGCAGCTTTGAACTCCCAGGCTTAAAGGTCCTCCTGCCCCAGCCTCCTGAGTAGCTGCAACTGCAGGCATTCACCACTGTGCCTGGCTAAGTTTTTGAAGAGACAGGGTCTCACTATGTTGCCCAGGCCACTGCACCTGGCCTGTTTCTGGACTCTTAATTCTATTCCATTAATCTGTATATCTACCCCTATGCCAGCATCACACTGTCTTGATTACTGTAGTTCTCTAATAAGTTTTGAATTTGGAAAATTTGAACTCTCCAACTTTGTTCTTTTTCAAGATTGTATTGGCTATTCTGGGTTCCTTGCATTTCCATGTGTATTTTAAGATCAGCTTGTCAATTTTTTGCCAAAACAAAACAAAAACCACAGATAGGATTTTGATAGAGATTGATCTACAGATTCAACACAATTTGGAGAGTGTTATCATCTTAATATATCATGCCTTCCAATGCATGGACAAAGGATATTCTTCCATTTATTTAGGTTTTCTTTAATTTCTTTCAACTGGGTTTTCTGGTTTTCAGTGTACAAGTCCCGGACTTCTTTAGTTAAAATTTTTTTCCTGGCTGGGCGCGGTGGCTCACGCCTGTAATATCAGCACTTTGGGAGGCTGAGGTGGGCGGATCACGAGGCCAGGAGTTCGAGACCAGCCTGGCCAATATGGCGAAACCCCGTCTCTACTAAAAATACAAAAATTAGCTGGGCGTGGTGGAGCGCACCTGTAGTCCTAGCTACTCGGGAGACTGAGGCCGAAGAATCTCTTGAACCTGGGAGGTGGAGATTGCAGTGAGCTGAGATCGTGCCACTGCACTCCAGCCTGGGCGACAGAGCGAGACTCTGTCTCAAAAAAAAAAATTTCCTAAGTATTCTTTTTGGCTCCATTGTAAATGGTTCTTTTCTAAATTTCATTTTCAGATTGTTCATTGCTAATATATAGAACATGATTGATTTTTGTATTATTGATCTTATATTCTACAACCTTGCTGAACTTTATTAGTTCTAACTTTTTTGGTGTGTGGATTCCTTAGGATTTTCTGTTTACAAGATGATGTTGTCTGCTAAAAGAGACAACATCATCCTTTAATTCTTCCTTTTCAGTCTGGAGGCCTTTTATTTATTTATTTTTTTGCCCAACTGCCTTGGGTAGAACCTCTAGTAAAATGTTGACTAGGAGTGGAGAGAGTAGGCATCCTTGTCTTATTCCTGATCTTAGGGGAAATGCATTCAGTCTTATTAAGTATGATTTTTAACTGTGAGGTTTTTCTAGATGTCCTTTATCAATTTGAGGAAGGTTCCCTTCTATTCATGGGTTGTTGAGTGTTTTTATCATGAAAAAATCTGGGATTTTGTCAGTGCTTTTTCTGTGTCAGTTGCAATGATCATATGTTTCTTTTTTTTCCTCCTTTAGTCTATTAACATTGAATATTACACTGATGGATCTTTCTCATATGTTAAACCAATGCACATTTTTGGAATGAATCCCACATGCTCTTGGTTTATAATCATTTTTATCCTTTAATTTGTTTGGCAGAATTTACCATCTTTGTGGGAAGTTTTCTGGATACTAATTCAATCTTTTCAGTTTTTAAAATTTCTCTTTGGTTCAGTTTCAGCAGTTTGTATCTTTCTAGTAATTTGTTCATTTATTCTAGGTTATTTAATTTTTAATTATTCATAGTGTTCACACTAATCTTTTTTTTATTTCTGTGAGGTTGTTAATGATGTTTCTTATTTCTTTCCTAATTTTAGTAATTTGAGTCTTCTCTTTTTTTCTTGGTAAGTCTAGCTTGTAGTCTAGTTTATTAAATGTTGTTAATCTTTTCAAAGAATCAATATATTGTTTGAGTAATTTTCTTTATTATTTTTCTCTTCTCTATTTCATTTATTCCTACTGTAATCTTTATATTTCTTTCATTCTGCTTGCTTTGGGCTTAGTTTGCCCTTATGTTTCTATGTTCTTAAGGTGGATAGTCAGGTTATTGATTTGATATTTTTCTTCTTTTTTTATATAAGTGATTACAGGTATACATTTTCCTCTAATCACTGCTTTAGCTGCATTTCATATGCTTATGTTTTCATTTTCATTCATCTTAAAGTATTTTCTAATGATTCTTGTGATTCCTTTTGACTTCATTGATGATTTTTGAATGTGTTGTTTAATTTCAATATATTTGTGAATTTCCTTCACTTTTTGGTTTCTCATTTTATTCTATTATGATCACAGAATGTACTTTATATGGTTTCAGTTCTTTTTAAATGTATTGGGGCCTATTTTAATACTTAACATCTGTTATCCTTGAGAATGTGGCTGAACATGTGGAATGAAACATGTGCTTTGAGAAGAATGTGTATTCTGCTGTTATTGGGTATTATGTTCTATAAGTGTTTATTAAATCTACTTGGCTGATGGTGATGTTCAGTTTATCTTTTTCCTTTTCTGCCTTGTTCTATATTGAAGGTGGGAAAATCTTCAACTGTTGAAATCTTTAAGTATTATCATCTTGATTATTTATTTCTCCCTTCAATTCTGTCAGTTTTCCCTCATGTGCTTTGGAGTTCTGTTGTTAGGTGCATATATGTTTATGATTGTTAATTCTTCTAGATTGACACTTTTATCATTATTAAATGTCCTTCCTTGTCTCTAGTAACTATTTTTTGTCTTAAATTCTATTTTGCCTATTATTATAGCTATTCTTTTCTTCTGGGTACAGTAAACATGGTGTATTAGTCCGTTTTCATGCTGCTGATAAAGACATACCCAACACTGGGCAATTTACAAAAAAGGTTTATAATGGACTTACAGTTCCATGTGGCTGGGAAGCCTCACAATCATGGTGGAAGGCAAGCAGGAGCAAGTCATGTCTTACATGGATGGCAGCAGGCAAAGAGAGCTCATGCAGGGAAACTCCTCCTTTTTAAAACCATCAGATCTCATGAGACTTATTCACTATCAGGAGAACAGTGATAACACTATCATGGAAAAGACCTGCCCCCATGGTTCAGTTACCTCCCACCTGGTCCCTCCCATGACATGTGGGAATTCAAGATGAGATTTGGGTGGGGACACAGCCAAACCATATCACATGGCATATCACTTTTTCATCCTTGTAGTTTCAATCTATTTGTATCTTTGAATCCTTGTAAATAGCATATGGTTGTGTCAGGTCTTTTATGCATTCTTTTAATTTCTGCCTTTTGATTAGGATGTTTAATTTACTTACATTTAATGTAATTACTGAAAGGTAGACTACATATCTGCTATTTTGCTCTTTGCTTTCTATATTCCTGATAAATTTTTTTTGGATCCTTTATTACTTCATTACTGCCTTTTTTTGTATTAAATACAGATTTTCTAGGGTGACATTTAAATTCCCTTGTACCTTCTTTCACTAAATTTTTCCCAGGTGTTTTCTTAATCTGTGCTTTGGGGATTACAATAAATATCTTAATTTATGAAATCTAATTTGGATTAATAACAATGTAACTTCAGTAGTGTACAAAATCTTTGTCATTATATAGCTTTATTGTGTCCCTGCTTTTGTGCTATTATTGTTTCATCTTTATACTCTTTAAGCCCATCAGCACAGTTTTAGTCTAATTGAGGACTCCTTAGATGAGTCATTTTTCTTTGCTGCTTTCCAAGGTTCTTTATCTTTGGCTTTCAGCAGTTTTACTGTGGTGTGTCTGGGTATGGGTCTCTGAGTTTATCCTTTTAGGAATTCATTGAGCTGACTGGATTTATGTTTTTTATCAAATTTGGGGAGTTTTGGGTCATTATTTCTTCAAATATTCTTTCTCCTTTATTCTCTCATCTCGTCAGTGACTTTGGTAATGTGTATGTCAGGACACTTGATGGTGTTTCCTGGGTCTTTTAGGCTGTTTATTTTTAACATTCTTTTTTTTGTTGTCAGACTGAGACATCACAATTGACATGTCTTAAAGTTCACTGCTTTTTTATTTTCCTGGTTCAAATCTTCTGTTGAACCCCTCTACTAAATTTTTCTTTTATTATACTTTTCAACTCCCAAATTTCTATTTGCTTGTTTTTAAAAAATATTTCTATTTCTTTATTGATATTCTCTATTTGATGAGGCATTGTTCTCATACTGTCCTTTCATACTTTATACATGATTTCTTTTAGTCCTTTGAACATATTTATAATAGCTTATTTAATTTTTTTTTTTACTTAGTCTAATGTCTGAGCTTTTAAGGACAATTTCTACTGACTACTCTTTTTGTTTGTGTATAGGCTATACTTTGTTGTTTCTTTGCTTGTCCTGTGATTTTTTTTGTTGAAAACTGGACATTTTAAATGGTGTGGTACCTCCAAACCACTGACACCCCTTCCTCAGGGTTTTGTGTTGTTGCTGTTTGTTGTTGCTGTTTTTGTTGTTGTTGTTATTGTTGTTCAGGGAGTTTCCTGTACTGCTATCAAGTTTGTGTTCTTTATTGTTTTTGCTACTGAATTGTCTCGTAATTTAGCTTATTGGTCAGCTAATGATAAGACAGAGATTTTCTTAAACTCTTTGAACCACTAAGTCTCTCAGCCTTTGCTAATGGCCTCTGGGTGTGTGTTAGGGTATACCTTCAATGCTTTTGCAGGCAGTTTACAACTCTGTCCTAGCCTTCACTTCCTGCTTATGTAGAGCTTCAAGATTAGCTGGAGGTAAGAGACTAGACCCCGTTCATTTCTTTCTTGAGCATACTCACGGCTCTTATGTGCTTGACCTTGTAGAGTCCCAGGAATACTCATCTAGAGCTTATTAAAGCCTCCTAAGGGCATCTTCTTCCCCATTTTTTCCTTTTAAGCTTTTTAGTTAGCCTCTTTTTAATTCCCAATTGGTAATACTGTCTTCAGAAGTTACAGTGATAAGCCTTTGCTAATTTTTATTCACTATTTTCAGTAAATGCCTTGGCTGGCTATAAGGCTGTCTATATCATGAACCAAGTCAGGCTATGTAAAGACAAGAGCTGATAATGCAGCCTTCCTGTGAGCCCCCAGACAGGTCAGGCTTTTTGGGAACTCCAGACCTATTCTGTCCTCTCCAGTGGCTGCCAGGCTGCTGTTTTTCACAGCTATTGTAGATGTGAGGCTGTGGGTTTCCAAGGCTACCACAGAGCTAGAGAGAGGGGGATGGGATTAGGGCAAATGAAAACATCACAAAGCTGGCTATTTTTGCCAAGATTCAGCCATTGTTCTTGAGTAAATGTGCCTTGGATTTTTGCAACCCTTTATTTCATTTGCAGAATTCTGAAAAAGTTGATTTTGAGGATTTTTGTCAGTGTTTTTCTTGCTTTTATGGATAAGTATATTTTTAGAGTTCCTAGAAATGCTTCCAATTAATATTAACTTTGTAAACTTTATTATAGGCATTTTCCAACCTACACGAAAGAACAGTTAATGCTGATATGACCTCCCCACGTGCCCTCACCAACTTCAATATTACTTACCTACATTTGCCAACCTCTCCTTAGCTATCTACTCACTACTTTTTTTTCCCCCTGGAATATCCCAGATGTCAGATTTTAGCTATGTTTCATTTATGATTTTTTTTTTTTTTTTGTAAACAACATTAAGGTGGATGAGGATGTTTTGCTGAACCTTTGTTGCTGCTCCAAGGGAGGATGTGACCCATGGCTCTGGTGCTTCTGAACTAGTGGCCCTGTGCTTCCCCATGCCTTGGGAGGGCTTAGTTCTTTACCCATTTTCTCTAGCTGAGCTGCCATGCAACTTTCAGTGGGATAGCTCATTGCAGTATCCTTTGGCCTTTACTTGATAAGAATGTCCTTTATTTAGTTCCTTTACTCCTCTTTTCTCCTTGATCCTCCGTTTCTTTTTGCTCTTGACACAATCTCAAATATAAATGGAAATTCAGGTTATTCAGATACCTAGATGAATTTATTTATTTAATTATTTATTTTTTTTCTGAGATGGAGTCTTGCTCTGTTGCCAGGCTGGAGTGCAGCGGCATGATCTCGGCTCACCGCAACCTCCGCCTCCTGGGTTCAGGTGATTCTCCTGTCTCAGCCTCCCGAGTAGCTGGGATTACAGGCATACTCTACCATGCCTAGCTAATTTTTCTATTTTTAGTAGAGACGGGGTTTCACCATGTCGGCCAGGATGATCTTGATCTCTTGACCTCGTGATCTGCCCACCTCGGCCTCCCAAAGTGCTGGGATTACAGGTATGAGCCACTGCACCCAGCAGAATTTATTTTTAGTTATCAGAAATGAAAACACAAAATTAAAAAAAATCTTCTTATAAATTCTCAGACTCTATAAGATTGAATTAGATTCAAATATTTAAATCATTTCTACTAGTTGATGAAGTTTGTGCATTTGTGGATGTATTAGTTGGTACAACCTTTCAGGAGGGCTATTTCATGATAGCTATCAAAAATACAAATTTTGACTTAATAATTCTTCTAAGACTGCATCCTACCAATGGTATTGTGCAGTTCTGAAAAAGTAATAAATACATGCTTATTTATATGTGTGTGTGTTTAAGAATGTTTCTGGAAATAACTAAAGTGCCCACCAATAGCTGTTAAGTGGAAAGATGTCTAAGATACATTGCCAATGATAAAATTTTAAATTGTGGGACAGTAAGATACACTGTTAATGGAAAAAGTTAAGTAATACAACAGCATTTATATCATGATCCAAATTATATGTGAAAAATTAAATTGCCTCTGTCAGTTTAGAACTATATTAGGTTGCTGGTAATAGACTAGAAATAAAAATTGCTTAACCAAGTCAGGAGTTTAGTTTTCTCCCCCTTGCTGCCTGGAGGTAGGCTGTCTTGGGCTGGTATGTTGGTGTCCTGATGTTCTTGGGGATCCAGGTTTCTGTCTTAATGTTCTGCCATCCTGACTAGTGATTTCCATTCTCAAGATTACCTCATGGTTCAAGACATCCATACTAGCCTTCAAGTCCTTATTGCAGTTAAGAAGAATAAGGAAAGACAGCAAGTAGGACCTCTTCCCACCAATTCTGTCTGTTTAGGCAGCCTTCTCAGAAATCCAGCACGAAACTTCTGTTTTTATCTCATTGACTAGTACTTAGTCACGTGACTTCCCATAGGTGCAAAAATGGTAGAGAAGTGCAGTCATTTATTCTGGGTGGTGTCAGAGTCCCACTGCTCAGGAGGAAAGGGATAATGGGTGTTGGGGGTAGGTGTAGCAGTGTCTGTCACTATGTACATATGCTTGCATGTGGTGGCACAGTACATTTCTGAAAGGATGCACAAGAGCTGTTAGCCACTGGGCACTCTGCAGGGTAGAGTGGGAGGAGGGATGTGGAGATCAGAGCAGAGCTTCTGCATTTACCTTATACCCATCTGTGCTGTTGGATATTTTCCATGAGTATGCTTTGCTTTTTAATAATAGTGATAAAAAACAAACCAACCCAAAACCTATGGTTTATTAAGAAAAATCTCAGAGCCTTACAATACATCTTATAATCACTAGTGTGCCATAGTTTAATTGTTAATATATTTCTTGGTGGAAGTAAAACAATACAGTAACTCTTTAAAAATCCATTAAGAATGAACCTGAATTGTCCAGGTTTAGGAATAATTCTCCAAGAAGGTAGTGGGATCGATGCATTTTGAGATTTTTTTTTTGATGATTGTAGTATTCTGTGATTTTTGCATTTATGAGGTAAGACTGACCTGTGAAATATATTCTTAATACTCAGGCCTCCCAGCAGCAATCGTTAAGTATTTTTAACTAATGATGGGCCTGGGTGTCATTGAGAAATCACTCTTTTTAAAGTTATACTCACAGTTGGAAGTCGTAAAAAACAAAGCATAAAAATGTATATTTCATTGATATGTTCCTCTATATATTCACAAAAATGTATGTGTATAGGCTGACTTAAACTAATCATCTGACATAGCCATGACATTTTATCAACTTAATGAAGGCTTTTGGAATTTATATGTAACAATTTTGCTGGGAACTGTTTTCTTATTCAGTTAATATGCTTTTACATTTTTAATAGATCCATCATTTCCTACGGCCCTATGTTTAGTACAAGCTATTAATATGGTTTTCAGGTTTCCATTTTGGTGGGCAGTCTTTCGTACCTCTCTGCCTGATTTCTTTAAAACAAACTACTTTTAACCATTTGTTCAGTGGTGATTTGAATGTCTGCTGCTCAAATGGATTAAAAGTAACTTTGTCTTTATCAGCTGGGTCCTCACAGTATTTATGGGGCATGTTTGAGCACAGGGTACTGAATCGTTATATTGCAGATAAAATAAATGGATATGTTCCTTACTCTATAGGAAGTTAATATCTATAATAAACAGCAACCTAGTCAAGGATAAGTGAAGCCAAAGTAACCCCTCTGGCTGGGAATCCCAACATCTCAATATGTTTAATAGTCATTTGTATGATTATGTCCACATGAGGGTATGCCTCCCTGTGTCTTTCCTGATAGATATGCAACATTTGCCTTCAGCTTCTGGCCATGTTCTTTTAGAGCTGGAAGAAACCACACAGAGTTTTTATAATAGTTCTTATCCTTTTTTGAGTGGTGGACTTTCTTGAGAATCTGATAAAACGTACGGAGCCTCCATAGCAAAATAAATGAGTGTATATAAAAAAATTTGCATATATGTTTACAGGGTTGCTGGACCATTTAAACCCATCTACAGGGAAGTCTTGATCCAAATAAGCTTCTCCTTTTGTATATGAATAAACTGAAAGCTAGAGAGATTTCTATCATTTTCTCAGTTGGTAGAGCTAGCTCTTAATCTATGCTTTTATACACATTTCCAAGATTCTTGCTGTGACTTAAAAATCTCTAAAATGCAATGTGATGTGGTCAACATCATGTTGAATACTCTACCAATGAATATGTATTCTAGCAAAAGACCTTCCTCAATGAGATTATTCAGAGATGGAAAACCAGAATCAATGAAGATTCTCTCAAGTCTTGGTGCAAATTAAAACCTTGTGACTGGAGCATCCTTGTAATCTAAAAATAGGAGTAGAAAGAAGAAAAGAACATGTTTTGTGTGCATGGTGTGTGGCTGATCTCACCCTTTAGTGGTTTGGGGGCCGTAGGCTCCTCCCTGCGTGTTTCTTCAGCCTCATCACACAATCCTCTTTCTATCTCTTACTCTGTTGAAGTGTTGGCAGCCTCCAAAAACCTCCTCTAGTCCAAGTTCTACCATCATACCATTTCCTTATCTAATATCCATGGAGTGTCTAGTGTCTGTTGCAAACCGGGTATCTAAGATGAAGCAGTACAACCCAAACTGCCCAGTGATGGCAGACATTGCAAAAACATGAATTTGCAATCACAGTCTCTATTTTGTGTTTCCAGTAGAACTGGAAGAATCTGACTCTTCTATTTTTATTTTTGCTGCTTTTGAATGACTGTAATGTGGCACCATTAATTTTTTTTTCTCCTCTTCCTTGGCAGCATCTCTTGGGCAGTGAACAGCAGTCTTCTGTCCAGCTCTGGGTCTCCTTTGGCCGGAAGCCCATGAGAGCAGCCCAGTTTGTCACAAGACATCCTATTAATGTGAGTGGGGTCTGCTTGAGGATGGGAAGAAGTATCATTGTCTTTATGCAGAGGTCAGAGGAAGGTTGTTGCAGGGATGGCCTGCTGGAGTGGATATTTTATGGCGCCTCCCTGAAGTCAGGTCTCTAGAGAGTGCAGCTATGCTTTGGGCATCGTGGTCTGTGGTTCCCACTTCACTGAAGCAGAGCTGAACGAGAGACTTAGTTTGCTTTAAGTGGAGCAGCACTGGCAGAGAGAGGTTCGAGCCAGAGTCAGTGCCATCTGAGCAACGTGCCAGTACTGAAGCAATGGGAAGTTTGTGCATGATAGGATCTTTTTTTATTAAGTAACTGCTGGATTGCTTGCAGGGGATGAATTCCAGCAGAGGATAGGATTTGGGTCCCACCTTTTAGAAACAGGCTGGAGAGACTAAAAACTGAGTAGCAGAAGAAACCAGACATAAGCAAATGCTTAAATATGCAGCTTTATAACATGAAGATGGATAGGAAAAGTCTGCATGGGATGGGTCATTAGAGGAGCTGCCACAGGGAGACGGTCACAGTGAAACGTCTTGACATTGGCAGGTGGTTTGGTGAAAGGTAAGTAGCTCACTTACTTACCTTCCACCAAATGAGTGGGATCATACGGAGAACAGTCATGCCAGTCCTTTGCTAGTTTCTATGGATTCTGCTTTCCTTTGGTCACCTTAGGAAAAATAAAGGGAAGTGCATTAACCCGTATTGTACTTTGTACGAATGAAAGTTCTCATGGGAAAATGAGGGAGACATTATTAACGGAAAGAGGTTTGTAGGTCATTTGTGCAGTGCAGTGGCCCATTATTTTGTGCCCCATTTGCCAGTAAGGGGCCCGCTAAGCTGCAGATCTGCCTCAGGTTCTCCAAAGGGAAAGTCGCCAAAGCTTCTTTGCCAAGGTTAGGGAGCTTCCCGTGGGCTTTAGGCCAACATTCATCGCTAGAACATTTGAAAGTCATTGCTTCCGTGTGTATAGTAAAAGCCCACAGGGCACATTTGTTTTTTGACGTATCTTTTTTGACTTTTGATTCCAAAGGAATATTACATCGCAGATGCCTCCGAGGACCAGGTGTTTGTGTGTGTCAGCCACAGTAACAACCGCACCAATTTATACATCTCAGAGGCAGAGGGGCTGAAGTTCTCCCTGTCCTTGGAGAACGTGCTCTATTACAGCCCAGGAGGGGCCGGCAGTGACACCTTGGTGAGGTAAGGAGACTGTGAGTCCTTCTCCTGCCTTCTTAGGCCAACACAACCATTAGCTTCTCTCTGGTTCTGTGGTTTTCAACATTAGCTGCCCATGTGGATACACCCGGGGAGCTTTCGGAAACCCGATGCCTGGCTCACGTGCGCAGAGATCACCATGGGATGGGTTTGGGGTGTGGCCAGGTTATGAGGATCTTAAGAAGCGCCCTAGGTGATTCTTACGTGCAGCCAAGTCTGAGAACTACAGCTCTAGGTAACATTTAGGGTCCGAGCTACTGTGTTAATCACTTCCTTGAGCTGCTTTTGTTCAGTTTTCTGGTTTTGTGGTTTCTGAGCAGTGAAAAACAGCACTTGGTAAATATCAGTCAGTGAGAGCTGGCATATGCGGCCAGTGGATCAGGTTAATTGATGTCATTACTCTTTTTAAGAGATAATCGGACGGTGTTTTGTAAAGAAAGGCACCAACGTCATTGATCCTTTGTCTGTAAATCATGTGTTTAGAGCTGTTTTGTAGTCCAGCAGTGGGCGGTCTCGGAGCACCACACCCATCAAGGGGTGGTGGAGGAGTTGGGGGTTTGGGAGGGATGAATTGGTTCTTAAGATCCGTTCAGGGCCATTTATTCTGATTTGTCGTTTGACAACCAGACTTGTGTGACCTGTGTGGCTGTGGTTAGAGTCCCCTCTGCTCTTGGAAAGAGTCTCCCGTGTGAAGCTGACTGGTCTGGGGTGGGGTCTGGCTCTCCAGCCATGACAACCAGGTCTGAGGGCATGCCCCTGTGCCCACTGTTTCTGGGCAATTCATTCCGTTGTCAGTTTATTCACAGGTATGCTGCTGCTCTCTGCCAGACAGTGTTCTAGGTATAGCCACAAAGTAATGTATGAAGCAATAAAATATCAGAACAAAGTCCCTCTTCCATGGAGTTTGTATTCTAGTTGGGGAAGATAGAATATAAGCAAATATGTGATCTGCCTGGTAACATGTTGAAAAGAAGAATAAAGCAAGATCAGGGGATGGGGATTTGCAACGGTGTTCTTTTATTCTATTGGCTGCTTCAGGAGGGGGACATTTAAGCAGGTGCCTGAATTACATGAGGGAAGGAACCAGGCAGACCCCTGGGGGAGTAGCGCTGCAAGCAGGGCAGACAGGAAGCACAGTGACTCTGAGGCTGGACTGCACTGGTGTTTTAGGAGCAGGGAGGAGGCCAGGGTGGCTGGAAGGGCTGCAGAGAGGGAGAGAGAAGGAAGAAACAGGACCTAAGAGAGCAGGGCTCAGATCCTATAGGGCCTTCAGGGGCTTGTGAAGAACTTTGTTTTTTTCTTTTTTGTTGTTTTTGTTTGTTTGTTTGTTTTTGAGATGGAGTCTCGCTCTGTCGCCCAGGCTGGAGTGCAGTGGTGCAATCTTGGGTCACTGCAACCGCCGCTTCCTGGGTTCAAGTGATTCTCCTGCCTTAGCCTCAAAAGTAGCTGGGATTACAGGTGTGCACCACCAGGCCAGGCTAATTTTTATATTTTTAGTAGAGACAGCACCATGTTGGCCAGGCTGATCTCAAACTCCTGACCTCAAGTGATCTGCCCGCCTTGGACTCCCAAAGTGCTGGGATTACAGATATGAGCCAACACACTCAATCCTGTCTTTTCCTTCGAAATGAGATGGAAGGTTTAGACCAGGAGATGGACATGATCTGATTTAACCTTTCAATTTTTTTCCGTTAAAATCTGTGAATTGCATTATATAATGAAAAGAATATAACACATAAATGGATAGTGTTCTAAATAATTATAAGTGAGCACTCATGTGGCTTATCTTTTACAGGAGTTATCCTCAATGCTGTGTGGGAATTTGACTACTGTGACTACTGTAGGGGACAAAGGTGGGAACAGGAAGACTAGTTGTGAAAGTATTGCAGAGATACAGGCCAGTAGGGATGGATGTTGGCTGGACCCAGGGTGGTCACACTAGAGACGCTGGAAATGGTCAGACCCTAAATATATTTTGAAAGTAGAGCCAATGGGATTTGTTGATAGATGGGACGAGGGGTACGAAAGGAGGAGGAGCCAGGGGACTGCTACTGCTTCACCCGAGCTGCCTTTAAAGAGATGGCCACACAGGGAGTCAGGGAGAGCTGGGGCAGGGGCAATATTGGGGGGAGATCACCAGCTTGGTTTGGGACTTACCTGGTTGGAGAGGCCTATTGGATATCCATGTGCCCAGCCTTCTACCTGGCCTCTGACAGTGCTTTTCCACTTCCTGTTTCTTCTCTTTTGGAGGTGCTGTCATCTTTTATTCCTTTCCTCCCCTGACATAGACTCATGGATTAATTATTATTTAATGTGTTATAAACCATTCCTGCCATGATACATTTTGATGCTCAGCTTGTCCTGGTTTGGTCAGTGGCGGACCCTACCTCCTTCTGTTTGGTTCTTGTCGTTTTTTATTGAAAAAATTATTTACTGGCCGGGCATGGTGGCTCACGCCTGTAAACCCAGCACTTTGGGAGGCCAAGATGGGTAGATCACGAGGTTAGGAGATCGAGACCATCTTGGCTAATGTGGTGAAAGCCCATCTCTACTAAAAATACAAAAATTAGCTGGGCGTGGTGGCACGTACCTATAGTCCCAGCTACTTGGGAGGCTGAGGCAGGAGAAATGCTTGAACCTGGGAGGTAGAGGATGCAGTGAGCCAAGATCGTGCTACTGCACTTCAGCCTGGGCGACAGAGCGAGACTCTGTCTCAAAAAAAAAAAATTATTTATTGAGGTGAAATGTATATAACATCAGCTTAACTGTTTTAAAGTGGGCAATTCAGTGGCATTCAATACATTTACAATGTTGTGCCACCGCCACCTCTGTTTAATTTCATGGCCTTCTCATTTCTCCAAAAGAGAACCCCATGCCCATTAAGCCGCTTCTCTCCACCGTCCCCTTCTCCCAGCCCCTGGCAGCCGTCAGTCTGATTTCTGTGTCTGTGGATTTTTCCCTATTTTACAGGATGTTTCATATAAATGGAATCATACAATAATATGTGACCTTCTGTGTCTGGCTTCTTTCACTTAGCCTAATGTTTTCAAGGTTCATCCGTGAGTACCATATATCAGTGCCTCATTCATTTTAATGGGTGAATAATATTCTCCTTTTAAAAATAATTAAAATAATGAATCACTATCCCTCAGACCTTTCACTGACTCTTTAATTTTTCTTTTTTCACCATTGAAAGCCCCTGGCTGTGGAATGGAAAAGTCACAGCTTGCTAAATATTTTCTCGTCTTCCTCATTTGTCAGATATTCAGGGTGAATGTTTCATGCTGGGACAGAGTATGAGCCAGAAGCCAGAGCGATGGCCCTTTACAGAGTCATGAAGGCCTCCCCTCCTTGCCTGAGCGCACAGTCCAGTGAAGAAACTGGAAATAGATTCACGTCAAGAGTCATAGGCCAACGTCCCACTCAGTTTTCTCATTGTTCTCAGATTTTATCTGAGGACTAGAGAGGTTCCATTATACTCAGTTGAGTGATGTTTTGTCATCTGCATCTCAATCTCAGCCAGGTGAAATGGGATAAAGGTGAATTAGCACATCGTGTGGGCAGGCTGGTTTAGAGTAAACTGCTATGTGAAATGAGCAAGTCTTTGAACTGAATAGGAAAGAGTGGTGTCTGGGAACTGCTTCTGATTTACTCAGAGACATGGAGAAAGAGCTCTTTCTAGGGAATGACCCTGGCCCTGGTGGGATGTGCCAGGTGGGAGTCTCATGGAAAGCACTAGCTAGATGTTGGATGCTTTGGAGGAACTAATGTGCTGAGGAGATGTCAGCCCCGTGGGTCACCTTAGGGAGGGGCATGGGCCCAGTTGGTGGGGGTATTGCCAGGGCATGGATTCTGCACTGAGTGGGGCTATAGGGGACCTGGTGAGCTTCCTGGTAAGCCTTGGCCCAGGGCACTCTGGGAAGAAGGGGAGAAGTGCCCTGGGGAGGGCCAGTGAGGATAAAATGGAAGAAAGTAGACCCTCAGAGAAAGTACTTAGGGTGGGGCAGATTGTTGCAGGGCAGGTCAAGTGGGGGAAAGGAAAGGATGGGCTGGGACTTCTGGTGAAGGAGCATGTGAGGTACAGGAAGACAGGCTTCTGCTTAGAAGTAAAAGATAAAACTCCAGGAATCCGACTCGGGAAAGAAACAGGGCTCATCTAAATGAGAGAAACTCAGGCCTCCCAGATATCTAGAAGAAGCCCATAACCAGTGGGATGACAGGTTTATGATGATAACCCTCAGAGAGGTAGAGCAGAGGTCAGCAGAGAAGGAGGAATCGAGACCTTCAGCTGGTTCCTAAGGAAGCCCCTGAAAAATAACTGAACTAGACCTAAGGAAACCACATGTCAGAGAATTTGGTCTCAACTCCAGCATTTCATTCGGCACTCTGCTCAGTCCCTCAGCCTGAAGCTGCTTTGGTGGGGCTCCTAGTGTTCCTTTTCCTGCCTCAGAGGTTGTTGTTTGGGTCTTTCTGTCTGAGGTGGCAGGGCAGTCATCCAGCTGAAGAGATTGTGTGGAGATGGTTGATGGAGGACAGCGTTTCTCGGCTTTATTGTGTAGCCGGTGGCTTAGAACCCCTGAAGTAAAGGGCAAGCTTCCAGTCTTTTTTCTTTTTCTTTTTTTTTTTTTTTGAGTTGGAGTCTCGCTCTGTCACCAGGCTGGAGTGCAGTGGCACGATCTCAGCTCACTGCAACCTCCGCCTCCCGGGTTCAAGCGATTCTCCTGCCTCAGCCTCCCAAGTAGCTGGGACTACAGGCACGTGCCACCATGCCCAGCTAATTTTTGTATTATTAATAGAGATGGGGTTTCACTATGTTGGCCAGGATGGTCTCGATCTCTTGACCTTGTGATCTGCCCCCTTCAGCCTCCCAAAGTGCTGGGATTACAGGTGTGAGCCACCATGCCCGGCCAAGCTTCCAGTCTTAACAGCCACCTATGAACCCTGGTTACAATTTCTCAGAGATCCGCTCTATTTGTAATGCGTGTATCATTTTAGCGCAAAACCACTTCCCTGTGGCTGTGGCATCAGGGTATCCGCATGGTAGATAAAGCCTGGGAAACCCATATTCTCTCTCTCTTTTTTTTTTTTTGAGACGGAGTCTCGCTCTGTCGCCCAGGCTGGTTGGAGTGCAGTGGCGCGATCTCGGCTCACTGCAAGCTCCGCGTCCCGGGTTCATGCCGTCCATATTCTCTTAAGAATATAACCCCAAGCTTTCTAGAGCCATCCTTGCTATATGTACAGTTTCTTTAGGAAAGAATCGACAGGTTCTGCTGAGCTTCCTGACAGAAAACCCTGTGGGCTTCTATCTGATCAGGGTGTTGGATAATTAGGTTGTAAGTACCTGGAGAGGGGCTGTGTAACCCTGAGCTAGGTTCCTACAGATTGGGTTGAATTTTAAGCCTCAGCACTGTTATTAATGTCTTGCAAGTCTGACTTAATGATTTCTGTTTTTGAAGGCTCACTGGAGGATTTGGAGTCAATTTCGTTAGTGATGTAATAGATGTGACTCTTTCGTCAACTTTTGTATGTTATATTCATCATTCTAAACCCCCTGTTAGGAATTGTTGGTCAGACAAGCCTTTTGACCCTAAAAGTTGAAAAGAAACAAATTTTTTAAAATAGCAGATTATCTGGCTGGACATGGTGGCTCATGCCTGTAATCCCAGCACTTTGGGAGGCCAAGGCAGGTGCATCACTTGAGCTGAGGAGTTCAAGACCAGCCTCGGCAACATGGCGAAACCCCATCTCTACCAAAAAATAAAAAAAATTAGCTGGGCATAGTGGCACACACCTGTAGTCCCAGCTACTTGGGAGGCTGAGGTGTGAGGATCATTGAGGATCATCTGAGTCTGGGAGGTTGAGGCTGCAGTGAGCCATGATTGCACCACTGCACTCCTGCCTGGGCAGCAGTAAGACTGTCTCCAAAAAAAAAGGAATGAAGTTCTAACAATGTGCTATAATGTGGATGAACCTTGAAAGCATTATGCTAAGTGAAAGTAACCAGATACAAAAGACCACATATTGCAGATTCCATTTATATGAAATGTCTAGATAGGCCAATTCATAAACACATGGAGCAGATGAGTGGTTTCCAGGGCTTGGGAAGGGAAGAGGAAATGGAGAGTGACTGCCAGTGGGTATGAGGTTTCCTTTTGGAATGATGAAATGTTCTGGAACTAGATAGTAATGATAGTTGCACAACATTGTGAATGTGCTTAATGCCACAAAATTGTATACTTTTAAATGGTCAAATTTTATGTTATTTACAATAACAAGCAAATACCAATTCAGGTTCATAGCTGTTTATTTTCATATTGTAGGTATTTTGCAAATGAACCATTTGCTGACTTCCACCGAGTGGAAGGATTGCAAGGAGTCTACATTGCTACTCTGATTAATGGTTCTATGAATGAGGAGAACATGAGATCGGTCATCACCTTTGACAAAGGGGGAACCTGGGAGTTTCTTCAGGCTCCAGCCTTCACGGGATATGGAGAGAAAATCAATTGTGAGGTATTGATGCTTTAATCTTCTTTTGCTTTTTAATATAAAGGAAAGAGCCCTGCTCTGTGGTAGTTTCCTATGTCTAGTATTTATTGAAAAAATACAAGATCACATGGTATTCTATTAATATCACATGGAGCAGACTTCTATTTGTGTTGCTACACTTGCAGTTCCCAAACTCTGCTCCAAGGTCTTGCTACCACTTCTGGGCAGAAGCAACTCAGAAAAAAAAAAAAAAAAGTAGTATTCGTTTTTAGTACTACTTGTTTAGTTAGACCATTACTTGGTCTTTTGGATTTTTGAATTTTGTTTGTCCATGGTGGGCTATGTGGACACTCCCCTATATAATGTATCTGTGGCCCTTGGGAAAATTCTTTTGGAGACTCTTACCTTAGAATTTACTTCTTGGTTTTTCTTCTCTATTTGGCAATGGGTCTTGGCTTACCACATCAAATCTAATTTTGGAAAGAGGCAGCCTATAAATGGATATAGACAAATATCTGGGTACTTCCTCTTCCCTCAATAGTGTCTTCTACAGCAGCTTGGTGAGATCCTGGGATAGTTGGGGCTTGGGTGTTTTTGAGCGTGCTGTGGGGGTCAGGCTTTAGTTAAATCGAATTAATGGTATCATTCAAATTCAGCTTTCTGTTTCCCTGACTAATCAGTTTATTTATGAACTGTCGTTCATCAGCTTTAGGTATAGGTTTCTTCTTCTGAGTTTAGGTGGTGGAAGGAATGTATAGGAAATGGGTAAGTCTGATTACCTGAGGTTACAGAAACTCTTCAATGAATAGACTTCCTTGCAGGCAGAGAAGCATGAGTCAGAAAGAGGAGTGAGCAAATAAATATTTCTTTGAGACCCAGCCTAATTTGTTCCAGTTTTCATTGGTCAAACTGAGACTCTAGCAAGACAGATACTTGTTAGAGATCCTTTTATGACAAAAATAAGTAGCAAATAATCCAGCAAACCTTGCTACCATTTTTACCTGACCATAACCACATAAGCACATAGTCCTCCTGTGCAGAACCCTGGCCACATCTGAGTAACATTGAACAAGCTCTTTCTGACCAGGAGAACTGAGTGTGACCATATGGCAAAGGGTGTTGTCCTGATTGCTTGCAGAGCTATGAAAATCTGGACATGAGTGATGGAGGCCAGACTGAATCGCTTGAAGCCTTGCCCTGTATACCTACACCTTTGTGCAAATGTAAAATACATAGGAAAAAATTTAGTGCTAATCCTTTGCTTTTTATATCTCATTGATACTGTACATCAGGGGAGCTTTTCCATGAGACTTATGACTTCTGATTCTTGGTCTTTCTTATGACAGAATTGCTGGAATCATGTTTGAAATATGTCTCTGACTTAGAAAGTGAATATGACAAAATCATTTCATTTCTCTTTAGTTCTGAGTCACTTGAGAGGATCTCTGAGTGATAGGATGAGATGATGACTTTCCCATCTACTTGAGTTGACACTGATTTCTAATTGTTATTCCCTGAGAGTCTCAGAAGGCCTTTTTAAGTTGTAATTGTTCTCTTCTTCCACGGGACATTTATGTGGGTTCAGATGATCCTCTCTGTCTGGGGGGTGTGGGGACAGCTGGGCTGTGAGTCTGGTTTCCCCTGGGCCAGGCCTCCTTGCCCCGTGTCAGCTGCACTCCCCTCACACAGGCCGCAGGGTTTACAGGGAACGCTAGGCATGGTATCATGTGCTGACACTGCCTGAAACTTTGGTTGTATAGCTTTCCCAGGGCTGTTCCCTTCATCTGGCTCAGCGCCTCAGTCAGCTCCTCAACCTCCAGCTCCGGAGAATGCCCATCCTGTCCAAGGAGTCGGCTCCAGGCCTCATCATCGCCACTGGTAAGTGTGCTTGCCTGTTCTCAAAAGGGGTTCAGCTGTCTGGTGATGTGCAGGCCAAATGCAGAGCGATCACCCACACCTCCAGCAGTAACCACGCTTTGTGGTTTGAAAGCATTCTTAGTTGCTAGATACTACGCAGAATTTCTGGCTGGGCAAGGTGATTATCTGACATATTCTTGAAATTAAAAATAATTATTTCTCTTGCATTTTAGGCTCAGTGGGAAAGAACTTGGCTAGCAAGACAAACGTGTACATCTCTAGCAGTGCTGGAGCCAGGTGGCGAGAGGTCAGCCCCCTCCCCCAATCCCGTCCCCTCCACCCTCATTCCCATTTGTGTGAGAATGTAGACTGTGCCTTGGCATTTCAGGGACACAAATGGTCCATGGCAGAGACCAGTAATGCCAGATATGACTATAAAGTAAAGAAAGGTACCTGAAGCCACTGATTTATATCCACAGTTACTTTAAATTAAACACAGACCTTTGCAAATGTGTGAATTTTACTGAACATTCTAAGATTATGAGTTCTATGAGGGCAAAGACAATGTCTGTTTTACTGACTTCTTTATCCTTAGGACCTAAGAGTGCCTGGCATGGAGTGGGGGCTCAGGGCATATATGCTGCATGTATCAGCAAATTATAGCGTAGTGGTATTAGCCCTGAAATGGGCTGCTATTATTATTATTATTTTGTATATTATTGAAGTTGAGATGAAGCCTGTCCTTGCTGGGCTATGTTGTATAGGCACTTTCGTCTCACTCTGTGCTATGGAAGTAGACTCTCTTTTTGCCTTAAGGTTGTATAACTAATATCGATGCTGATTATACCAATTCCTAAGACAGGGCTAGTTCCCTAGTTCCAAAATGCTAATTCATCTTCATCTTTGGGCATTAGAGAATTTCCAAACTTGTAAAAAAAAAAAAAAGTTGTTGCCAGCCTCCCATTGATTAAGGCCAAGGAAGTGCGTTTGGTCTCGTTCTGTAGGGGTTGCTTTCAGGGGTGACCCTCTAGTTATGCCAGGAGCCACCAGGGTAAAACCCAACAGATCACTTGACAGGATGAGCACCTTGTCATCGAGCAGCCCCGCAGGCTGGGCAGCCGGAACAGCACGTCGGGAGTGATGTGGAGTTCTCAGAACAGCTAGCAGACATAGTTCCCATCCACGTGGTGCTTTACTGGGAATGCACCATGCTCACCTTGATATTTGAATAGGTAATATGTAAAGCAGTAATAAAAATACCAACATTCATTTGGCACCTTGCAGTTCACAGAGGCCTGTCACAAGCCTTCTCTCACTGTGGCAGGGCTTCCCATCCCTCCCGAGGAGAGAGATGAGGCTCAGACACTGTGTACTGTATGTGGTGAACGCAAATATGTGTTCAGATGAGGCAGATTGTTAAGGCCATTGTAGTCAGAGTGCAAACAGTTTGAATGGAAATTTTCGGGTTGTCCTTGTGCAGCTCCCAAGGGAAGATTAAGCAGCTGCTTTCCCCTTTCGTGGAGCTGGACGCTCCCTTTGAAATGGGGTATCCTCTTCTCTGCGAATAGGCCTGTGGTTTGTTTGTGCCTTCTGCTGTTGGTGTAATCTGGGATTTGCACATCTGCAAGTGATTTCCTTCTGGGTAGAAAGCAGTGTCTTGTTCCTCCTCCAGTGAAGTGGTATCGTCTGGTGATTACCGGGGCAGCTGTCAGTGCCTCCCTCCACACGTGCCTTGTCCCTGCCAAGAAGCAACCAGTGCATAAGAGACCTTATTTTGGGACATAGCAGAAAACTAACTTGGGGATGAAAAGATTGTGAGTTTATCTGTGTGAGTGGGCATCTGAGTCCCCATGGGCAGCCTTCACTTTAGAGGGACAATCTGGGCTGTGTGCAGGAGCAGGTGGTGGCAGAGGAAGAGGCTGTAGTGGACAGAATGTTGCCTGGAGCACTGA
Source organism: Homo sapiens (assembly GCF_000001405.40). Lineage (NCBI taxonomy): Eukaryota > Metazoa > Chordata > Mammalia > Primates > Hominidae > Homo > Homo sapiens. Next base: position 121,524,635 of record NC_000011.10, read on the forward strand.
TGACTGTAATTGTGGTTTTCTTTTTCCTCCTAATTAGTTGTGCAAATTCTCTGATCCTCAGAATTCCTTTTTTTGTGCTTTTTTCTCTTTTTAAATAATTTTTATTTCTTTTATTTTTAGCTTTTTTCTTTATCAACTTTATTGAAGCAGATGAAGGCACAGTACACTGCACATATTTAAAGTGTACAGTTTGATCAGAATTAATTATGGTCACCACAATTAAGATAACAAACATTTCCATCTGCAAATTCTCTGATCCTCAGAATTCCGTTTTTGTGCTTTTTTTCTTTTTAAAATAATTTTTATTTCTTTTATTTTTAGCTTTTTTCTGTAACAAATTTATTGAAGCAGATAAGGGGACAGTACACTGCACATATTTAAAGTGTACAGTTTGATCAGAATTAATTATGGTCGCCACAATTAAGATAACAAACATTTCCATCACCCTCCCCGAGGTATCTTTGTGCCCCTCGGTAATCCATCCCACTCTCCAGTCTTGTCCTTGTCTGCTTCTGTTATTCATTGGCATTTTCTAGAATAGGTTATTCATTGGCATTTTCTAGAATTTTGATAAGTGGACTCACACAGTATATACTCTTTTTGCCTGGCTTCTGTCACACATCACGATGATTTTGGGTTTCATCCAAGTTGCTTTGTGTATCAATTGTTCATTCCTTTGCTAGTTGTATCCCATTGTAGGGATATATCATAATTTATTTATTCATTCATCTGTTGATAAACATTCCAGTTTTGCTGATTACAAATATAGCTGTTATGAACATTCATGTACATATTTTATTCATTTCTCTAGGGTAAATACTTAGGAATGGAATAGCTGGGTAGCATGGTGGGTATATGTTTAACTTTTTAAAGAACTGCCAAATTATTGTCCCTTTTACATTTCCACCAAACAGTATGTGAGAATTTTAATTGCTTCACATCTTTGCCAACACTTGGTATGATTAGTCTTTTTAATTTTAGACATTTTAATAAGCATGTGATAATATCTCATTGTAGTTGTAATTGGCATTTGTGTGATTATTAATGATTCTTTTCATGTGCTCATTGGCCATTTTAAAATCTGGTTGTGAAGTATCTGCCCAAATCTTTTGCCTTTTTGAAAAAATTGGGTTGGTCCAGCACAGTGGCTCTGCCTATAATCCCAGCACTTCGGACGGCTGAGGTAAGAGGGTTGCTGGAGCCATGGGCAACATAGGGAAAGCTTGTCTCTACAAAAAATAAAAATAGCCAGGCATGGTGGTGCATGCCTGTAGTCCTAGCTAGTTAGGAGGCTGAGGTCAGAAGGTCACATGAGCCCTGGTGGTTGAAGGTGTAGTGAGCTGTGATTGTGCTGCTGCATTCCAGCCTGGGCAATGGAATCAGAGCCTGTCTCAATAAATATATAAATAAATTTTAAAAACTAATTTTAATAATTGAGTTGTCTATCTTCTTTGAGTTGTAGGAGTTTTTTTAAAAATATATTTTGGATTCAGGTCTTTTGTATGATATATGGGTAGATACTCATTTTTTCCATATGGAGATCTAATTGATTTAGCACCATTTATTGAAAACCCTTCTCTCTCTCCCATTGAATTGCCTTGGTACCTGTTTGAAAATCAATTGGCCATATATGGGCCAATTTTAGGCCAATTGGGTCTATTTCAGGTCTTTATTCTGTCCCATTAATCTGTCTGTCTTTTCACTAATACCAAATTATCTTAATTTCCAAAGCCTTATAGTAAATGTTGAGATCAAGTAGGGTAAGTCCTTCAACTTTGATTATTTTAAAAATCTTTTTTTATTATTGTAGGTCGTTCGTATTTCCTGATACATTTCAGGATCACTTGTCAATTTCTATGGAATCTGCTGGGATTTTTATTATAATTGCCTTGAATTTATAGAATCAGTTTGGAGGAGAATCGACATGTTAATACTATTGAGTCTTCTGATCCATGAATGTAGTATCTTTTTCCATTTCTTGTTCAATTTCTCTCAGTACTTTGTAGTTTCCAATGTAGAGGTCCTGTACATCTTTTATTAGCTTTATTCCTAGGTATTTTAATTTTTTGTGGTATTACTGTAAATGGAATTTTATTTTCTAATTTTTGCTCTAGTATATAAAAATACAACTGATTTTTTATATATTCATCTTGTATTCTGTGACCTTGCTAAGGTAATTCATTAGTTCTAGTAGGTTTTTAGATTCTATGTAAGCAATCATACCATTTGCAAAGAGTGACAGTTTTATTTCTTCCTTTCTGATCTTAATGTCTTTTATGTATTCTCTCATTCTTCTCTTCTTCCTTTTTCTCTTCTTTCTTGTCCTTCTTTCTTCTCTTTCCCTCCTTTCCTCCATTTTCTCCCTTCTGATTTCTTTCATTCTTCTTATCACAATGGCTAGGACCTCTATACAGTATTGAATAGAAGTAGTGAAAGTGGGCATTCTTGCCTTGTTCTCTCTCTGGGGGAAACAATTCAACCTTTTTACCATTAACTATGGTGTTAGCAGTAGATTTCTTTATCAACATTTGGGAAGCTCCCTATTATCACTAGTTGTTGAGTATTTTTTTTTTTATCATAATCAGATACTGGATTTTGTGAAATGCTATTTTTACATTTATTAAAATGATTTTTTTCTATTACTATGATGATTAAATATTACATTAATTAATTCTTGAATATTAGAACAACCTGGAATTACTAGGACAAACTCTACTTGGTCATAATGCATTATTCTTTTTATGTGCAGCTAGGTTTGATTTGCTAATATTTTGTTAAAGATTTTTGCATTATTTGTGAGAGATACTTGTCTTTAATTTGTTTTTTTTTGTAAAATCTTTCTAAAGTTTTGATATTAGTGTTTGGCTAGTATCATAAAACAAGCAGAGGGGTAAACCCCTCTTCCTCTTTTTTAGGACAAAGTTTGGTGTTATTTTTTCTTGAGTAATTCCCTAATGAAACTGTCCAGGCATTGAGTTTTCTTTTTGGGAATATTTTTTGATAAGAGATTTAATTTCTCTGGTTGATACAAGGCTATTCAGATTTTCTTCTTTTTGTTTCAATTTTGATGAGTTGTGTGTTTCAAGAAATTTGTCCCTTCATGTAAGTTGTGACATTTGTTGGCCTTATGTTATCAATGATATATTCTCTTTATCTTTTTAATGTCTGTAGGATCTTTGGTGATGATTTCATTCTTGATATTGGTGATATGTGTATTTTCTCTATTTTTCGTTCGTTTAGGTGTTTCAATACTGTTGATCTTTCCAAAGAATCTGCTTTTGGCTCTTGTTGATTTTCTATTGTCTGTTTTCTGTTTTGTTGCTTTTTTTCTTTATTATTATTTTTTCCCTTATTTGTTTTGTTGTTCTTTTTGTAGCTTATTAAGATATAACCTTGGGTTATTGATTTTATATCTTCTTTTCTAATGTAAGCATTTAAAGCTGTAAGTTTTCCTTTAAGTACTAATTTAGCTATATGCCACATATTTAGATATGTTTTTAGTGTTTTTAAGTTCAGAGTATATTTAATGTCCCCCTTTAAAACTGAGATATAGGCTGCACACAGTGGCTCATACCTGTAATCCCAGCACTTAGGAAGACCAAGGCAGGAGGATCACTTGAGACCAGGAGTTCAAGACCAGCCCAGGCACCATAGCAAAACTTTGTCTCTACAAAAAATAAAAAAATTAACTGGGCATACCTGTGATCCCAGTTACTCTGGGGGCTGAGGTGGGAGGCTCACTTGAGCCCAGGAGGTCAAGGTTGCAGTGAGCTGTGATTGTGTCAGTGCACTCCAGCCTGGGTGACAGAGCAAGACCGGGTCTCAAAAAAATAAAAAAACAGATAAAATTGAGATGTAATTCACATATTATAAAGTTCACCATTTTAAAGTGTACAGTTCATATGTTTTTAGTATTATTCAGTCATCATCATTATCTGATTCCAGAACATTTTCATCAATCCATAAATATCTCTTGATTTTTATCTTCGAATGATAAGTTACTTAGCAAAGTGTTATTTAATTTGCAGGTATTTGGGGGTTTCATAGATATCTTGTTATTGATTTCTAATTTAATTTCCTATAGTCAGAGAAGACACTTTGTATGATTTCAGTCCCTTTAGATTTGTTGAGATTTATTTTGAGATCCAGCCTGTGGTCTATATTGTTGAATATATCACGTGCACTGGGAAGGAATATGTATTAAGCAGTTGTTTGAGGTAGTGTTCTGTAGATATTATTTATATGAAGGTGGTTGATAATGTTGTTCAGATCTTTTGTGTTCATATTGATTTTTGGGGGTTCTAGTTCTCTAAATTCCTAAGAGAGGAATGGTAAGATCTCCTACTATGATTCTGAAATTGCCTCTTGCTCCTTTAAATTCTATCAATTTTTGCTTTATTTTGGTATGCATTTTGAGTCTCTGTTGTTAAGTGTATTCACATTTATAATAATATTTTCTCATGAATTGTCCCTTTTATCATTATGAACTATCTCTCTTTATCTATTGTAATGCCATGTGTCTTAAAATCTATTTTATCTGATATTAAAATAGTTACTGTAGCCTTCTTCTGTTTACTATTTGGATATTACATCTTTTTTTGAGTTGGTGTCTTACTCTGTCACCCAGGCTGGAGTGCAATGGTATGATCTCGGCTCACTGAGACCTCGACCTCCTGGGTTCAAGTGATTCTCCTGCCTCAGCCTCCCGAGTAGCTGGGATTTCAGGCGCTCACCACCACACCCGGCTAATTTTTGTATTTCTAATAGAGACGGGGTTTCGCCATGTTGGTTAGGTTGGTCTTGAACTCCTGACCTCAAGTGATCCACCCACCTTGGCCTCCCAAAGTGCTGGGGTTACAGGTGTGAGATACCACGCCCAGCCCTGGATAGTACATCTTTTAACATCCATTCGCTTTCAACCTATATATGTCTTTATATTTAAAGTGTTTTTTTTTTCTCTTTTTTGAAGTTGGGTCTTGTGTGTTGTCCAGGCTGGTCTTAAACTCCTGGGTTCAAGTGATCCTGCCAAATAGTTGGACTTAAAGGCACATGCCACCATGCCCAGTTCTTTGAAGTGTTTCTTCTAGACAACATATAGTAGGGTCTTGCTTTTTTACTCATTCTGCCAAGCTCTGCTTTTTAACTGAAATGCTTAGGCCATTAACATTTAATATAATTATTGATGTATTTGAATTTAGGCCTAATATTTCATTTATTTTCTTTTCATTTCTCCTATTTATTATTCCTCTGTTCCTTCTGTCCTCTCTCCTTTTGTATTATCTAGATACATTAAGTATTCTACTTTTATTTAGATTTTTTGGGGGGCTTATCTATGTGTATTTCTAGTGACTTCTCTAAGGATTACAACATACATATCTAATCTTTTATAGTCTTCTTTGAGTTGATAATTGCACTTAACGTAAAATTTAGAACCCTTTCAACCATACAAGTCCCTTTTCTCCTCCCCCACCTATATGTTATTTTCATATTTATCACATCAACACACATTACAAAACCCACAAAGCAGTGTTTGTTTTTGCTTCAAATTATCATATGAATTTCAAAGAACTTAAATATTTACCCAGATATTTACCATTTCTCTTGCTTGCTCTTCGTTCTGGAAAAATCTCTGTTTACCCATGGGAAATTTCCCTATAGCCTAAAGAAATTCCTATAGCATTTCCTGTAGCGAGATCTGTTGGCTGTGAATTCTCTTGTTTTTCCCTCTTTTGAAATTTCTGTTTTATTTACCTTCATTCCTGAAGGATATGTTTATTGGATAGAGAATTCTGGGTTGACAGTAATTTTCTTCCAGTACTTTAAAGATGTCTACTGTTTTCTTGTTTCCGTGGGTTCTGATGAGAAACCTCTCTTCACTTTAGCTATCATTCTCCTGTGTGTAACATGCCATTTTTCTCTAGATGCTTTGGAGATTTTTTTTTCATTGGTTTTCAGCAGTTTTGGTATGATGTGTCTAGGAGGGCTTTTCTTTGAGTTTATTCTCTATGTAGATGCTGATTTTGAATCTATATTTATATCTTTCAACAAATTTGGGAAATTTTCAGCCATTATTTCTTCAAATATTTTTTTTCTGCTCCCATCCCTTTCTCCTGTTCTTCTCGGACTCCAGTTACATATTAGACCTACTGTTATTGTTCCTTGTGTCCTTGGCAATCTTTCTTTCTTTGAAATCCTTTTTCCCCTGTATGTTCTCTAGAACACACAGATAGATCTGTAATTTCTACAGATCTATATTTATTTTGAAGTTCACTAATTCCTTTGTCATTGCTTTTCTGATGTTGAGCCCATCAGTAAATTTCTTATTTCGGACATTATATTTTTCTGTTATAAAATTTGTTTGGTTTCTTTTTAAAAATTGTTTCCACTTCTCTGGGAGAATTCTTTTCTCTCATTCATTTCACGTGTATTTTTCTTTCCCTCATGGGACATGGTTATAATAGCTATTTTAAAATTCCAGCCAGGTATGGTGGCTCATGCCTATAATCCCAGCACTTTGGGAGGCCGAGGCAGGTGGAAGCACTTGAGGTCAGGAGCTCGAGACCAGCCTGACCAACATGGTGAAACCCTGTCTGTACTAAAATTATAAAAATGAGCTGGGCGTGGTGGTGCATGCCTGTAATCCCAGCTACTTGGGAGGTTGAAGCAGGAGAATCACTTGAACCCAGGAGGCAGAGGTTGCAGTGAGCTGAGATTGCACCACTGCACTCCAGCCTGGGCAACAGAGTGAGAATTTGTCTCAAAAAATAAAAAATTAAAAAAATATTCCAATATATGGGTCACTTGGGATTGGCACCTTTTGACTATCTTTTCCTTTGAGAATTGGACACATCTTATGGATATGTTTGTATGCTGTATGTTAAGTAATTTTGGTTTGTATTCTGCACATATGAATGAAATTCATGAAATTAAGCCTTCTGGAGGATATTGATATTTTTGTCTCAGCATGTAATCAGCCTGTTTAGGTTCTGACCCTGAGTTCTGTCTTGCTTTCTGTAGGTGGTAGTTTAACTCTCAGTTCAGTATGCTAAGCCTTTGTTACACTGGTTTGTGTCTGTTTCATGCACGTACACTTCAGGGGTTAGGCTGCGACTTGCGTAAGTTCATATACAAAATTAGGGGATTTACTTTTTTGACACTCTCTGCTATGGGATTCCATCCACACTTTACCTACCCTATAGGGGCTCCTTTCTCTGGTTCCTTTGGGGGAAATAATATCTATTGCAGTTTTAGCTGTGACTGAGACTGAGGTGCACCCCATGACTGGGACTTTTCCTTCGGGCAAAGCTTTACCAGGATATTCATGACTTGTGTGTGTAGCTTCTCTAGGTTTTAAATCTCCACAAGCGGCTTGCTTTCGTTTACTTTTCAGCATCCACTGGTAGTTGTTTTTTGTCCAGAGTTTTCAGCTGTAATTAGCAGGAAGGATGGGCTATAGAGGGCTAATACTGTCATAGTAGAACTGAAACCCCAGTTACTTAATTTTTAATCAAGGGTTGGTGGGAGTCATAGATTTGGATTTGAGTCCTACCTCTGCTGTTCACAGTCTACCATTTTAATATTAAGCCCGTGTTTCTTCATTTGGGAAAAAAATTGAGATACTAGAACTTGCTCCACCTGTCCCTAGGATTGTGTGGAACAGATGAGATAATGGATGTCAATGTCTTCTGTAAACGGAAAAATTGTTTTCAAGTGGTTGTCATTGCTGTTATGTCTATGTGCACGTGTGTGCATGCCTGTGGGCATGTGTACATGGTTTCTGCACAATTACCTCCACAGCAGTGGTGTCACCATGGATTTTTCCTCTTCAGGCACTTCCTGGACCTCACTACTACACATGGGGAGACCACGGCGGAATCATCACGGCCATTGCCCAGGGCATGGAAACCAACGAGCTAAAGTAAGTGTCTCTGATGAGGCCTTTTAACATCAAACTTTCTCCCAGAAATTTACGTCTGTGATTATAATTGGATTATCTCTCTATAGCACTATGTTGTTGACAGCACAATTTGTGATCTCTGGATATGAGTTAAACTTTTTTTTTTTTTTTTGAGATGGAGTCTTGCTCTCTCCCCCAGGCAGGAATACAATGGTGCGATCTCAGCTCACTGCAACCTCCACCTCCTGGGTTGAAGCGATTCTCCTGCCTCAGCCTCCTGAGTCTGGGATTACAGGCACCTGCCACCACGTCCGGCTAATTTTTGTAATTTTAGTAGAGACACGGTTTTACCATGTTGATCAGGCTAGTCTCGAACCCCTGACCTCAGGTGATCCACCTGCTTCGGCCTCCCAAAATGCTTGGATTACAGGTGTGAGCCACTGTGCCCACCCCGATTTAAACTCTTTATCTCCCAAATGGGAATATAAGAACCTGTCCTTTCTATCACAAAGGGAGATTGTGAGCAAGAGGGCAATTAATAATAATGGCCAAATAATTAAGTGGAGGCTCTTTAATTTGTCCTTCTTTGCTTTGTGTCTTTATTACATAGAAAGACTAATAATAAATAGCAATAATAATAATAATAATACATCAGTAACAATTACAGAATGCATACAACTTGATAGCCATTGACTTTTGGTGCGTTAGGTTGGTGGGGGGTCTCATGGAGCTGGAAGGGGTGTTTAGGGTTAACTGCATCATTTCACAGATGAGAAAACAGGCTCAGCAAGGCAAAGTAACTTGCCCAGGGTCATTCCCTTTGTTAGTGACAGAGACAGGATTAGCACTTGGGTTTTTCGATTGCGTCCTACATTCTTTGCAATATATTGTTCTGAAAAGCAAAACTGTCAAGAGTTTGTAACCTCTACACCCTTATGTTCTGATTTTATCAGAACCAGTCCTCTGATTACCTTTGGCTCGTTTCTGAATGGTTCATGTTAGGTCAAGTTCATGCTGGACCACACTTCTCCCTGTTTTTGAGCTGAACCCATTAGATGGATTGGTGAAGGATCTGGAGAGGGCTTCTGTAACTCTCTTGTTTATTGCAAGGACAAAGCTTTCTTTTTCTTTGCTCCTTTTAGAAACGGGGCCAGCAGTAAGTGAGAGGTGGGTGGTTTGGAAAAAGAGATCTTAGCAGCTGTTTTTTTTTCCCTGTGGTTAATTTGACATGTGCTGAGCAGCCTGGCCTCAGAGAAGGAGAGAGAAGCAAAGTACTGGTGTTTGGCATTCCACCTGGCTGTTCTCTGTTCTGTGTAGCACTGGTTAGCTATTTCTTTAGAGGTGATACTCCGAAGAGGTCCTGTTTGTGTGCAACACTCTGTATTCATATTCAGATTGGTGTTTGCTCAGACAACGACCATCACAGAGCACAGTACTTCCCACATTTGTGCTATCATTTATATACCCATTAATTTAATTTTCATTTCACATGTTCACCAAGCACCGATTGTGCCAGATGCTGTGTATCTGTAGATGAATAGGATGCCTGCCACCCTGTAGTTGAAAGGTGGGCGACGAAACAATTGTAGTGTTTGGTATACTGCTATGTGTGTAATACGCACGTAGGGGACATAGTTTGGCTTCCTAGGAATACATTTCATTCTTTGTATGGCTTTCAGATTTCAGAGTCAGTTCTCGATTTGCCTTGTTTAACTTCTCTGAAAATTAAATTTGCATTCCAAACTGGCTCCTCTGAAGGAGTTAGTGTGATTCTAGTCCTCTTACACCATCTGTCGGTGCATATGTGCTCAGGGAACGCAGCGTCATTCTGCACGAGCTGGAGCAAAACATGATCAGGAAAATAAACTTGCTGCCAGAAAATCATAAAGCCTTCCCCAGACATTTTGAAATGACTTGGGGGTTGTAGACTTTGGGGGATTATGGTCACTGTAGCATTCCTCTATTTGTATAGGTTTCATTTGGAGGTGTCTGTTTGAATAGTTCAAATAAAGCATTTGAAAATACGAAAATACATACAAGCCTCCTATTGACAGGTGCATGTGTCCCACATAACAACCTGAGCTTGGCCTAAATCTGTGTAGCCACCTGGCATTTACTCAGTGTGTTGTTCACAGAGGTATTTTGCTTCTTCCCCTGCTGCTCTGAAAAGCAAGAAATAATATTCAAGTTAGTTGATATTCTCAGACTACAATGGTGATTTACTGTGACACCCATGCACAAGGACAGGTGGCTTCTGACAAGACTGGATATCTGTTGCTGGGCTAGGGCCTCAGGCCCCTTCTAAGTTTGGCCTCCCCAGTCACAGAGATCTCTTTTCCTTTATGACTCGTAGCATGTATAGGCTGTCCCATTCATTTGGCATTGATCATATTCTGACTCCTTATGTTAGTTACCTTTACATGATGCGCCTGAATTCTGCAACTCGTTAGTAAGGTCTTTGTAGGTAAATATTTCTGCTCGATGTAGGTTACCAGGCACTTAGCAAATATTTGATTGAAATAGGTCATGCATACTTAATCATCCAAGATTGCTTATGGTTTTTTTTTTTTTAACTGATTTATAAAACTAGAGGAGACCGAGCTAGTGTGCCAATTGCACAGCTCCAAGGGGACCACTGCCACTGTGCTCCATGTCAATGACAACCCCTAGAGCACAGATGTGAGTGGAGGCTCCCTGGATGTGTGCAACCCGGTAGTACCCAAGAGACACCAGAGATGACCTAATCTACTTTCCTTAGTTTTCACATGAGGGAATAAGAGATTAGTCAGGAGTTAATGCCCACACTGGAACTTGAGCATATTTCTGTTAGGAATCATTTCAGGTCCATTACACAGACAACTGTCGAACATCTACAATGAAGCGGATGCTGTGCTGGATACCAAGGATGCAAAGGCAAGTGGGGCACTGATCGGGAGCTGCCTGTGCCCACTGTGGCTCTGTGATGTTTCTGAGCCAGATGCAGAGAGAGAGGCTGGGAGGAGGGGGTTGTTTGAAAGAGGGCTTTCTGCTCTGATTTTACTCATCTTTAGGGAGGGAAGCCAAGTAAAGTAGCATTAGTAACTCAAATAGGTTGTAGTGGGGACAGCAATTGAAGCATTGCTCAAAGTAAACATTAGGGTTTTTTTTTTTTTTGGTCGATGTTCTTTTAAGTTATGCATGTCTTTCTCTCCCTGATTAGCACAGATATCTAGGAGTTGACTGTTATTTGTTTCAGCTTCTGCCTTGAGTCTCCTCTGAGACTGTTACCTTTGTTATTGTTAATTGAAATTGAGAGCAAGAAGTGGAACACTTTGTTTTGCTCTTGTGTCTACATGTCTGAAATGGGTAAATAAGAACCTGCACTGGGGATCCACTTATTCGTTCATTCAGCCCGCTGCTCCTGTGAACCTGCTCACGGGAGGCATAGGAGCAGTGGCTTTTTCGTCAGAGAAGGGGCTGTTGCATTTTTGCACCCTGACCGAAGAAGATTCAAACACGTTTGTCAGCTTGATCACGGAAGAGAAGATCAATTTCTGTTTCTTCGCTGCGGTTTGCTTGTCAGCATGATGATATTTTTCGTAGTCAGTAATAATATTTTGAACTTGCCCCAAAGCATCTTTTTTTTCTAAGACATCCAATTTCATAGGGGCTTCTCTCTGGAAATCCTGAAAAGCCCCTGAAAAGACTCCACGCAGCAGAGCAGCTGTCTTTTCTGGACCTGGGCTCTGGAAGCAGCCCCACAGTTCCAGAATGTGGGAGGCAGTGGTTAATGTCTTCACTTGCTTGCAGCGCCTCTCAATGGTACAGTTGTCGGGAGAGCCACCCCTACTTTATCCTAACCCCTGTGGTTTTTCTGCCCCTTGAGGTATAGAGAAGCAGGTGTTCTTATCACTGTGTTTTTTTTTTTTTTTTTTTCTGGAGTTCAGTGGTGCGATCTCGGCTCACTGCAACCTCCTCTTCCCAGACTCAAGCGGTCCTCCCATCTCAGCCTCCCAGTAGCTGGGACCACGGGCAGGAGCCACCATGCCTGGCTAATTTTTATATCTTTTTTTTTTTTTGGTAGAGACAGGTTTCGCCATGTTGCCCAGGTTGTTCTCATTTGAACTCCTGAGTTCAAAGTGATCCACCTGCCTTCCTAAGTGTTGGGATTACAGGTGTCAGCCACCAAGCTTGGTCTTTATCACCTTTTAACTGTTAAGAAACCGAGAAACGGAGTTGCAGTGCAGTTTCTTTAACTTCCTTCAACAAGCGTTTATGAATAATGCCCTTTCTGTGTGCTAGGAAAGATTCGAGGTGCCAGGGGCAGAAAAGTAAGAGGTCTTATTCCTGATGAACGGCAATCCAGTAGAAAACACTCGCAAAATCAAGTCACTGAAATACAGTGAGGTATAAGATTATGGAGAGCGCTGGGTGCGGTGGGAGCCAGAATGAGGGCCAGGTGATGCTATCTGGGGGACAAAGGAGGACTTCTGAGAGAGGAAACCCCAGCTGAACCTAAAAGGATACAAAGCAAGGTCGGAATGCTTTTCCAGGTCTAGAGAGACCTTGAGCAAGGGCCAAAGCATGATCAGTGGGGAATGTGCACGGCTCTTGAGTATTAATAGAATGCAAATTTCCAGGTGGGAAGTAGTGAGAAACGAGGCTGGAGGAAGGTATCTATGTAGAGGCCAGGTCCTGGGGGACCTCACCTGTGCCTTACTAAAGAGATTAAAGTTTGCTTTGAGGTGATAGGGTCCCTTTGAAGGATTTTAGTAGGGGAATGACATGGCTAGACTTGCATTATAGAATGATGGATCTGGCAGAATGGAGAGGATGGATTCAGTGGAGAGAGACTGGAGGTGAGAGCTGATGCTGGGGTGTGTTTGAGGACTAAGTCTGCAGGGCATGGTTTCTGATTCACCTGGGATGATGGGAGAAGTGATTATACCGCTCATAGAAAGGCAGAGGTAAAGGAGTAGGCTTGCAGGGCTGTATATTAAATGCAGACATGGACAGGTTGAATTGAAGCCTCTGTTGTGGGTCCAAGGGGCGATGTCCAGCAGGAATCTGGACATATTACAATATCTGGTGCAGCCTTCCGCCACCCTTTGCAAGAATTTTCTCCGTGCCATCTGTGATAGACAATCTTTTGTTCTATACTTGAACATTTCTATTAATGGGGAATTTGCCATATCAAAAGGTGCTTCCATTTTACTTTGGGACAGTTTGCTGTTCATTTGTTCACTAATTCATTTGTGAATTAAAGTTCTCTGGTAAGGGAGAGCCCAGATTCTCCTCCCTCCAGCTTCTATTCGTGGACTTTGTTCTGCTCCCTGGAGATGCACAGTAGATACTTCCTTTTGCATGAAAGCCTTTCAAGTATTTAAGGACCCTGTCATGTTCTCCTGAGTGTCTGCCATTTCATGATGAATATCCTCGGTTCCTTTCCTCATATTCTATAGATCCTCAATCTCTATCTTCTAGGTTCTCCCTTAGGTCTGCCTCACGATGTCAGTGCCTTAAAATGTGGTACCTGGATCTGGCCCCAATAGCCTGAAACATGCAGAAGATGTTGAGATTTTGTCTTCATGATTCTGAACACTCTGTATCTATTAATAAAAACCTCTGACAGTGTTTCCATTTTTAACAGCCATCTCAAACTGGTGGCTCCTATTTTTTTTTTTTTGAGAGGAGGTATCATTTGCATACCACAGGATGCTCAGATATTGACTACACCATTTAATCAGTTCTGAAGGGTGCATGTCAAGATGTAGAGTATTTCCATCAGTCCAGAAAATACTCACGTGCCCCTTTCCAGTCAGTGCTCTCCACCCCCAAACCCCTGCCCCAATTACAGGCAACCACTGGTATGTTTATCACTGTAGCTGCCTATTCCAGAATTTCATGTTTGTATGTTTTGTATTTGGCTTCTTTTACTCAGCATAATGATTTTGAGATTTATCAATCTTTTAACTGGTATCAGTAGGCTGAGTTCACTTTAACTAAAATACCTGAGATCCTTCTTTCTTATGGATCTTATTATACAATCAATCAATCAACAGGACGGATGTTCCCCGTCCTGTATTTGAGCAAACAGGTTTTTGAAACTACATGTGGAGCTTTATTTTTATTTTTGCTTATTTTTTTTTGGTTTGAATTGTATTTTTGGCATTTATTTATTTTTTTGAGACAGAGTCTCACTCTGTCGCTTAGGCTGGAGCACAGTGGTGCCATCTTGGCTCACTGCAACCTCCGCCTCCCAGGTTCAAGCGATTCTCCTGCCTCAGCCTCCCGAGTAGCTGGGATTACAGGCATGCACCACCACGCCCAGCTAATTTTTATATTTTTAGTAGAGGCGGGGTTTCACCTTGTTGGTCAGGCTGGTCTCGATTTCTTGACCTTGTGACCCGCCCGCCTCAGCCTCCCAAAGTGCTGGGATTACAGGCGTGAGCCTCTGTGCCTGGCCCCGGCATTTATTATATTATTTATACAATTAGCCTTTTACCCTTTGCAAATTTGGCAGATTCGCCTTCCAGATCCCTATCCAGATCATTGACAGATGTGTTGAGCTCTGTGAGAACTAGAAGTCTTATCTTGGGTTGAGATCAAACCATACGTCAGCACTCTTGGGATGTGCTTATTTTACCATCAGTGAATTTTATCTGACTGCGTGGTCCACAAAGATCTTCATGAAAAAAAGAATGTTCTGTGTCATTGTCCTGTTTTTCAAATCAAGAATTACCACGAGGAAAGGAAATGGAGTTAGTCTGTTGTGACTTGTGTGTGAAACCATTTGGGTTCTTAGCCTTGACCTCCTTTTCGTCTGAGTGCTCTCAAATAAACTGTTTCATAATCCATTCTTGAAACCACCTTTTCTTCATTAAGGAAATAAAAGTATTTTCCCTATTCTAGTTTTTGAGATCTTTGTTCTTCATAATTCTCCTAGAGATTATTGAAAAGGATGCTATAATCATCCTATCTTTAAGTCTTTCAGTTCCTTAGAATTTATTTTGTACTGATTTTCCTTTAACTTAAATGGTTTTTCTTGTCCAATTTGAAGATTATTTTCCTTGATAAAGATAAAAGCAAAATAGAATTTTTTTTCTATTTTTTTTAGACCCAGCTTTACTACTATGTTGTTATTCAAAGATTTTTTTCTTTTTTTTTACTAACGAAGTCTTTATTTCTTTTGTTTTCAGCTTTCCAATCAGCCAGAAAACATAAAGTATTTTCAATTCAAAGTTCTAGTAAAGATAGGAAGAACTGGGTGATGGTTTTCATAAATGAATGAATGAATGAACGAATGGATGAATGTGTATCAAGTGCTCTGTTTTTTTAAATTGATACATATGATTATGTCTGCTATTATTTATTCTATTGGCCATCAGAGCAATGATCCTATTCCTTTCTAATTCTTTATAGAACTTGCCAGATAACCAATCCACTGACCCACCAGTCTGCCAATTATTTTGGTAATTTGAAACATAAACCTTGATTCATTTTGAACTTATCTTGCTACTATTCCAACAGACTACTGGCTATGAGAATTACAGCTGGAATTAGCTAGCAGTAACTGAATTTGTTGCTCTTGGTTATATGACCTTTTTTCCCATCTTGAATATGTTCTTTAGAAACCTGAACTCATCAGGAACTTTTCTGGGTAGCTGCCTGCTAGAGTCCTAAGTTGGGTATCTACCACACTTCTTCCTTTTAGAGTATCTGTGGTTATATTATGTTTTATTATTATATTATCTGACCTTCCCATCTTCTTGAGAGTTTTTGGCCCTGGGATTATGTCTATATTTTTATCTGAACAGTTTGATTTCTTCATTCCTAAAGGCTAGTGCCCTATATCCTCTTTCATAACTTAAGAATGCAAAGATGGGCCAGACGCGGTGGCTCACGCCTGTAATCCCAGCACTCTGGGAGGCTGAGGTGGGTGGATCATTTGATGTCAGGAGTTTGAGACCAGCCTGGCCAACAAGGTGAAATCCTATCTCTACTAAAAATACAAAAAAAAAAAAAAGAATGCAAAGATGACTTTGTTTCTTCACAAGGTTCTTGTCACTTACTTTTACCAATACAAGTTCTCCTTTGGGGGTCAGAATTCAGTCCAAAATGCGTGTTCTCTTAACTGTTGCTGTTGATAAGACAAGAGCCTTTTCCCCAAAATTCTGAAGAGCACCATTTTCTAAATGAGCAGTGTATTTTCAGATACAAGCTATGCTTGGTCATGTACCTGCTTGTTATTTCATTAATGAGTTATTGTCAGAGTCCTCTGGGAACTCTCAAGAAATGGGGTGATTCATTTCCTGAGGTTATGTTGGGTTCGAGGAGCTCTTAAAGAGAATTAACTTGGCAACGTACACATAGATAGACTTTAGCATTACCACTGAGTGGGCAGATGGCTGCCATCATGTCTGGATAATAGGTTGACTCTGTTGGTTCAGTTTGCTTTAAAAGTAATATAAACCTTTAGCTTCACACTGGTTACAAGAAGGAGACTGAATGAGTTAATTTATCCAAATATCTGTTTCAAAATTTTCTTAAACCAAAAGCATATCTGCCAGGTGAGATTTCTCCCCTTGTGAGAGATTTGTAGGGGGAGATTACTTAGTCTCCCATTGACATTTATTATTCTGCCTTGTAACCCTACCAGTTGGTTTAACCCCTAGCCTTTTTGTAGCAGTATCTTTTTTTTTTTTTTTTAAGGCAGGGTCTCGCTCTGTCATCCAGGTGGGACTGCAGTGGTGCAGTCATGGCACACTGCAGCCTCACACTCTTGGACTCAAGCAATCCTCACACCTCAGCCTCCAGAGAAGTAGCTGGGACCACAGGGGGCACCACCACACGTGACTAATTTTTTAAAAAAATTTTCTGTAGAGATGTGGTTCTCATTATGTTTCTCAGGCTGGTCTCAAACTCCTGGCCTCAAAAGATCCTTCTGCCTTGGCCTCCCAAAGTGCTGGGATTACAGGCATGTGCCACCACGCCTAGCCAAATCGATTTTAATAATCTCAATATGAGATGAAGTGTTTGGATAGAATGATGTCACGAAAAGATTTCTGTCAAGGATTAGAATCCCAAAGGTGTAAAACTAAAATCTCAAAAACATGAGAAAGGTGAAAGAAAAAGTTTTGCATATAATTTGGATTTAAGAAGGACCCAGAAGCCCTGTGATTCTAAAGAAGGCTTGAATTGAGTGATTTCTCATGTCAAGCGTCTCACCAGCTCACTGGGTGATAAAACAAGTGTTGGGCAGATTTTCTTCCTTGCCTCCCTCTCCGTCCCTCTTCTCCTTCTTCGACACCAAAGATAATGTAAAATCAGTGCAGTTACTCAAATGCTGCTTAGTTTTTCAAGGGCTGGCTTCCTGCTTCTGTTATAGTCTGTCTTGGAGACTTTCCTCAGTATATACTTTCCTTCAACTTTTTACTTTTTAATTTCTAAGACCACGGGAAAGTTGGAAAAACCGTATAACGAACACCCATGAAACCTTCACCTAGAGTCACAAATTGTTAGCATTTGCCGGTTTGCTCTACTTCTATCATTGGTCTATTTATCTATCCTGTGTATCCATCCATTATTTTTTAGCTGAATCATTTTAAAGAAAGTTGCAGACATCATGCTCCCTCACAGCTACTTAAATGTGTATCTCCAATAAATAAGGGCATTTTCCTATATAATCACAATGCCATTCTCACACCTAAGAAAATTAACATGAACTCGGTATGACTTATAGACTATATTTTCTCAGTTGTCTCAAATTATTTATGGCCACTTTTCCCCTTCAATCCGGGATTTAGCCAGTCCTGAACTAAATCCTGGATTGGATTTACACATTGCAAATTTGTTTAGTCATTGCATTTGGCTTTTATACTCCTTTAGTCTTTTAAAATCTATAACACATTATCTGCCTTTTTTCTTTATTTATTTGGTTTTTGTGGCCTTGATTTTTTTTTGAAGAATCTGGAGCAGTTATCGTGTAGAATATCCCACATTTTGGATTTGTCCAATTGTATAGAATAGTACACAGAGGATGTGTTATTCTCAATGCTTTATTCAGGAGGCACCTAATATCAAGTTGTCCTGCTATTGATGATGTTTAGTTAAGATTGTGACTCTCTGATCATTCATTGTAAGATTATGTTTTGTAAAATTTTATTTCCCCATTTGTAGTGAATGATTTGTCTGTTCAGATCATCTGAACATCCTGGCCCCAACACTTTCACCGAATGGTTTTAGCATCCAGTGATGATCCTTGTGTGATTTAGTTATTGCAGTGGGGATAATTTTTCTGTAATTATATTATATTATATTATAATATATATATTGTTGTGTCCAACCCTTATTAAGTGCCATTCTAATATAAGAAAAAAATTGGGGGCCAGACACGGTGGCTCATGACTGTAATCCCAGCACTTTGGGAGGCCGAGGCAGGCGGATCACGAGGTCAGGAGGTCGAGATCATCCTGGCTAACATGGTGAAACCCCGTCTTTACTACAAATACAAATACAAAAAAAAAAAAAATTAGCCGGGTGTGGTGGCGGGCACCTATAGTCCCAGCTACTCGGGAGGCTGAGGCAGGAGAATGGCGTGAACCCAGGAGGCAGAGCTTGTAGTGAGCCGAGATCATGCCACTGCACTCCAGCCTGGGTGACAGAGTGAGACTCCATCTCAAAAAAAAAGAAAAAAAAAAAGAAAAAAATTTCTCTTTTGCTCCTCTGTCTTTTAGTATCATTAGAGACCCATGTCCTATTTTCATTCAATGTGTAATCTGTTACCATCATTTTTCTTTTTTATGTTTGAATTCTCCTAAATTCGGCCAGTTGGAGCCCCATCAGGCTGGTTCCTGTGTTCTTTTGAGATGACTGCATTTATTTCTGAGCATTTCCTTAAACTTTCCCTGCCTTAGCCCAGGATCAGCCATTTCTCCAAGGAGCCCTGGTTCCTGTTCCTGGTGAATGTTATATGGAAACCAAGCCTTTGCCTTAGAGACTTTCACTGCAAGGATTCTCTTACTTGCATTTGGGCAGATACAGTACCAATGAAGGGGAGACCTGGAAAACATTCATCTTCTCTGAGAAGCCAGTGTTTGTGTATGGCCTCCTCACAGAACCTGGGGAGAAGAGCACTGTCTTCACCATCTTTGGCTCGAACAAAGAGAATGTCCACAGCTGGCTGATCCTCCAGGTCAATGCCACGGATGCCTTGGGTAAGCTGCTGCCTCCTTGGACCTTTTCACATGGATATGCGTGGACTTCCTGTTATGTGCAAAGCACCAGCTTAGATACTGTGTACTCAGAAGAGCCTGACATTCATTGGGGGAGATGGGCCCATAAGAGTTAGCAAAAAGCATAGGGAGGTAATTGAAGGCCTGCTCAATTCTTCTTAGTAAGACTGGGTGCTATTCTTTGTATCTTAGTTTCCTCATGCAGTTCCTGGCACATAAGAAGTTTAAATATATGTCTGCTGAATATGTAGATAAATGCATGAATGAAAAACATATTTCCAAATCAGCAGTGCCAATTGGACGTATTCAGTGAGTGTGCCTGACTGTCTGTAAGTCAGTGTGCCAAGCGACACAGGGTCCTCTCAAAGCCATCTAGGATCTAGTTGTGATCTGCTAATCTAGATACAGGATGCATAAGTATGCAGGGAGAAGTGAAACTCTTCAGCATCCTCTCCCTGCTTCCCCATCTTATCTTACCCTTTCCTACCTCTCAGCCTTGGCTAACCTGATTCTAGCTGCCCGGAGTGCCCTGTTTCTTCTCATTTCCACCCGTTCAGCCTCCCCTACTCGAAATCCTTTTCATATCTCAGGATCCAACACATTTGTGGCTGATATCCCAACCAGAAGACGTCTCCCTTCTTCTCTATGTCCAGAACATAAGTGTATGCATAACTTTGTGTCTGTCACTCGGTGTGTTTCACCTTCCATTGACTAGATTATAAAGCCCTTAAAGATAAGAACTTGCCCTGTGCATATTTGTATTGTACCTACTGGAAAGCCTGATAGCCTAACAGTCTGTAGGAGTTTAATAAGTTTACTGATTTGCATGGCATTGAGTCAAAGGTTGTGTATCAGCTTCGGGTAGTATCTAATCTGACTGAAGACACATATATAAGAGACACAAAGTGCCAACATAGACATAGGCATACTTTGGAATGCTTGTAGAAAGCACCCTACTTAGACATTTCGATGAACGTGGCAGATGGAGTGATGGTGCAAGGTATCTTAGCATTTTCCAGCCTCTTTCCATGGAGATCCTGTACCTTCAAGTAGGGCCAGCGAGCCCTCCATTGCCTTCGGGCCACACTACCAGATGTGCCCTCACTGCCTGAGGAAGCAGGCCAGGAACATTAACCCCCAATGGTATTGCTCATCAAGGATTCAGCTGTTCCCTAGTTCTCTAGGAGAGAAACACTTCTGAGTACTCATTTCTAAAGGGCACTGCTGACTCTTCTGTAATGTTTCGGAAATTTGGATAGTGCCTAAAGGTGGCTTGCTTCTTTCCAACTTTTCCAGGCAGATGCCTGCGTTTCAGGTATCCTTTTCATTGGCATAGGGCTGCCCAGCTTCAAAACAAGCTGATTGGAGGGTCTGTGTGCTTGCGGGGTGGCAACAGATAGACAGGAAGTGGGGGTTGAGGCCAGGCACCTTGAGGCATAGCAGGAAACCCTACATGGGCCTGCCTCTAATGCTTCGTGCTGTGTTCCTTTTTCTTTAGGAGTTCCCTGCACAGAGAATGACTACAAGCTGTGGTCACCATCTGATGAGCGGGGGAATGAGTGTTTGCTGGGACACAAGACTGTTTTCAAACGGCGGACCCCCCATGCCACATGCTTCAATGGAGAGGACTTTGACAGGCCGGTGGTCGTGTCCAACTGCTCCTGCACCCGGGAGGACTATGAGTGGTCAGTTCTTCTTTGATGGCTGGGGACTGAGTTGTGTTTTATTCACTCAGCAGTGTTGGGGGAAGAGATTAGGCATGGTCCCTTTCCCTGAGCAAAGGAAGGGAATAGAAGGAAACAAGTATTTGTGAAGCATCTTTTATGTGCCAGGAACTGTGCTAAGCATGTTTCATGTAAGTTGTTTTCTTTAGTTCTTATAGCCAGGTAATGCGGTAGAGGTGTCTAGGAGAGCTGCAGCTATTTCTACAGGAATAGATAGCTCTGGGATTTATTTCTATTAGGGTAACCCAAAAATATGCTGAAGGTTTCATTGTTTTTAATCCTTCTCCTTAGGACCCTA
The DNA here is from genome assembly GCF_000001405.40 of Homo sapiens. NCBI lineage: Eukaryota > Metazoa > Chordata > Mammalia > Primates > Hominidae > Homo > Homo sapiens. The sequence goes on from NC_000011.10 coordinate 121,545,767, forward strand.
TTCTAGAGGGGATTTATTTCTTTATCTGAAACGAGGGGATGTTAGTGTGTGTATATGTGTGTGTGTTTGCATCATTTATTATTCCTTAAGCAAAATATCCAAGGCACTGCTGCGAATGCTAAAAGTAGGAGAAGTGATTTGTGCATGGCTAATTGGCACAGGAGATAGAAGAGAGCAAGTGCCTCAGAGGAGGAACTGGTACTTTTATTGTGACTATTGAAAGGAAGGAGAGGGCTGTGGATTGCTGTTGGAGAATGAGGAGATTTTTGGAAGAAGTGCTGTTTGAGCTGGGCTCTCAGGGAGCATCAATATTTGCAGACAGCAGTGTTTTGAGACCATGTGTCTGCAACAGTCAGGTGTAGAGGCAGCAGGGTGTGGTTGGGAGTTGAATTGGGATGCCTTGTTGGGTGTATGACATGGGGATGACAATTGGAGATGAGGCTGAAAAGATAGAATACAGTAGGGGAGAAAGACCTTAGAGGGGATGAACCTTATTCTATAATTAGGAGGAGGCCTTCAGCGGCTTTTGAGGAGAGTTGATGATGAGAACAGAGCTTAGCTGTAGGAGCTTTTGAGGAGAGTTGATGATGAGAACAGAGCTTAGCTGTAGGAAGAGGATTCTAGTGGCAGAGTACAGAGGATCTCAGAGCTCCTGGACAGTCACTGTAGTCTGTAATTCAGCATGAAATCATTGTAGTTTAGTCAGGAGCACCAAGAGAGCCATGGGTATTTAATATAAATACACAACTCATATTTCAGTGGTTGCTGAGGCACAGAGGAACTAGATTTTGCTTTGGGCAGCTGTACTTGTCTTGACTAAAGCCAGAAACCTCTGATGTATTCTAGACCAGAGGTTGGAACATGGTCATATAGTAAATGTTTTAGACTTTGTAGGCCATATGGTTTCTATGATCTGTGTTACAACTCCTCACTTTGCCCATGGCAGTGCCCATGGGTGAATGAAAGCAGCTCTAGAGGAATGAACGTGGCTGTGATCCAGTAAATCTCTATTTACAAAAATGGCCAACCAGGTTTGGCCACTTCTGTTCTCAACCAGTGCTTCTGAAACTTTAAGGTGCATATGAATCACTTGCAGATTCTGCCTTGGTCACATGCAGATTCTGCCTCAGGAGTTCTGGGGCTCTGCGTTTCCATCAAGCTCCCAAGAGATGTGGATGCTGCTTATCTGCACATTCGCCCTTTGAGCAGCAAGGCTTAGAACAGAGAAGACAGTCATTTCCTTAGAAAGGTGTGTGCTCCCAAGGTAACGACACAGACTCTTTAACAGCAAAAGCACAGGGCTGGCTGATGTTCTTGGTGACTTCAGTTCCATGCTGTTTGCCTTCTGCTCTTTCTTACACACTTTTGCATTATAGTCTAATCTAATCTGAGAGCTTTGTTGGCTCCAGGTAGTCCTCCCCAGACCAGCTTGAGACTGGAGAGGTCCTAATCCCTGAAAAGATCATAGTGCCCTCTCTCTCCCCTCTTCCTATCCCCAATATGTACTTCAAAATAAAATTAAGACTAAGTAAAAAATAGGTAAGAAAGTCTAACAAATCTTTGGGGTTTTTTTTTTTTTCATGACATTTAGGCTTAAAAACAAATAACATTAAAATTTTCTCTCTTGCCCTACATTTCCCCAACCCTCACCAAAAAAAAAAAAAAAAAAAAAAAAAAAATCACACACACAAGAAAAGAAATGGAGCTTGGTGTGCCCTCCTGGGTAAACTGGCCTGGGACCTGCTGGTCTACCATGCCCACCCCATCTGCCTTGCTGGAACCTGCTGTATGCTCACCCTGCTTGTATGTGGAGTGTTTTTATTGTAGACCAGTAAAACCACCTGCTCTGCCCCTTGTGGAGTTGGGTTGCAGGCCAAATGAGATCGTGGGGTGATGACCCTCTGAAATGGTAAGGGGTATATGGATGTCAGCTGTTCCCCGCTCCACCCCTCCCAATTGTTTCTCTGCTTGCTGTAGCTGCTGGAAGGCAGCCAGCCCAACTATATGGCTCTTGGAGATGTTTGATGGCATTGGACTATGGCACTGAGAAGGAAAATGGTCCCAAGATGGACGTCAGGAAATGAGATGAGAATGAGCAAGCTTATAGTATCTTTCCATTAGTTCAGGTACTGGTTGACAACTGTGTTTGAACACCAGGTTATTTCTGATAGTCCTTTTAGACCACACTGGGAAGCCCAGCTATTGGCCCATGTTTCCTGATTTCCATGGTAGATTCTTTTATGTTCTTATATTTCTCGACATTGCCAAGTCATACAGCTTTCACATTCTTGACTGCAACCCCTAGTAAATAATACATTTTCTCTTATGACCCTGTACTTACATATGTACGTGTAGATACATACACACATATAATTAAAACACAAGTTTTAGGAGACAACATTGACTTTTAAATGTATGATGGGGCCTTTTGCAATCTTTTGCACTTTTTTGGGAGGGGAAGAATCTAGTCTTGGGCCTCCCAAGTACTCTCAGAGTCCACTAGGTCATGACCTATGGTCAAAGAAAGCTGCCCAGGAAGAGTGCTTTGCTATTGGAGGCAAATAAGTAATTAGCTAATGCTTTATCTGGTTCCTAAAAAGATTTAAAGTGGCCGTTCAGTAATAACGAACTGAGGTAATGAAAGAGGCACATTTGATACAGTGACAAAACTGCTGCCTTTTGAACAATTCTTACAAACTATTAAATGTGGATTATGATATAATGCACACAAATCACTCTCTGTGTATCTGTTAATACTTTTTGTGTCAGAAATGTTTAATGAATATTTGGAGTTTTTCTTTTTGTTTTTTGTTTTTCTGAGACAGAGTCTCACTCTGTCACCCATGCTGGAGTGCAGTGGTGCAATCTTGGCTCACTGCAACCTCTGCCTCCCAAGTTCAAGCCATTCTCTTGCCTCAGCCTCCAGAGTAGCTGGGATTACAGGTGCGTGCCACCATGCCCAACTGATTTTTGTATTTTTAGTAGAGACGGGGTTTTGCCATGTTGCCCAGGCTGGTCTAGAACTCCTGACCTCAAGTGAGCCACCCGCCTCAGCCTCCCAAAATGCTGGGATTACAGGCGTGAGCTACCATGCCGGACCTAAATATTTGTTGAATTGAATAGAGCAAATAAATGTGTTCTGGTAGAGCACATGAACGTGGAATATATGTTCTGTTCTATAATTCTTTGAATATATTCTGTAATTCATTGAATTATAGAATTTACAGGTTTGGAAGGGCCTTAGAACATTCATAGTACAGTCACCTCGTTTTAGAATCGTCTTCGACTGAGGCCTCCTGCTTCCTACTCCAGGATGCTGCCCTTCAAGCTGGGAGGTTTGGCAGATGTGACTCCAGATCACAAGAGGTCTCATGAACCTAACTACTGTATCTCAAAGTACAGGGTGACTTAGCTAGTATGTGGATATACTCTTAAATAACATTGAACCCCTAGTCAAATTTTTTCTTTTTTTCTGAGACAGGGGCTTGCTCTGTTGCCCAGGCTGGAGTGCAGTGGCGCAATCACGGCTCACTACAGCCTTGACCTCCTGGGCTCAAATGATTCTCCCACCTCAGCCTCCCAAGTAGCTGGGACCACAGGTGTGCAGCACCATACCTGGCTATTTTTTTTTATTCTTTTTTGTAGAGACAGGGTCTTACCATGTTGCCCATGTTGGTCTGGAGCTCCTGGGCTTAAACAATATGTCTGCCTTGGCCTCCCAAAGTGTTGGGATTACAGGCGTGAACCACCATGCCCGGCCCCAAATAATTTTTTAAAAAGGTTATTCTTTTAAAATTCCTCTTTTACTTCTTCAGATTCTGTCAAAAAGAACGTCTCATTGGTTGCTAGTAACTGTAACATTTGCCTAATCCCTTTTAACAGAGAGGGCAGGTCCAGAGTCTTAAATTGGGAACTGGATCTGGCTAAAATTTAATACTGTTTTGATTTGGCATGATGATTTTTTTTTTTTTTGGTCTATTTATGGCATGTGATTGTGTTTTTCCAACTGTGGTTCTGATATAAATCTTCTTTTGAAGATGTATTTTATATAAAAAGTAAATATTCTTTAAAGGGACATGTTAAATAACTTATAATAAAAGTGAAAAGTAGTAAGGTAAAGTCAGCAGAATTGGTACAGGAATGCCTGAAATGTATAAAACCGTGGCCTTAACAAAGCCCAATTGCCTTTTTAGTGACTTCGGTTTCAAGATGAGTGAAGATTTGTCATTAGAGGTTTGTGTTCCAGATCCGGAATTTTCTGGAAAGTCATACTCCCCTCCTGTGCCTTGCCCTGTGGGTTCTACTTACAGGAGAACGAGAGGGTATGTATCACAGAGGTTGCCCTGTCAGGTTCTCAGCGGTCCGCACATGGAGCGAGAGAGCATAGAGGACCGTCTGGATTGCTCTACACTCGAAATTCTAGAATTCCAAGTTAACAGCCTGCAAGTAGTTTGGGCAACATTATAAATTATGGTATTTGTAAACTCTCCTACCTCCACATTGCAAGTCTGTAAGCATCCCTGAAACTCTAGGAATATCTTAAGTCATCAACTTCAGCAGGGAAACATCTTCAGAGGAATGTATTCAAGAGATATATTTAAAAATCTTGGCCAGGACAGTGCCCTAAATTGTCTGGGCCTGCCTAGTCTAATTATAAGGAGAACTGACTCAGAACTACGAACATCCTCTTTCTAGTTCTAAAGAGAAATGAGTGGATGGACTCTACTGGCCGTGGGTAGTAAGTGTATTCCCAGCTGGGATGCCTTTGTGGCTATTCTTCCATGTTTCTGACCTCTTGCTCTTGGGGTGGGGTGACAGCTACCGGAAGATTTCTGGGGACACTTGTAGCGGAGGAGATGTTGAAGCGCGACTGGAAGGAGAGCTGGTCCCCTGTCCCCTGGCAGGTAAGAGAGGTGGTTTCTTCCCTTTCATTTCTTGAGACATGGTTGAAGCAGTATCACGATCTCACCCAAGTCCGGGCTTGTGGCTCCTTTAATTGAGTGGAGAAAAACAATGGCCGTCACAAGCATCACAGGGCTTCCTCTTTTCCCTAAGGTTGGTTTCCACACTGAACTTGTACATAGCCATACCCGTTTTTAGGAATGGAAAGTACTTTGTGTCAGCTCAGTTTCTTTGAGGGAAATCCCTTTGTTAATTGAAAAATATTTATTCAGCATCCACTGGGGTAGAAAGATCCCCACAGGCTTTTGTGTGTTCCTTAATCTGTTTGTCAAAGTTGAGTATAAAGAGGTGTGTGACTTCTTAGGAAGTAGCTAAGTAGTCTATGTTAATTTTATAATAAAACTAACTGTAACTAAAATTTTAATGGAATTTTATAGATTTCAGTGTACTTTTTATGTGTTGCCAGTTTAACCCTTTTAACAACTCAGGGAAGCAGATATTATCAATTTTGTTTTTTACTTTTTCACGAGGAAGCATGTTCAGAGGAGGTTAAATGGCTTAAGGTCACACATCTAGTAAGTGACAAAGTTGAAATTCAGACTCTAAGCCCCATGCTCTTCATTGGACATTGCCCAAATGGCAAATAAATATCATTCTCACTATTTTAGATAATCATTATGCATGCTAATTAAGAAAAACTTCTCTGAAATGATTCACATGCTATAAAGGTATAGTGTGTTCTAAAACACGTTTCTGCTAGATTTAGTGGTGATGTAACATGGGGTCTTTACCACAGAGACATGAAATTATGATACTTTGAAAAATAATCTCTTAGTTGCTTTTCTTCACTCTGTTTCCAGTTCTTATTCATTTAAAGCTTCTTTATTCCCTCTGTGCCCTCTTTCCTGCCCATTACCTCTTGGTGAAGGTAAATGGCTGGAGTTAACTTCCGTCTGTGGTGGGTGGTGGTGTCTTACGTGGACAGCCATAAGCACCGAATGAATCATGAAAGAAGTGTGTGGTCTCCACAGGCAGGGCAGGGCAGCCCTCTCTTTTGCTCACTGCCGCCAGCTTGCCCTGGTGTTTTTCATGCTAAGTTCGTTAGTCCCTTAATTTAATCTTTCATCATTACCAGAGTAATTAACATACCTCACTATGGAGGCTTGAAAAGAACCACCACTTCAGCAAATTCCAACAAATGAGCAGATAATATTCAAATATTTCCCTCACAAGAGCTGTTATTGATGAGGGCGTGGGTTAGTAGGGTTTGAGTGATTGCTCTTGAGGGGCTGGAGTGCCTACTTTTGTAATAAATATTTCTGAAGATAATTCAGCAAGGGACAAAACAGTTTGTTTAAAGCCATCTAAACTGGCAGGAAAGCTATTTTCTCTTCTACTGGAAGATAGAACAGGGAACGAAGTGGAGAAATCTCATTCCATTGTGGGCCACCTCCTATGTAAAAGAGAGAAAAAAAAAGGCATGGAATAGGAGGCAGGGATATACCAGGAAAGAAAAAGATGCTTTCACAGGACTAATGGGGGCCGTAATATCTTTGCAAAGATGAGGTAATCTGGGCATCTGGAAGGATTTTTTAAATGCAAGAATTTTTCTTCCTTTACAATTACTATGAAAACACACATTCCTTGGCCAGGACCAGCCAAGAATTCCATTCCTTTTCCAGGTTAAGCATTGCGCGCTGGAATGCCGCATGCTGCTCTGAACATAATCCTAAAACACGTATTTCTGGATTCAGGTTCTACTTTATGGGTATTAGTTTCTTAGAGGAAAAAAAAGCCCAGAGTGACAGAATGAGGTTTATAGATGCTGGAGAGAGATGTGGGGCAAAAGCCTTGCTGCTGCAAATGTAGCTTTCATGTCCCTATACCTTAGCTGGCCCCCTCCCTGGGAATGACAGCGGGAAGGTTTCCTTGACAACCAAAAGGGGAGGTAGGTTACCATGTGATGGTAACATAGATACTTCTAAAGTGACCTGGAACCAAAGGAAAAGAAGGAAAACTTACCTTATTAAAAATTGTAGGTAGATTTATTTTTTGATGCATTATCTATATTACAGCTTTTATAAAGAAGGTGAGTGGTACATGTTAAGTCACTGAGTGTATGGAATCAGGAAGTGGGCAGGAATGGCTAACCCAGGCATGCAGCAAAAGAATTCCGATTTGCATCTTGGTCCCATATGCAACACACTGTCAAGATGCACACTTTAGACACAGATGCTGGTGTGCTGCTTGTGTCCACTCCTGGGGAAGAATCTGGATGTTTCCCAAGCCGTTCCCTAAGTGGACAAGACAGTGTACTGGGTCTTCCTATTTCCAGTTGTCTGACATTAGGTAAGTATCTTCAGCACTCAGGACCTTCATTTCTACATCTTAAAAATCATCCACGGTAGCGTCTGTATCATAACAGGCAGCACAGTGTAGTGGTTAAAGCATAGACTCTGGATCCAGAGTGCCTGGGTTCCAATCTTGGTTCTGCCACTTGCTAGTTGTGTGACCTTGGGTGAGTTACTTAACCTCTCTGGTCTCAGTTTTCTCATTTGTAAAATTTGGTTAACAAGAGTTCTACCATCAGGCAGTTGTTGTGGGTCTTAAACAATACCCGATACGTAGTAAGCACATTATACACAATATGTACACAATTTATATTTGTTGAGTAGAAACAGAATTTTTGTGGTGATTATGTTGTGGAACATTTTGTAAATAGCCAAGAACAAATGCATTATTAGTATTATTTTGGAGATCTAAGAGGTTCATAGAATTGCCATATGGTGTTGTGAACAATATGAATAAGTGAGCAAATTGATTAGAGAGCTTAGTTACAAAGCTTCAGTGACTAATGGTCTCTCGTCAACAAGATGATGATGCTGTGGTGATACAGTCACGTGAGGAGGGAGAACAGGGCGATTGGTGTAATTAGGTTGGCAAGTGTGACTTGAAGACTGGCAGGCTTAGCCCAGAAGTATGGTTGTTGAAGCATGCATATTGGGAGATTTAGAATAAAGAAAAACATAACAAGTAAAACACTTGCAGATGAAGAAACAGATTCACTGGAGTTTAAGTAACTTGCCTGAGGCAGAAATGTGATTCCATTACACACCTCCTGAGTCTTGATTTCTGTGCTCTTCACTTGGTCCACACCACATGCCAATGAATTTGAGGTTTGTGTATGAGAAACAAATAGGTCAGATGTGCTAGGACCTCTTCAGCATCCCCTGGGTCCAACCTCCCACGTGTCTTGTGTGTCTGGCAGAAGAGAACGAGTTCATTCTGTATGCTGTGAGGAAATCCATCTACCGCTATGACCTGGCCTCGGGAGCCACCGAGCAGTTGCCTCTCACCGGGCTACGGGCAGCAGTGGCCCTGGACTTTGACTATGAGCACAACTGTTTGTATTGGTCCGACCTGGCCTTGGACGTCATCCAGGTGAGTCAGCGCTTGGTCTGACTGTGGGAGCTGTGCATCGTGACTGCCCTGTCCTGATAAGCTGCATGCAGAATGGCCTATGGAAATGGGCAGTTAGAAGTTTGTAAGTGTTACTCATCTCAGGGCTGACAGGTGAAAGTTTCCAGTCTTCTGTGTTAGTATTTTTCTTTCTCTGTCTTCATCTGTTCATATAGGAAGGATAAAGAAAGCCCTAAATCCACAGACCTGCTTGAAAGTGAGGTCTTGCTTTTCCTGCTGGGAAGGTGTTGGGACTAGTAATGTAGGATGATTAGTTGCCCCCCTATTGTGCCAACTGCCTCTTGAGCATCTTTCTTCCCAAGCCATGATACAGTAACACTTGACTTACCCATAGCTCACATAATTATCCACTTCAGCTGTTCTGAACACAGGTAAGAACCAGGAAGTAAGCATTAAAGAGCCCTGGACAGGCCAGGTGGATAGCCATACGCTCACACCCATGCATTTAAAGGAGAGCTCTTTGATCTTTATTCATTGTCTACTTAATCCTTTTAGAAAAGCAATTCCAACAAATTTTTATCTAGATTCCAACCCAACAGAAATTTCACAGTGCCTGGGTATTTGAGGGGCTTGGGGTGGGGGATGGCGGTGATGCTGAATGGAGCTGTCCAACAATAGCACTTGATGGCTAAGAGCCTCACAGGGAAGAAAGAGTATAAAAGCAGACACAAGAACTGAAATGTAACAGCAGTCTGGTTTCACTTATTTTAAAAGCAAACAGACTCATACAATCTCAGTAATCTCTGACTTTATTATTGCCATACAGCATAATTTAGTAACCAGTGTTCATAATGATAATGCAGAGTAATATATATGATTAAATTCTCTTTATTCTGCTTTAAAAAACAAAAATGTAGTATATTTTAGAAATGCTTTCATGAAAACCTGGCTTCATGTGTCTGGAAAGTTTACTAACGTAAAACATCTCATCCCTTGCCAGTCCTGCCAGTTGAATAAAGGGTTACCCTTCATGGGACTGACTTGGCAGGGGGTCGTTTGAACAGTTCCTAGCATTTATTATTACTTTTCTCTCTTAAGCGCCTCTGTTTGAATGGAAGCACAGGGCAAGAGGTGATCATCAATTCTGGCCTGGAGACAGTAGAAGCTTTGGCTTTTGAACCCCTCAGCCAGCTGCTTTACTGGGTAGATGCAGGCTTCAAAAAGATTGAGGTATGTGTATTTTCGTGCTGTTCTTAATTAAGGGAGCAGGCGGGGCACCTGGGCTTTGAGCCACATTTGACACAGAGGCAAGGGCCAGTGTGTCAGATTACTCAGGAAATTTACTGCGAGTTTCCAGAGAATGGACCAGCTGAGCCTCTGGAGAGGAGAGAAAAGGGGGTAAGTACCTGTGAGTTGATCTTTTGGCTAGCAGAAGCTTAGCTAATAACAATAAATGGTAATATTTTTATTTTATTTATATATGTACTTACTTATTTTATTTATATATTATTTTTGTTTTATTTTACTACTTTTATTAAACATGATGGCAAAAACTACAATCACTTTTGCATCAGCCTAATATCATGGTATTATTATAATGCTATAACAATAATCGTCTAGTATTATTTTATTCGATTAGAGTGATAGCAACAATATCATCATCATCATCATCATTGCCACTGTTATTAATCCCCATTTCTCTGCAACTTAGCTACCTAGTAACCTGTCCCACCTTATATACCCAAGGCAAGGATGATGAGTGACCTCTAAACTGCCAAATCTTTGTCTGGGGGAATGTAGTGTGCTCAGCTCACTGCCTCAGCACCTCTTTATACTGACTCTGCATGGAGAGACGGCATGTGGGTGAAGTGGGAAGTGCAGTAGAAGCAGGGAGATGCAGAGGGCTAAGAGGAGTTGCAAGACGAAAGACACAGACTCGAGAGATAGACCCAGATGTAGGCTTGACTCCACTAGCTCAGCGACATGGGGCAAGGTGCTTATGCTTTCTAAACTTCAGTTGCTTCATGCGTTAGATGGAGATTCATATATTCGCACAACCATTTGACAGGGGTTCTCTGCATGATACATGTGGTTTAGGTTCTGATGATAAAGCAGTGGGCAGGACACACACGTTCTTGTTCCAGTAGAGCTTAGATTTTAGTGGAGGAAGCAAAATAATAAATCAGTTCTGTTGGTGGTACATGCTGCAAAGACTCTGAAGCAGTGCAGTGTGATTGCGCTTTTGGAGAGTGGGGCAACATTAGAATAGGCAGACAGAGCAGGCAACTTGAGGTTGATGTCTTAGCTGAGCCCTGGCTGAGAAGAGGATGATCTTTTGTCCACCTCCTGGGGATGCTGATAGAAGTGAACTGGCATCTACTGAATGCTGCCTCGGTGGTTATGTTATTGCTCTTTCTCTCCTTTCTTTAATTGCGTGTGGTCAGCACTTGGCTAGGGGCTAAAAGAATGCAGGTGATGCACAAGCACCCACCTTTTCACAGGCTGTGGGGCGACCACTGCACAACTCAAATACTGTTGGTGCAAAATGGTGTCAGATGAGCCAAGGTGCAGAGCTACTGATGCTTATTGGTCCAGGTGGGTCAGAAGAGTTAGGAAAGTAGGCAGGCCTGGCAGTGAGGTTTGAAGGAGAGTTATGCCTTGATTAGATTAAGCAGTGGGGCAGGTAGGCCCAGGATGGGATGTGGCAAGAGCAGACAGCAGTGAGTCCGCATCAGGCTTGGAGAAGCAAGAGATGACCAGCCTGGCTGACGGGAAGGAGCAAGAATATGAGTCCCACCTGTGGACTCTTCATTGCAAGGCTGTGACATTGAGAATTTGTTTTATGGGAGTGTGGAGTCATCGATTGCCTTGGAACGTGGAGTGACACGGGATGGTGAAATAAGTAAATGCTCATTTGCTTATTTACTTATTTGAGTAATTTACTTATTGATACTGCTTTGTCCAGATCATCATGCCCTGGAAACTGGGGCTTACATGGTTCTAGCTCCTCTTTCAGACCACTTGAAAATTGTCCCATGAGTCAGAGGAAGGAACAGCGCATTGTGACTAGAAGTTGGGGCAGGTTTCGCAGATGGGTCAGGTCAGGGAAATAGGCAGGCATGGAGGGGGCATGTCTGTAGCAGAAGCTGAGTAGCCATCTTTGGCAATGGGGGTCTTTAAGGAGCTCCGATCCATCTCAGCCTCTTTTCCCCCTGTTTTTGTCAGGTAGCTAATCCAGATGGCGACTTCCGACTCACAATCGTCAATTCCTCTGTGCTTGATCGTCCCAGGGCTCTGGTCCTCGTGCCCCAAGAGGGGTAAGTGTTGCCCCAAAAGGAAATCAGTCTTGCGTCCAATGCTACACTAATAGATTCTCATGGAAACACAGACTGCGGGACAAAAACTCTGTTTCTCATGATGGTGGTTGAAATGGTCTATTAACTGAGAAGTTTGAGACCACAGCTTAGTCATCGTGGTCAGGTAACTCCGTTCGCTTTTTGTTAGCCAGTGTCAGAGTCTCTTTAGGCATCCAGATGTCTTGCATCTGTGGGTTGTTTCTCTAGAAAAGTTGATGTTAAAAGAGAGCTTCTGTAGACATAGACAGGCCTGCTTGGATATTGTGAGAACTTTCTCTTGAGTTTCATGCATGGTACAAACATTTAATTCATTCCATCTTTCCCCTGCCTTCCCAGCATGTGTAGGTTTTCTTACGTACAATCAGTGTGCACTTGGGGAAGGCAAAGGTGCTTTTTATTAACTCATTAACTGAAGGAAACATAATTAAGAGGGAAATTCTGGATTTGACATTCTGGCTTTTCCTCTCTCGTAGCATTTATGATAGAGAATTGGCACAATTTTTTTCAAGGAAAATTCTAAGAGTAATGTATGTACTTGGTTGACAATATTTAGAGAGAACAGCACTTTATGAAAAAAATTTGCATTCTTCCTTTTCATTCTTAACCCTTTACCCTCACACTTCCTAGTGGTAATCATTGTTAATAATGTCTTGTGTATCTTTCATGATTGCTTTTACTTATGTACAAGTATTATCTTTAAAACACACACATATACACACACATGCACGCCAAATAGGATTGTAGTGTAGTTACTATTCTGTACCTTTTTAAACAAACTTAATATGTATTGAAAATAGTTCTGTGTGAGCATATATAGATTTTTAGGTTTCACAGTATTCTATTATATGTACCATAATGTGTCACTTCCTCTGCTGATTAACATTTAGTTTAATATACATACATATACATTTCTTTGTATATTATCTTTGCATAATTTGATTTTATCTATAGATAAATTCTAGTAAAGGAATTTCCAGGTGAAGGAATTTAAGTAGTTTCAGGTGTTGTCATTACATATTGTTATAATAATGCTGAAATAACCAGCCGGATCATTCGAAAGGAGTTTCTGACCTTTTCTGGAGTAGTATTTGAGCTCCCATTTCTCTAGTATTGATGAGGTATGTGTTCTGTCCCCATTTTCGCTAGGGTGATGTTCTGGACAGACTGGGGAGACCTGAAGCCTGGGATTTATCGGAGCAATATGGATGGTTCTGCTGCCTATCACCTGGTGTCTGAGGATGTGAAGTGGCCCAATGGCATCTCTGTGGACGACCAGTGGATTTACTGGACGGATGCCTACCTGGAGTGCATAGAGCGGATCACGTTCAGTGGCCAGCAGCGCTCTGTCATTCTGGACAACCTCCCGCACCCCTATGCCATTGCTGTCTTTAAGGTGAGTCCATTTGTTGCTGCCGGACAGTCTGCTAGAGCGGGTGAGGAGCATATGAGATCAGGAGCCTGCATCCCTGGGCTTTGCAGAGAAGCTGTTTAACTTCTTAAAGGTTGCCTTTTTTCCAAATTTGAGATAACTTATTTTCAGCCTATGGAGGGATGCCAGGCAGAGGCGCCAAGGGTCCAGGCTCCCCTGCTGTTCACATTTCAAAAGGTTAAAAGTGAAGGCTCTTCCCATGAACATTCCCAGTTTGCCCCTCAGTGTCAGTAGCCTCATTTCAGGGTGGTGTCTTCATTTTTTGTGCGCTTTGCTCACTTTATTCTCTGATGACTTCCGGTGAGCTCTGCACCACCTATAGTGCCTTGCAGTTCTTTTTCGACTCTGGAGAGCAACATGGCTCTTCCCAACTCTGGGAAACAGATTTCAAACTGAGGGGGTTGGGTTTGTGTCATAAACTTGAATGCTTATCAGATAGTTTCTTTTGGGCAGTTTCTTCTGTGGGGTTATATGGTGAGGTTTGGATAAAATTGCTGTCCTTTGCATTTAAGTAGAATCTTGATCAGGCTAGTCATTCAGCCAATAAATGTTAGTTGTCTCCTGCCTGGGGGAACTCTTACCCTTAGAGAGAACCAGAATAAAGAACGAAAGAGCTGGACTAATGGGCAAAGGTTTTCTTTTTAGAATGAAATCTACTGGGATGACTGGTCACAGCTCAGCATATTCCGAGCTTCCAAATACAGTGGGTCCCAGATGGAGATTCTGGCAAACCAGCTCACGGGGCTCATGGACATGAAGATTTTCTACAAGGGGAAGAACACTGGTAAGCCAGAGTCTCTTCTTTTGTCTCTGTAGAGTTGATCTCAAGAAAGGGGCTGCGTGTGGCCAATCTCTGCTCAGAGTAGGAGCTGGCAGCCTGCATCTTTGTTGTCACGACAACATGCACATTATTTAATTTCTTCCTAATGACATCTTAATTTCTTTTCTAATGATACACAAACAGCTGGAAGACAGCATGCTTTTGCCTGCCTAGAGTGTTGGTGCTTGGTGGGTAATTACACCCTCCTCCTGCCCTTGGCCCCTGACTGATTGGTGGCGCGGCTTCTGTTGCAGCTGGGAGAGTCCTAACATGTGCTTAATCCCTGTTTGGCATGCTTGCAGGAAGAGACTCTGTGCTGGGTGCTCAGATAGTTGTTGCTTCCTGACAGGGCCTCTTGCTTGTTCTCTGGTTGCCCAGATGACCTATTGCTCATTGACCGTACCTACCTCTGCTGGAATGGCACTGTGTAGTTAGGTGTTGTTTTAATTAACTTTTCCCACCATGAAACCCTAAACCCCATGAAGAAAGAGATGGTCTTTTTTATTCCCCGATAGTTTTACCAGTGTCTAGCACTTTGTAGGTGCTCAATTCATATTTGTTGAAAGAATAAGGGATGAAAAGGGAGGGGAAGAATTGCAGTGGGTGCAGACAGTAGCTGTCTTAGAGATCTACTGGGTGAGGCTTCAAGAACTGCTATGAGGCTTTGACCTGCTAGTCCTGGAGTCTGAGACTATTCAGTGGAAAGCCTTTATCATTTCATGACTGCTCTTTGATTTTGCTTATCTCCCAGCCATACTATTGATTCTAGAGGAGAAAGATCAGAGGATTACCAGGAAGAATAGTCCCTTTAAGAATTTCCCTCTTTATCTCAGCAGGATTAAATGGCATCCTGGGTTTGCTGATTCTCCTTTATTGACAAACTGCTAAGTTTTCTGTTCTTAACTGGAATGTTGATATTGTTTTATGGTTCTTGGCTGACCCTATACTAGGAGAAAATTGACAGGGGAAATAATACTGTTATAGATATCATTGTTATCCTCTTGGGATTGTGAAGATAGCATGAGAACACCCTGGGAAAACTATAAAGTGTCTTACAAATGTAAGACGATATTATTTGTTATGTCTTCACCACTGACCTGTGAGGTAGGGAAGGCTGGTATTATGATCCATGGTTTATAGATTAGGGAATTAAATCTCAGATATGAATTAGCTTTCCCAAAATATCCTCACTAGTTTAGGGGCTGGCCTTTTGTTGCAATTCTGCCGCTAAATGGAGAAGTCACATTCTTTCTTAGAGGAGGCACCTGTTTTAGAATCAGGAGAGTTGAAGGAATCTTGCTTCTCAGCTCCAGTGACTGAAATCTTCAGACCTTTGTTTAATGGAGGACATCCACCCCTACTGATCTGACTTGCTAGCTAGCAGAGTGGATTTTTAGTATTTCTCCAAGTGGATTTTTAGCATTTCTCCATGTTACCACTTAGTCCAGAAGAGTGGGTCTTCATTTTTACAAGTGCTTGTATGCATGTGCTTGTTTGATTTGCACACAGGAGCTTCTGAAACACTGTGTGCAGATGAAGCCAGTGGCTACCCGGTCACAACTTACTTCCCAGTCTTGACTGTCCACTTCATCCCAAGAACTTGGGCACAGCTGACATGCAGTCACACCTGTGACTGAGGAGCAGTGCGGGAGGAGAGAGTTTGTGGTCTCAGCACATGCAAACGTGGTGTCTTGGTGCCAGTCAGACAGGTCTGCAATCCTCACCTTAGGTGTAGTTTCCCTTTCATGCCTCAAAGAGTCATCTTCATTTAAGTTAGCCAGAGTCATTTTGGGGCCCAGAGTGAGGTCTGGATAGATGACAGGCTGGTTTAAAAGGGAGATATGTATTAGCAGGGCATAGTGGCACATGCCTGTAGTCTCAGCTCCTCAGGAGGCGGAGGTGGGAGCATCACCTGAGCTCGGGAGGTTGAGGCTGCAGTTAGCCAAGGTCGTGCTGCTGCACTCCATCCTGGGTGACAGAGTGAGACCCTGTCACCGAAAAAAAAAAAAAAAAAGGCTGGGGGAGATCTGTGTTGGTGAGTAGAACACAGACCTGGACCTGTGCATGGGCGGCTGTGACTGTCCCTTTGGCCATGGCCAGTTGTCGCCTCTCTGCTCCTTTCTGTTTGCCTTTGGGATTTTCTCTTGCTGTCCTTTGGTTGTGAGCAGGATACTTCCAGGAGACCTACTGCCTCCAAACACAGGGCTGGAGAAAGACGTTTTTGTCTTTCTCTGCAGCCCAGTTTGGGTCAAATCAAAGCTTTTGCAGTGGTGTCTGGCTGTCAGCACTGTCTATGAGCACTCCGCACCTCTTGGCCTTGAACTTGTTTGCTCTAACCTGCTTGCTTTTTTTGGACACTGATAGGACACTTGCTTTTTTGGACATTGTATTACAGATCCACGGTGTGTGTTGGATCTAGCACTTGGAGAAATGCTAAAAATCCACTCTGCTAGCTAGCAAGTCAGATCAGTAGGGGTGGATGTCCTCCATCAAGCAAGGGCCTGAATATTTCAGTCACTGGAGCTGAGAAGCAAGATTCCTTCAACTCTCCTTATTTTAAAACAGGTGACTCCTCTAAGAAAGAATGTGACTCCTGTCCATCTTTATTATTTTTGTTGTCTCCTCCTAACACATTCGGGACTTTCTACAGTAGTCTCCTGCTTATTTGCCATTTTGCTTTCTGTGATTTCAGCTACCTGCGGTCAACCACTGTCCAAAAATATATATGGAAGATTCCAGAAATAAACAATGTATAAGATTTAAATTGCTTGCTGTTCTGAATAGTGTGATGAAATCTTGTACTGTCTCCTCCCTGTCCCACCTGGGATGTGAATCCTCCCTTTGTCCAGCGTCTCATGCTGTTGATGCTGCCGGCTCATTAGTCCCTTTAGGAGCCGGCTGGGTTATCAGGGTGTCAAAGTACTGCAGTTCTTGTACGCAAGGAACCCTTATTTTACTTCATGATGACCCTACACCTCAAGAGTAGTGATTCCAGTAATTTGGATATGCCAAAGGGAGGTTGTAAAGTGCTTCCTTTAGGGAAAGGGTGAAAGTTCTAGACTTAATAAGGGAGGAAAAAAAATCTTACACCGAGTTTGCTAAGATCTGCTGTAAGAACGAACCTTCTATCTCTGAAATTGTAAAGAAAGAAAAAGAAATTCATGCACAGTATAGGTTTGGTCCTATCTGCAGTTTCAGGTGTCAGCTAGGGGTCTTGGAATTGGGGGTTTTGGAATAAGAGGGGACTACTATATTAACCAAGTGTTAAATAATAATAATTGATAGTAACTACATGTATTGAGGGGTTGCTGTGTTATAAGTACCACAGTAATGTGCTTTGTGGGCTTGTATAACCTCACTTCGTCTTCCCAAAGACTTCTATATGTACTATCAATATTTCCATTTTATAGGTGAGAATATGAAAGTCTGGTTTAGTAACTTGTGTAGGTCACACTTTTAGTAAGTGGTAAGAATTTGCACTGTGGCCCGTTGACTTCAAAGCCTGAACTTCGATAAAACCACCCGGCTCTGCTCCCTCTGTCATGTGTTGCTAGAATAGCAGTGCCCTGGTAGTATGACAGCAGTTCAGAAGTACTGTTCTAGATTTTGATTGATGATGGTTCATAATAAAAATGTTGTTCAGTTGCAACATTTATCAATTTGAAATATTTGGTCCTTTATAGCTAGCTGGTTTTTATTTTTTATTTGTTTAGTTTTTTGGAGACAGAGTCTCGTTCTGTTACCCCGGCTGGAGTGCAGTGATGTGATCTTGGCTCACTGCAACCTCTGCCTCCTGGGTTCAAGCAATTCTCATGCCTCAGCCTCCTAAGTAGCTGGGACTAAAGGCATGTGCCACCATGCCTGGCTAATTTTTTGTATTTTAGTAGAGATTGGGTTTCACCATGTTGCCCAGGCTGGTCTTGAACTCCTGAGCTCAGGCAATCTGCACGCCCCGGCCTCCCAAAGTGCTAGGATTTACAGGTGTGAGCCACTGTGTCTGGCCACTAGCTGGTTTTTAAATGGTATAACTGGAATTTATTCTTTGTAAAGTGTGTTTTTTCTTTAAAGAGGTTACTTTACAAGATTGTTGATGTATTCAGTTGCTCCTGCGATGGCTCTTGGAGCTTTGGAATTCTTTTGCAGTTTTGGAATTCTCCTTTAGAGCCTGCAGTAAGTATGTGCTTTTAAGTATCTATAATGAGGGCACATATTTATTATTTGAGGTAGATTTGATTTTGATAATTGCCAAGTGTATAGATACTTGAGATGATGACATTTTTGGCTCCTAAAGTATTCCTGGAGGAATTTTCCAAACAGGAAATGTGAAAATGTTCTGAACATGCCCAGTGAAGACATCACGGGGCTATGTGTTTGATCTTCTAAGGGAATGTCTTTGAAGATGATTGTCCACTCTTCACATTGAGATAACGGTTTTCATATTGCCTGGTCCACTCAAGACAATTGTCATCCTGTATAAAGGGTCTGTGGCTGTGGTAGAACTGCCATCATAGGAGTTGGTGAATTACCCTTCCATCTTCTTCCAGCTTCTCTCTGATGCAGCTCTCCCATTTTCCATTCTCTGGCTTCAGACTAGCCTAGACATTCCTGCCCCTGCCTACCTCTTAGGATCAGTGACTTGGTTAGCTTGTTTTGCAGTTTGCCCCTGGTTACTGCCTCAGAGTACAGTTTCATACATTTCTGCCTAGATCAGCCTCCTGAAATATGATACCCCATTTTGAGTTCTCTACTCTTAGCTCTTCTTGCTTGTTTGGATAGGAATATTTGCTCTGCATATGAAAAGGTTAGTGAAATGATTTTACAGACATGATCCCTGTGAAAAAAATCATCCTGTAATAGAGTAGTTTTTTTTATTTGTTCGTTTTGTTTGTTTGTTTGTTTTTGAGACAGGCTCTGGCTCTGTTACCCAGGCTGGAGTGCAGTGGCGCCATCTCAGCTAACTGCAGCCTCTGTCTCCTGGGCTTAAGCAATCTTCCCACTTCAGCCTCTGAAGTGGCTGGGATCACAGATGTGTACCCGGCTAATTTTGCTTATTTTTTTTTTGTGGAGGCGGTCTTCACTATGTTGCTCAGGGTGGTCTCGAACTCCTGGGCTCGAGTGATCCTCCCACCTCGGCCTCCCAAACTGCTGGGATTACAGATGTGAGCCACTGCACCCAGCCGGTAATAGAGTATTTTAAAATAACATCATATTCCATTATTGTTCAGGATCTTGGAACATTGAGTGATATATTGTTCTTTGAATACAAAACACATGTTCCCACATCCTTGTTTGAGTTGTTTCTCATGAGTGGTGGCTCTATGTCAATTCTGCATTCCCTCTTGTAGCCAGTGGCCTGTACCTTTGAACTAAAGGAGCCATCTGTGCCCACTAATGGATCAGAGTGAAGGGATGTCTGGGACTTCTGCTCTAGTCAGCTGGTTAGTCTGCTATGGTAATTAAGCTGTTATGATTGATTATTTACTGAACCTTTTGGACTGTTTCATCATGTGGACTTCCCTTCCTCTGGAGGTGTATGTTTTCTCTCTATTTACTGAATCTTTTGGAATGTTTCATCATATGAACCTCCCTTCCTCTGGATGTGTGTGTTTTCTCTTTGGTAATACCTCTTACTCTTTTCCTTGGCATCATAATAACGTTGTTGCCATAGCATTGTGATTTTTATTTTTATTTGTAATGTAAATTAACCAATGATGTGCCCACACACCCAAAGCTACTGCGTATATTATCCATATCGACACTGATTATCATTCATGAACTTCGTCTAACCTGTAGGCCAGGATAGGCATGGCTTAGATGAATGCTTGGCTGGGTGGCAACAGATGATTTGGATATGGTGCTGAAGTGTGGGAGGGCATCTCTGTCCATGACATAGCACGAATGAAGAATTAGCAATTGAGTTTTATCTAAGTTTTTATGTTCATTTTTCCCATTTTCATGATTAATAATTGCAGTCAAAAGAAAAAACATGATTTCATAGTTTCTGTGACCCCATAGTTGTATCATGTTTCAGATTGTTATAAAATGGTTTATGCATCTTCTTACCTGCCATCCCCGGAACGATGTAGGGGATAGGATGGCACTTTTGCCATCCTCGTTCATCCACAAAGGCTCCTTCTCAAGAGTGCAGTGGTGGATTTTACGAACTCTCTCCGGTGCTGCCTTTAGTAAGCTGAACCAGAGAAAAGATTGGCAGGAGTGGGCTAGATCAGCATGAACTAGTCCTTACCTGAACACATTGCACAGCAGTGGCTGATGAGTACTGTGGTTGGCTCCTCCTTTAGCTCTTGAGGGGCACTCTGGCACAAAGGAATTGAGAAGGGGAGGCCTGGATTTTTGTCCTGGGCCCACCATTAACCAGGTGTATGTTCTAATTAAGGCCTTTGGGGCCCTAAGGAGCAGAAACCCACTCAAGCTAGCTCAAGTGAATGGTTTTATGGAATGAATAAAGGAGCCCAAAGATGAAAGTCTAGGAGAGCCTCATGGGGACTGGAGCTGTTCTTTCTCTTTCCCTCTCATTAGGCCTCTTCTCTCTGTAAGCCTCTTTCTTTTTAAAAAAAAAATTATTCGGAATTTTGAAGGCAATGTTCAACTATATTATAGCCACTAGTGTTGTAATTGAGAAGTCCAAAGACATTCTGGTTCTTTTTTAAATTAAAAAAAAAAATTTTTTTTAAGGGATAGGATCTTGCTATATTGCCCAGGCTGGATTCGAGCTACCAGGCTCAAGTGATCCTCCTGCCTCAGCCTCCTGAGTAGCTGGGGCTACAGGTGCGTGCTGCCATGCCTGGCCTCCTTAAGTCTCTTTTAGTCTCCTGACGGTCTGCAGACTGAGCTTATCTGCATACCCAGAGTTTTGACTTCCACACGGTTTTGGCTTGCCATGTGCCACTTCAACACCCATGCTCTGTGACCCTTTCCCTGGCTCCAGCTCCTTGGTTGCTTTCTTGTCTTTCAGTGACCCAATTACAAATTCCCAGGAGGAACCCTGCTGCCTGGCTTGGCTCTGGGGCAGTCTGATCTGGCTGAAGACAGGATGCAAGTCACTGGTTATACTGAGCAGAAGTTTTCAGCACAGTAGGCGCCCCAAAGCTTGCCACTTGACCCTTGAGAGCTTCTCGCTGTCCTTTCCGTAAGACGAGGAGGTTGCAGTGGGTCTCCTTCTTGTATTCAGTACCTCCCTCATGGTGTGTATTAACCTACCTGCTGCTGTTTGTCTTCCCTCCAGGAAGCAATGCCTGTGTGCCCAGGCCATGCAGCCTGCTGTGCCTGCCCAAGGCCAACAACAGTAGAAGCTGCAGGTGTCCAGAGGATGTGTCCAGCAGTGTGCTTCCATCAGGGGACCTGATGTGTGACTGCCCTCAGGGCTATCAGCTCAAGAACAATACCTGTGTCAAACAAGGTACTTCCCTTTTTCTTTTTTGCCTGTCATCCTCCTTCCTTTGTTTCCTGCTCCCCGCCAGGGGAGGGAGGGATAGCTCTCTGTTTCCTAACCTTTTCGTGTTATTGGAAAAAGTCCAAGGTAAAAATCAAACCTACCAGATACTCATAAGAATACTGGTTTGGGTTCTAAGTCCTGGTAAGGGTCAAAGAGGCCCTTCAGTCCTCACTCAGAACAGGCCTATGCTGTACCTTTCTAAGTAGTAGCTGTGGTTTTTGGTTTCATGTCAGATGGCACAGGCTTTCTTCAGGGTCTCCCTTTTTATTCTTTTGCTTCTTCCTCTCCTCACCCATCCCTCACATCCAGGTTTCTTACCTGCTCCTGTTTTGCATAAGTTGGACCAACCTGATTGGGAAAAATAACCAGTGTGACTCCTTCCGCGTTTACTCTCACCTAACGGTTGTCCATCCTCTCACCGTAGCCTAGCCCAGTGTGTCCTGAACTTTCAGACCAATGTTTGCAAAGCACTTTGAGTCTAGACCTTATGCCATGACCAAGCAGCAAGAGCAGCCTTACACCCACTCCCCCTCTGAATTTGAATATAGAGATTTAACATTTCTTTCCTCCGAAATTTAAAAAGTTTTTCCTTCCTGTGTAATTTTTACTGTCACCACTTCCCCCGCCTCCAGCATCACGTTTCTGTGAGTGAGGTGAACCCCTGCAAGGGCACCTTGCCATGAAGTGCATGGATTGATGGCCAGAATTTCTGCTTTTCCTTATCTGTGATTCTATTTGCCTTTTTTTTTATATATATTTTAAAGAGACAAGAAAGAGACAGGGTCTTGCTGTATTGCCCAGGCTGGCACATTCACGGCTCACTGCAGCTTCAACTCAAACTCCTGGGCTCAAGGGATCCTCCTGTCTCAGCTTCCCATGAAGCTAGGACTACAGGCACGAGCCCAGCTAATTTCTTTTATAGGGACGAGGTCTCACTTTGTTGCCCAGTCTGGTCTTGAACATCTGGGCTCAAGGGATCCTCCCTCCTCTGCCTCCCAAGGAGCTGGGATCACAGGCATGAGCCACTGTGCCTACTCTATTTGCTTTGTAATCCTAACCCTGCTTCTCACAGCGGCCCAAGTCCAAGGCAGTGAAACACACAATACAAGCCTTTTAGTCAATCTTCCTTAAGAAATATAAACAGAAAAAAGATGAGCCTTTCTTTCTTAGAAACAAGAGACTTTCTTTCAGGCTATGGATACAATCTTAAAACTGTTTGGAAAGAAATAGAATCAACACTAAATTCCAAGAGAAGGGGAAGAAAGCTACTCCATATTTCCCATTAGAATGCCTTTGATTATCCAAATATGAGACCAATCATCGCATGTCCTTGATGCAGTTTGCCAAACTATACATTTTTTTTCTGTAAGGAATTTTAATTGCTTGCTTTAAAGTAGTCATGGGGCAGAAAAATTTCTCAGAGTATTGAGAAAATCTTCATAACTCATTTGCTTGATAGATAGAATATATATGGATATATATAACTATGTATATAAAAACATACCTATAGATATATTGAATCTGTATGTTTTAATTCTGTGTAGACACAGTCCATTAAGGAGTTCTGTGTGTAATTAGTATTTTATAATGTTGATGTACTGTATTCACTACCCAATAGACTCAACTGGTATTGTGGTTATCCTTCTTAAAGCATTGTATCTGCTTCTAAATATTTCTTCCAGCCTCCTCCTCTCTTTTGATTTTAACTAAAAGAGGAAAGCAAGAGGCTAGTATGGGACATTTCCTTCCCTGTAGACACGTGTGCTTGGCATTCCTCCTCCCCCTTTACCATCATGTTACTTGTTGTGGGAAGTCCGGGACCCCGAACGGAGGGACCAGCTGAAGCCATGGCAGAAGAACGTGGATTGTGAAGATTTTATGGACATTTATTAGTTCCCCAAATTAATACTTTTATAATTTCTTATGCCTGTCTTTACTGCAGTCTCTGAACATAAATTGTGAAGATTTCACGGACACTTATCACTTCCCCAATCAATACCCTTGTGATTTCCTATGCCTGTCTTTACTTTAATCTCTTAATCCCGTCATCTTCGTAAGCTGAGGAGGATGTATGTCGCCTCAGGACCCTGTGATGATTGCATTAACTGCACAAATTGTAGAGCATGTGTGTTTGAACAATATGAAATCTGGGCACCTTGAAAAAAGAACAGGATAACAGCAATGTTCAGGGAACAAGACAGATAACCTTAAACTCTGACTGCCGGTGAGCCGGGCGGAACAGAGCCACATTTCTCTTCTTTCAAAAGGAAATGGGAGAAATATCGCTGAATTCTTTTTCCCAGCAAGGAACATCCCTGAGAAAGAGAATGCGTCCCTGAGGGTAGGCTTCTAAAATGGCCGCTTCGAGGGGCGGCCATCTTTTATGGTCGAAGCTGTAGGGATGAAATAAACCCCAGTCTCCTGTAGTGCTCCTAGGCTTATTAGGATGAGGAAATTCCTGCCTAATAAATTTTGGTCAGACTGGTTGTCTGCTCTCAAACTCTGTCTCCTGATAAGATGTTATCAGTGACAATGCGTGCCCAAAACTTCATTAGCAATTTTAATTTCGCCCCGTCCTGTGGTCCTGTGATCTTGCCCTGCCTCCATTTGCCTTGTGATATTCTATTACCTTGTGAAGCACATGATCTCTGTGACCCACACCTTATTCGTACACTCCCTCCCCTTTTGAAATCACTAATAAAAACTTGGTGGTTTTACGGCTCAGGGGGCATCACGGAACCTGCCGACATGTGATGTCTCCCCAGACACCCAGCTTTAAAATTTCTCTCTTTTTTTACGCTGTCCCTTTATTTCTCAGACCGGCCGACACTTAGGGAAAATAGAAAAGAACCTATGTGAAATATCGGGGGTGAATTTCACCCGATATCTGGCTGAATTTCCCCCGATAGTTACTAAAGGGAGGGAAACTCAAAAGAGAAAGACCTGTGGTCCAGCAGTAAGAATAATATTGGTTTCATTTCCTCCCCTGCCGCACTCTGATGGGTAGAGAACACCTGTCTTCGCAACCAGTATCGCTGCAGCAACGGGAACTGTATCAACAGCATTTGGTGGTGTGACTTTGACAACGACTGTGGAGACATGAGCGATGAGAGAAACTGCCGTGAGTCTTCTGGATTGGACGTTAAGCACTTACCATTACTCAGAAGCCTGGTTGGCTCTTCCCAGGCTGAGGGCCTAAGGTCTAGGGCGAGGGCCACCCATGATTGGTGATGCCCATCTAAGTTGATGGGGCTTAGATGACAGAGAAAACATATTTCCATACACAGGTAGATATTAGATATATAGGATTAATATTATATACATAATATTTTTTTAACCACCCCAGAAGTACCACTCGTTACAAGAGATTTATAAATAAACGTCACATGGCTGAAACTGAATTGATTTGGCAATCTGGGCTCTAATCTTGGCTGTGGCTCTGTAATAAAGCTGGTGACTTGGGGCGAGTAAACAGGTGATATTCTTTGATTTGGAAATTCAATATTCAGCCTTTTTAGGGATGGGAAATGAGTATTTACTCCAGTTGGTTGATGTTGGCTACCTACCAGGCTCAAGAGAGATTGTTTTCATTGGTTAGTAATGCATAGCTTGGCCTACAGTGTGGGGCCATTGGTGTACATGCCATGTAAGTGTCATCTTTAGGCTGTATAATTTTTAAGATCTGACTTCTAAAGTATAAGACTGTGGTTAGCAGAAGTTAAAACCAAACAACCACAAATAACAGATAGTTTATTAACCATGAATTTTCACTATCTTTTCTTCACTTAATTTTTAATAGCTTCGACATTATCTTATAAGGAGATGATTTGCCCTTTTGTCAGTCATGCACTCACTCAACAAGCAGTTGCTATACACCCTGTGTTCCAGGCTCTGTGCTGGGCCTGCATATATATTGCCGATCAAGGCAGAAACGGAGTTCACAGTCTGAAGTAGGAGTCAGAAAAATAGGCAGTTACAGTAGAGTGACGGGCACTGCGATGCGGAAGTGTCATATGCATGTAGGATGGGCACCCAAAGCAAACTTGGGCAGGCCCTAGCAAAGAGCTCTGGAGAGTGTCTGGGGTGAACCAAGCAGAGGTGGAGGGAATCAATTCACAGGCAAGGGAGCAGCATGTGGGGAAGCTGGCATGGCCAGGAAACTGGTTTGAGTTATGGAGAATGGGCATGGGCACAGGGGCCAAGGTGAAGTTAGATGAGTGGGCAGCGCCCAGGACAGCAAGGGCTTTGTGGACTTTATCGGAGAAGCAGTTGGGAACCACTGATGTCATGTGATGAAAGTTCATCTTTGGAAGGATAAGTAGTGGGCAGAATGCGTTTGATGGAGAGAGACCAGAAGCAGGAACCAAGTCAGAGGCTTCTCTTTTATATATTTTACCTTTGGCAACCCAGGGGCTCATTTACCCATTTGTACTGTAAGAACAGATTAATGGGAAGCTCTAGATACTCATTTAGCCAGTCATCCGTGGGGCCTGTGCCCGGCTCCCCTGCCACTTCACCCAGAAAGCAACTTGTGAAATATCCAGCTCATTAAACACATCTGGGCCCTGCAATCCTATAGACTCCCCCTTTTGGCTGATAGAGGGTTATTTACAAAGCCTTTCCTTAATCGTTTTCCCTTGGATTCAGAGGGTGCCTTTCACACCGAGGGAGTAGAGCTTATTTGCTGAATGGCAGATTTGGGAAAGCACTAGCCTCTCTGTGTCTTTTCTGCAAAAAATAAGGCCTATAAAGCCTCCTTTATCAGAGTTGCAGGAAGGTGTGATATTTGTGGGGGAATAGCCAAAGCTCTTTAAAAACATTAATGCTTATTAACAGCATTGAAGCAGATAATGGAAAGGAGTTTATTACATATCTGGGTGGGATAGAAGATGCTTCTTAGAATTAACAAGTTACAAGGAAATTGCCCAGACATAATTAGGCACAGTGGAAGCAGGGAGATACAAACCAGATGACCTCATATCCAAGAGTGAGGGACACAGGTGGCAGAGCATTCCTCCTTGTGCCCTTGGGCTTGGTTTCTACTAAATGGACAAGCTGAATCTTGTATTGGCTCCGAGTTTTGAGAGGAATGAAGACCTGCATCTTTTGGGAGGCACCTGCTGCCTCCAATGGCTTCCTCCCACCCAGCCCCTGAGCTCTGTTGCAGACTGCACAGTTGTGCATGAAGGATGGAGCTGGCCCTGCCCTCCTCCCAGCTTGGCGTGAATGTCAGCTGGGATTCACTTTCCAGAGACCCCGAGACCTACTTTCTGCTCCGTCGTCTCCCTGTTTCACCTGGCTCAGGTCTACACATGTCAGATGGAGCTGAGGCGTGGAGAGGAGGAACCAGAAGGATTTAAAACTCAGAGACTGGGAGTCAAGAGAGAGGGGCTTATCTGTGCCTGCATGTGTGTCTCCCTCATCAAGGAGGTTGCGTGTGGAGGAGAGAGGTTCCCTGTTTCTAAGCAGGGCTGCAGGAGCTGGACCGCAGTGACTGAGTACTGCCATGTGGGGAGTTAAGTGAGGCACCCTGCCAGCTGCCAGGGAGCAGTGGAGGAGGGGGGACACCGGGATGCAGGAGGGTGTTGTCAGTGGGTTTCCCTCCCTCTTACACAGATTCCTCTAGCTGGGTGACTGTCAGGCACTCAGGGTTTTGACGCGAATCCCTGCAGTCTTGTCATTTTGCATTCATCCCCTGCCTCCCACCACGAGCTCAATTACAGAGAAGAAATGGAGCCTCAAATAAGAGCTGCCAGGATGTCTAACGGCAGCATTGCTATTTGGCATTTCGTGCACGACAACCCCTCCCCCGTGCCAGCATTCTGTTCTGCCACATTTTACCTCCTGGGTCAGCCTTTCACTCTCCTGAGAGCAGCCTGCCTTCCCCTCGCCTTTCCTGGAGGGTGTTTCACGGGGTGCCAGGGATTGTGCTTAAGCACAGGAAATATCTACTTAGGAGAGGAAGAAAAATCTAATTCTGTATCCATTCTAATGCCAGAAGGACATGAGGAATGATGAGGAAGAGAAGTGACATTTGTTTAGAGCCCATTATATTTACATCCTATTTAATAGGCTCTGGTTCCAAACTTGTTCCCTGGTTTATCTTCATAATAATGCTACCAAGTAAAGGCAGGTTAAGTAAGTTGTAGGTTGCAGACTCAATTCAAATCTAGTCTTTCTGGCTGGGCGTGGTGGCTCATGCCTGTAATCCTAGCACTTTGGGAGGCTGAGGCAGGCAGATCACTTGAGGCCAGGAGTTCAAGACCATCCTGGCCAACATGGCAAAACCCCATCTGTACTAAAAATACAAAAATTAACTGGGGCTGGTGGTGGGTGCCTGTAATCCCAGCTACTCAGGAGGCTGAGGCTGGAGAAATCGCTTGAACCTGGGAGGCGGAGGTTGCAGTGAGCCGAGATTGCGCCACTGCACTCCAGCCTGGGCAACAGAGCGAGACTCCATCTCAAAAAACAGAAAAACAAATCTAGTCTCTCTGACTGTGATCTCAAGCACTAGGACACATTATCTTACCCAGTTTTACTGTTGAGAAAACAGCCGTAGGGAGATTAAAATTAATTTCCCCAGGAAGAGGTAGAGCCACGATTTGGTACCCAGTCTTGACTGACTGCAGACAGAGCCTATGTTCCTACTGTAGAATTCTACCTCCATGCTGCCTTTACCATCTGTACAATGAAGTGCTAACTTCTTGTGTGAAATTGAGCTTCTCTAATCGTAGTTTCATAGATAAAGGTATTTCTGTCACTTATTTAGGAAGACACTTTTCGCGTCTGAAGGGATCTTAGGAGGTCACCTAGCCTGTCACTCTCTCTCGCCAACAGATGACAGTTTCTCACTTTTCCCCGTCCTGTTCCGATCTGGAAGCTGTCCACAGAAAGATATGCCCTTATCTCTCTTGGTTGTAAATTTCAAGCTCTCATGTAATTTATGTCTTCTGTAAGTCTAGGTTTAATTTCTGTTGCTACAATTAATACCTGCTTTCTTCTATTTTTTAATTGGTTTTCCAGTAGGATGTTTACATTTGTGGGAAATCAATTGTACCTAAGGAATATGTTGTCTTTCTATCCCATTTTAGCTACCACCATCTGTGACCTGGACACCCAGTTTCGTTGCCAGGAGTCTGGGACTTGTATCCCACTGTCCTATAAATGTGACCTTGAGGATGACTGTGGAGACAACAGTGATGAAAGTCATTGTGGTAAGGGGACATCACATCCTGAAACCCTGCTCTGGAGAGGGGGGTCATTGTGCTCCCTCACAGGGCTGTACTGGTATGTACTGGTTTTCTGATAGCCGTCTCAGGATTTATGATATTCTAGCTGAATGGCTTTCTCCATCCACATGGTGGGGTTGAGTCATTTCTCTGTCCATTCTTAAAGAGTTTGTTTGCTGCTTTTCACGAGGATTCAGTTCGCTGGAGACACTTGCGAACTGGGACCCTAGATTCCCATTAACTCTGGATGGGACCCTAGATTCCCATTAACTCTGGATCAAGTGTCTCCAGCAGAACTGAATCCTCATGATTCATGGTCAGAAAAGATGGAGCCTGGACTCAGCTCCTGTCACTTACTCTTAGATTAGCCTTTGTTTTCTAGTCTGAAAAATGGGGAAATGGACCCTGCTTTGCCTTGGAGAGATGCTATAAGGATGAAAGGTGATGGTAAGGAAGTAAATTTCTGAATGAATTCAGGGGGTTATTAACAGCTCTACAGGCTTGGCCCACATGTCTCAGTGGGTGTGAGATTAGCCTGCTGAAGACACAAATCTGCACCTCTGTGAACTGTTCTTTTTTTTTTAACCAATTTAATTCATTCAACTCTGTTATTATTAGAAGTTAGCAGATGGTATAGGCATTGAGTGAGCATCTGTTTTCTGAATGGACATTTTTATATTTAGAAAAACAGTGGGTTACAATTCCAAGGAATGATAGAGATTCTCTGGTCCAATCCTTTTAATTTCTACTTTCTAAAGTGACTGAGGTCTGTAGAGGTCAGGGGGCTTATTCAAGGTGACACAATTAGTTTGTGTCAGAATGGGGAACTGGAATCCATGTCTCCCATTTTCTAATCCTCCACTATTTCTGTTGCACAGTACCTCCTTGTCAGTTTCATGAGACCCATCTTAGTTAACAGTCCCTGGTCCCAGACTCATAGTTGCTGACCTCCGAAGGAGACATTATGCAATCAGCATGGTGTGCCAGATTGAGGCATGAGAGGGAAGTGAGAGTGGAGGTCAGACGCTGACCCAGACGTGGTGATGAGTTGGCGGGGCCCTACTGTGCCCTCTCTCCCTGTCCACGGGGGGCAGGTCCAGCCACGCTGTGCTTACGCACATGGACACAGCCTGCTTGATTATGAGCAGGTGGTTTGACTCACAGCAGCTGAAATAAGGGGAGCAAGGGCAGCTTGTAAATCATCTCAATGCAAGTTAACCAGCAGAGCAGAGCCTAGGCCATTTCCACACAGAAAATACCCCTAGCCTGGCTCTTGGAAGGTTTTTAAAAAATTCCCAGTTTTCCTTCTTCAAGTGCCTGAAAACATGTCCTTGGAATGTGCAACTATTTCCCCTTCATCCCTGCCATTTCCTTCCCAGCACTCTTAGAAGGTTGAAATGTGTAGCTAGTTTTGCCCTAGTAAGAAGGAAACTTCACGTGGTTCCCTCTTTCTGGTATCATTGAGCTCACGTACTGGGTACATGTTTGACTGTGAAGCAGTTTCAGCCCCCTGATCCTCTGTTCATGGCTCATTCTTACTAGTTTGTCCTGAATTCATCCCAGGGTCCCGGTTAGCCCCTTCCTCTGATGCAGGTCCTCTTCGTAAGTTTCCACACTCTTCCTCAAAAATATCTGATTTACTAGCTTTGCCATCAACAAGCCTCTTGGCGAGAATGACTGAGACGGCTGCCTTGGGCCCCACGCTTGGCTGCTCCTGTTTTCTGACGCTCTGTAAACTCCATGTGAAAGTTCTATGCCACAGTCTATTTGGGCTGTGATAACAAAATACTTAGTGTAGGTAATTTATAAACAATAGTATTTTGTTTCTCACAGTACTGGAGACTGGGAGGTCCAAGACTGAGGTGCCAGCAGACTTATTGTCTAGTGAGGGCCTGTTCCTCATAGATGGTACCTTCACTGCAGCGTCAGATGGCACCTCTGCTTCTGGAAGGACTGCAGGGAAATGCTTCTATCTGTACGCAAGCGTGGCAGAAGGAGTGAACAGCTCCCTCCCACCTCTTTCTTAAGGACACTAATCCTATTCATGAGGGCTCTGCCCCCATGACTTAATTACCTCACAGGGGTCCCATCTCTTAATAATATCACATTGGTGATTAAGTTTCAACATACAAATTTGAAGTTTCAACATATGAAGTATAAACATTTGAATTTTCCTAGCCTCCAGAACCGAGAGAAATAAATTGCTATTGTTTATAAGCTCAGCCTATAGCATTCTGTCTTCATGATCTCCCCAGGAGCTTTGAAGGCTATTGCCAGGGCAGCCTCCTTCCCCTTCTTGGTCAAGCTCTGCTGGTTGGTTCTTACCAGGCCCCCACCCTTCTAGAGACAGCGCATCCACCCGTGTCCCTGGAGCTCTGCCCACAGAAAGTCCCGAGTTATGTTTCCTCCGTTTTGGGAGCTCAGCACTGATTTTACTCTCTCTGACTGAGCATCTCACGGTGATCAGCTCATGCAGACCTCTCGGCACTCCTTTTCTCAAACCACAGGCTGTGTCTGTAGGAGTCCTCTGTTTCTTGAAAGTTCTACTTCCTGGCCTCCTCTATCACTGCTTCCTAACCTTCTTCCCATCATAGCAAGCATAGAAAATAATATATGTGGAGAGCACTGGGATGAATGGACAAGGATGCTGTTGTCAAGAGGCAAGCAGCTCTAAGGGTCTGAGGGTCTCAGAATCTCAGCCCACCTGTAACCCATTTGCAGCACACTGACTGGAAGCTGTTAAATGACCTTTTGTCCCTGGTAAAAGTCTCTTCGTTCATGGTCTCTGTGGATCATTGGTGATCACGGGTCCATCTCCATCCTTTATGAGAGCTTTGACACCAGAGACAAAATTCTGAACAAGCTTTTGTCCTCACCTCTCTGTTTATGGTCTCACCTGCAGAAATGCACCAGTGCCGGAGTGACGAGTACAACTGCAGTTCCGGCATGTGCATCCGCTCCTCCTGGGTATGTGACGGGGACAACGACTGCAGGGACTGGTCTGATGAAGCCAACTGTACCGGTCAGTACTTCCTGGACTCAGTTGACAGCACTCATCCGTTCATGCAGTGGTTAACATTATAGCTTTAAACGATCGGAAAATCTAGGCTCTGAGAATTAGCTTGGACCTTAGAAATCAGCGAGTTTCATGCTTCTCAAAGAGCTGGTCTTTGATGAGATAAGGAACCTGTGCCAGAATGTAAATCAACACCCTGCTTTCAACTGATTAAACAGTGTTCTGAGTGATATCGTTGATTTATGTTCTGGCTCAAGCTTCTTATTCATTCAGGACCAGTGTTAAACAGTTTTCAGACCAGCCCCTCGGCTGGGGTCCATACTTTGAGTAAGCACTGAACTAGCTCATGTTTTTTAAAATGGAGCATCAGGGGGTTCCCCAGACAAGGAAAATGTAAACTGTGTTTGTACCCGTTTTGGGTAAGATTTTATTAAAAGTAAAGATGGAAACAACATGAATGTGCTAGGTGCTATAAGGTAGGGGTAGTGTTCTCATTCTTTTGTTGGGTTCGCTTATGTTCATTACATTATTTTTATGAATGAGTGGATGAATGGTGGCCAGATATATTATGATGGGGCAGGGCAGACTGGGGGTGATAGGCAGTGGGTAGTGCAAGGAGTTGAGAAGCTTGTGGAGAAATGAAAACAAATTCCATTTTATAATCATCACTTTGTACCCCATTGTAATTTGTCCAAAAAACAAAAATTAAGGAATTTTTGTTCCAGATTTTATTACTCATTGAGTAAATTTGCTCTACAGCCTCCTTGAGAAGCTGTTATTCAGTTCTGTCTTGAACCCCTCTAGTGATTTTGGACTAGGGAGATAAAGATGTTTCCTTTAAACATTTCATGGTAAGGACAGATCTGTTTTTACACTCGGATAATTCAGACTTCATTGTGTAATTCATTGTTGAGTCATCTTCTCAATTATCTGAAGCCAGCTATTAATCTTGTGAATTATTGGACTTTTAAATCTCATGTCTTAACCTCCTCTGCCCCCAGAGTATCCCAGCACTTCCTACACTGCCCGGCATCTGGCGGCTCAAAGCACGCCTACTAATTGGTAAAAGGAAATACAAAGAAGGTACATCTGTTATATCTCAGACCTAAGGATAAATAACTGTGCATTATGCTCTGGCTTAGACTTGCTTCCCCACGGAGAGAGATGACCTCTTCTTTTACTCTTTTGTATTCTCTGCAGTGTCCAGCACATAATAGAGTATGTGCTCAGAGAACCTTTGTGGATTGAGTAATTTTATGCAACTGCTTCCCTCCATTCCTTTTAGTTTGGAGGTGACCTCATATGGCCTTAAGGGAGTGAATAGATCTCTTCAAATGCCATATACATCACATGGGATATTCTGTGGTGTTACCAAATCCTGTTCGCTTGTAAAGTCCACCCATGTTCTTTCTGGCGCAGCCTCTGTGTCTGCACCTCTGCTTCTGAAAAGACTGCAGGAAAATGCTTCTCTCTGTATATTAAAGCATGGTCTGCAGAAGGAGGAAGAACCGAGGCCCATAAAGGAGCTGCCGTTGGCACAGGAAACACGTGAATGCTGTTTGGAAGCTTTGGGTTTGGATGGATACTTAGTTAATAGATTAGAAGGGTGCACTTGGACATTGCAGTTTGTAAATTGCAGTATGATTGAACATCTTGTTAACACAACTGCCTTACTCAAATTTGCATTTCAGCAGCATGTGCCGGTCTTACAGAATGAATTGATTACTTCATTTCTATAGGCAAGCTTGTATAAACTCCTGGTTTTTTCTCTGATTTTCTTCCGGCAAGGCAAACTGGAGAAAACTTAAGAGTCCTTGCTGCTCAGCTGCAGCCTTGTTCCAAGGGCTGTTCTTCCAAACCTTTCAAGGATGATCCACCTTCTCTGTCATCTCAAAATAGTTGGAGGTCAGATGTGAGCTCATGGTGATGTGTGGCATGACACCTCATTTTCAGACCTACTAAATTAAGCTGCGTACAGTGCCAAAAGAAATAGGTCAAGGTAGCTGACCTCCTGTTGGCATCAGCTTGGATGCGCACTCTGCTGTGCGTCCTCTTTGCTTTTCTTTTCGCCACTTTTACTTTCCACGAGGCTGTTTCTTTATTCACCTCAACCCACCGCTATTGTTTTTAAACGTGTACATCTGATTTCTGTGTGTTTTTTTAGGACAATTACCTGTAGACATTTTATTTGTATTCTTAACATCTTTCCTCTCTCCTAGATATATGGGGACTTTAGAATTTGATCCAAATCTCTGCCTACAGTTCCAGTACTAAAATACCTAGTATTTTAAACACTAAATATTTAGTATTTTAGTTTTATATTAAAAAATCCTAAACTTCACTGTTACTCTTTTTAAATAACCACACTTCTGCATAGGCACACAGGTATTACCAACTACCTCTGTGTCTTGTTGCTAATGCCTCCCACCAATGTACATCCTTCAGGGGTTTTGCAGCAGGAGTCTATGAGTGGCAAACTCTTTCAAGGTTTTGTTATTATAGACATATATTTAATCCTCAATCTTGAATTCAAATGGGTCTGGGTTTCTAGGCTTTTAGTAATTTTCCGTATTTTCATAGAATTCTTCCATTTCTTCCTGGCCTCTTTTGTGTTGATTTGAATTCTGCTCTTAGTTGTCTGTTCAAATAATAACAGACACTCTTTTCTTTCTAATTACCTTTAGGTTATATTGCTCTTAGTTTTACCTACCTAGGTGTGGAATTATTTTTACTTATCCTGCTTGAGACTTTGTTTGTTTTAAGATCTGAGAATTTTTCGAAAGACAACTCTGGGAAGTTACAGCTACTAACTCTTCAACTATACCTGTTGGCTACTTTCTCTGGTCTTGTCTTCAGCAGTTACTCTAAGCCATTCGTTGGACTGCCTCATTCTGTTGTTCTCTTCCCTCCTGTTTTTATATTTGCTGTCTCTTTATGACTCTGTGCTAGAATCTGAGCGACTTCTCTAGATTTATCTTCCAGTTCAACAATTCTCTTTTCAGCTAACTCTAATCTGCTGTTTCACATATACATGGAGCTGTTTTTTTTATTTCCATGAGTATACGTTTTGTATCTAGAATTTCTGTTTGGTTCTTTTTCAAATCTGCCTTTTATTTTTCAGTGTTCTTTTTTTAATACTTTATGTTTTTTCTTCTCTGTCATTAATCATTCAAATTGTGATGATAGTCATTTTTTTCCTCATGCACTTACTTTTTTTTTTTTTTTTTTGAGACAGGGTTTTGTCTTGTCTCCCAGGCTGGAGGGTAGTGGCGCGATGACAGCTCACTGTAGCCTTGACCTCCTGGGCTCAATCCATCTTCCCGCCTTAGCCTCTTGAGTAGCTGGGGCTACAGACATGTGCCATCATGCCTGGCTAATTTTTGTATGTTTTGTAGAGATGGGGTTTTGCCATATTGCCCAGGCTGGTCTCGAACTCCTGGGTGCAAGTGATCCTCTTACCTTGTCCTCTCAAAGTGCTGGGATTACAGGTATGAGCTACTGCACCTGGTCCCCTTCTCATACACTTTTTTTTTTTTTTTTGAGACGGGGTCTCTGTCGCCCAGGCTAGAGTACAGTGGTGCGATCTTGGCTTACTGCATCCTCTGTCTCCCAGGTTCAAGCAATTCTCCTGCCTCAGCCTCACGAGTAGCTGGGACTACAGATGTGTGCCAGCAGGCCTGGCTAGTTTTGTGTTTTTAGTAGAGATGAGTTTTTACCATGTTGGCCAAGCTTGTCTCTAACTCCTGATCTCAAAGTGATCCACCCTCCTCGGCCTCCCAAAGTGCTGGGATTACAGGTATGAGCTACCACGCCTCATGCGTTTCTTTATAGTCTAGCGCTTTGTAAGAAATAAGGCAGTACTTTCCCTGTTATACTACTTATTTCATCCATTCTACTCTGCTCATGTTTGGTTAATGCTTTTAATCAGGCATTCCAGCAGGTCTTGATGAATCAGGAAAGTTCTGCCTGAGTCAAAGATTAAGTTGTAGGATATTGACCTATATTAGAAACTGATGTTAGATTTCCACGATTGTTTACCACACGAACTTCACCATTCTTATAGTTACAATGAATCCTACCATGCAGAGGATTCTTTTTCTTCCCTAAATTCTTCAGTCTGGATTAAAGTCCATCTCTTCCATCCTTGTAATTAAAAAAAAAATATGTATTAAGCATGCAGTATTTACCGGGCACTCAAAATCAGAGCTCATAAGTTACTAAGAAGATAGAAAAATCTAGAAAAAGATAATGCGTTATGTATTCCAGCCATACCTGGCCACTTGAATGCAAACTGATTACTCTTTCTGAGCTCAGCTTCTGTGATAGAATCTGGAGATCTCAGCCATGCCTCCCAGAATTGTCATTTGGAAACTTCACTAGCACTCTGAAATGGTTTTCAATTAAAAATGAAATGCAGAGGCTGAATAATAACTAGATTAGTATGGCAATTGGTTTAGGCAACTTTATATTTTATGAATGTGAGCAAGGTGTCGGTGAGGGATGTTTTGAAAGGCTGTCAGACTTGTGACACGAATAAATCAAAAGTATTCCAGGCGATGGCTGTTACTGGGGCAGAAACTCATGTAACATGCATGATACATTTATTCCTCTTATCAGAAATAAGTATAGTTTTTAAAGATGTTTAATGGATTCTGAGTGCCAAAGGTTGTAAATATTGAAACTTCTTATAGTTGTATATACATGCTGCCAAATACAGCCTTGGTCCTTGGAGAGATGGGAAGACATAGATAATGAGCTACCACTTGTTTTAAAGTGGTTTGAAAAATCAGGTTCTTTGGATTTCTGACCATTGCAAAAAATAGCCTCAAATGCAGTAAAATTCCTGAGGACATCATAAACCAATTTTCCCAGTCCTTGGGCAGCTTACTGCCAACTGTCTCAGTTGAATAGAAAACTATAGTTTGCTCTCAGCAACCCACTTCTGTGTGTTTTGTTTCTTTCCGTTGTGGTGTCATCCTCTCCACACAGTTAAACTAACAGAGAGTCCGTCTATCTAGGTTCTATTATCTTATGCTGGTTGTAAACAAGGCCAGTCCTGGCTTGCATTCAGCAATGAACAGACACAAACAGCTTTCTGTTTCAGAGGAGGAAGAGGAAATCAGATGGAGAGGACCGTTAGGAGTGTTGGTTGGGTTGGAGGCACATATTACGCATTTGAACTAGTGTTTGACTGAGTTTTTGAGGTGGTTCTAAATGACTTCCAGGTGGCCTCAGCCCATGTGTGCAGAGGAGGCTGTTCATGTTTAACAGTGACTCTCTTTCACTAGCTTCTTTTTTGCTTCTAGTGATTATAGTGGACACCACATATTATTGGCTGGTAGATGTTCCTCTCAACTCTACAGAAAGACAATTTCAAGTTCTTAGGCCTGCTTTCTTTGTGATTTTGGATGACTCTTTTATATTCCTCTGGCCTGAGGTTTTTCACACTTGAAATTGGATTTTTTTTTTAAAGAATTGTAATGTATGGCCTTCCAGAACTTAGCAGGGCCCTTAGGTTTCACTGTAAGGATGGTGAATTTGAGATCACCACACAGTGGCTGCACCAGGTCCAGGACTCCGTCTCCTGAGCACAGGCTGCCGCTCCTTATTTCTCAGCATCTGGATGAGTAAGAGGACTTAGGTGAGAAGGCAAACTACCAGGGTATAGCAGAAGAAGTGCAGGCTTGGGCCTTGGACTGCCTTGGTGTTACTACTTAATGATCTCTAATTTTCCTATTCTCTCTAAGCCTGTTCTCATTTGTGAAAGGGGAATAATCCTTACCTTGTAGGTTGTCGTGAAGAGCAAGTGATTTTTTAACGTGTGCATCTGTCCCTGGGCAATGGCCTGGGTCATGTTTATAAATCCATAGGCTCAAGTCCACCGAGGGAGCTGCCCAAGGTCAGCCCAAGTGCCCAATTCTCAGCCAAGGAGAAACCCAGATGCTCCCACAGTTCAGACCTTATTCCTACCTCATGCAAACCTCTTTTCAGCCCACCCCCTTGGACAGTTGGTGGGGGATGGAGATGAGGGGTGTGCGACTGTGTCTCTCTTCTCTGTTACAGCCATCTATCACACCTGTGAGGCCTCCAACTTCCAGTGCCGAAACGGGCACTGCATCCCCCAGCGGTGGGCGTGTGACGGGGATACGGACTGCCAGGATGGTTCCGATGAGGATCCAGTCAACTGTGGTAAATGCAAATTCCCCAGCTCCCTCCCTGAGCCTCCCCAGTGTCTGCTGTTCAGGAAGAGAGGCCACAGAGAGCCAGGGGATGAAATGCTGTTCTCCTATGCCTGTATTTACACTCTGAAACCAAATAAGCCCATCTACTTTCTATGTTATATTGCCATATGATGTATCAGATTATATTATATAGTCTTAAGAGTTGCAGGCAAGCAGTTTGCCCCACACACAAACTATATAAAATGCTGCCACGTAAACAAAATATATAAAATGTTTTTTGAAACCAAATATGTTTAAGGTTCTCTATCCTTTTGCCAAACATTCCAAGTTTTCAGGGGATGTTAGTTGTCTACATGTTGTTATACATTCTACTCCTTAAGTAAAGATGTTTATGCAACTCTGTTTTTGTGTAGTAAGCATTTTCATGGAGGATGCATATTCACTTTATGCTACCATAACCTAGTTTACATGGTTGCTTCCTGGTTGGGTGTTTGAGGTTTTTAGATTTATACTGTTATGCTAGTACCACTATTCGTGTCTTTGGAAATGGCCTGATTTTTCTTTGAGATATTTTCTGAGAGGCGTTCTTCAGTATGGAGTTGTAAGGTGAAAGGTTCTGACCAGTTTTTGAGTCTCTCTGTTACCAAATTGGGTTTCCAAGGGATTACATCAAATGTGTCTCTACCAGTAAAACGTTGCATGTTTCCCCAAGTCTCCTTGATATTAGATTTGTATCTTTTTAGTTGCTTCCACTAATGTAATATGTGTGTTTGCCTCATGTAGTTTTGATTTATACCTCTTTTAAAATACTTTTTCTACCTAGTGACATTAACCATTTCTCCAAATAGTGGTGCTTGTTTACTGTTTCTGTTTGATATCCTTTGGCTAATTTCCCAGAAATGATTACTTTTTACAGGATTAAAACACATTTTCATACTTATACCTAATCCTCAAGGAACTATTCTACACAGAGCTCAGTTTGCAAAGGCTATCTATGACTGCCTCATTAGAAGTGATTTTCTTTTTTTTTTTTGAGATAGGGTCTCACTCTGTCACCCAGGCTGGAGTATAGTAGTATGATTGTGGCTCACTGCAGCTTTGACCTCCTGGGCGCAAGGCATCTTCCTACTTCAGCCTCCTGAGTAGCTGGGACCACAGGGGTTGGCCACCACGCCCAGCTAATTTTTGTATTTTTTTGTAGAGATGAGGTTTTCGCCATGTGGCTCAGGCTGGTCTCAAACTCCTGGGTTCAAGTGATCTGCCCACCTTGGCCTCCCAAAGTGCTGCGATTATAGGCACGAGCCACTGCGCCTGGCCAGAACTGATTTTCAAGTCCAATGCCTGGCAATAACTTTTTGCTCAGGAGAAAGGGTGACCTAGTACTAAAGATTCTGATCAAGATACCTTAGTTGTAGTTTAATTTCCCCTGGAACTGTTGTGAAACCTCAGGCTCTTAGCATTTCTAGGCAAACTTTCTCCAAAACAACTTTGCTTTAGAATTCCTCCAGAATTAAGGTGGTGAGTGATTTAAATAGCTTTATAAAACTAGGATTTCATACTCAAGATTCATATTGTGCTTTTTCTATTCATTGAAGCTTTTCTTTTTCTTCTAAAAAATATACTTAGATCAGGTATGGTGGCTCACGCCTGTAATCCCAGCACTTTAGGAGGCTGAGGCGGGAGGATGGCTTGAGCCCAGGAATTTGAGATCAGCCTGGGCAACATAGCAAGACCCCATCTCTACAAAAATACAAAAATTAGCCAGGCACAGTGGCGCACGCCTGTGGTCCCAGCTACTCAGGAGGCTGAGGTGGCAGGATTGCTTGAGCACGGGAGGTGGAGGCTGCAGTGAACTGTGATCACGCCGCTGCACTCCAGGTTGGGTGACAGAGCAAGACTCTGCCTTAAAAAAAAAAATGTATATACACACACACACACACACACACACACACACACACACACTTATCAAAATGGAAATGTTCAAAATAGAAAAGATACAAAAAGATATAATCTCTCAGGTGTAGGTTGATCTCCTCACCTGCCCAGTTCCCACTTTTTCCTAATAGGAAACCAAGTTGTATATTTTTTCAGAATATTTTTGTGCATATATAAACAAATTTAAGTATACTCTGTATTATTGTCCTATTTCATACCCATAATGTTTAACTTTGCGTATTGTTTTGCACCTTGTTTTTTTCACAGAACTGTTTATCTAGGGCATAATTTTTATAGAGCACTTCTTGCATCTCTTTATAGCTGTCTGTGTTCCAGTGTACAGTAATTTATTAAACAGTCTGTTATTGATGGACTGTTTTCAATCTATTACACAGTTTTGCAATGCAACACTTGTACTTGTGGGCGGTTTTCAACCTGTTACAAACAGTGTTGTAATGCAACCCTTGTACTTATATTAAGTACAAGGTTGTAAACTTTTATTTACATTATTTTTTCAGTTGTGAAGTAGAATACATTTCTACAAAAGTAGAATTACTGGGTCAAAGTGTGTATACATTTGTCATTTTGCTAGTTACAGCCAAATTGCCCTCCCCAGTGGTGGTACCAGTGTGTACTCCCGCCAGCACTGTGTGTGAGTGCCTGCCTGTTTCCTCCTCGTCATTCTTCTGTGTTGTTGAATTCTATTTCAGAGAAGAAGTGCAATGGATTCCGCTGCCCAAACGGCACTTGCATCCCATCCAGCAAACATTGTGATGGTCTGCGTGATTGCTCTGATGGCTCCGATGAACAGCACTGCGGTGAGTTCATTCCTTGCCCCCAGGAAGCACTCAGGCCTAGTGATTATGAGTGAAGAGCGTATATTGGACTAAATCCTTTCATTTCCTCAGTACCTGCTTGTGGTTAGCTTTTAACTGAGTTGATCCCTGAGTACTTGGCTAGGACTCCTGGAGGCTGATCGTGGCAGAGAGACAGGGTTTGGTTAAAGGAGAGCAGGAAGGAAGAAAGCAGGGTTGGGGGCGATGGTGGGATTAGATCGAACTTCAGTGAAAGTTATTGTTTAGTTGAAATATGTTCTATTAATTGACCAGTTGTTTTGAATCGGCCACTTATTTCTACTTGATTGGTTTTGTTAGTGTTGCTGAGTATCACTGGGGGTAGAGTGGGGGGGGGGGCGGGGGGGGGGCATTTTTAGGCCAGATGACCCTTTTTATCTTCAGTTTTCTTTAGCCCCAGAAAGATTGCCTTGGGTCACTGGTGCTCATCCTTGATTATATATTGGAATCACCTGGGGAGCTTTAAAACCACCTGGTGCCTGGACCTTACCCCCAGAGATTCTGATTTAATTAGCGTAGGTGTGGCTGGGACTTGGGACATTTATGGTGCTCCTGGTGATTCTACTGTGCAGTCCGGGTTGAGAGCTAATGTTATCAGTGCAGGGAGTGGCAAACTAGCCTGTGGGCAAAATCCAGTCCCTAACCTGCTCTATTAAATGAAGTTTGATTTGCATACAGTAACTACTATTTGTTTACATATTGTATATGGCTGCTCTCATGCTGTAGTGGTGGACTTGAGCAGTTGTGACAGAGTCTGTATGACCTGAAAACCCTGCAATAGTTGCTTTCTAGTTGTGTTAGTTGGGGTTAGTTGGGGTTCTCCAGAGGAATAGGACCAATAGGATATGCATATGTATATATATAGATTTACTTTAAGGAACCATCATGCAATTTTGGAGGCTGGCAAGTCCCAAATTTGCTAGGTGAGCCAGCAGGCTGGAGACCCAGGGACACACTGAGGCTATATAGTTCAAGTCCAAAGGCTGTCAGGCTGCAAACCTTGGAGAGAGCCAGTTGCAGTTCAAGTACGAAGGTCTTGCTGTGTCCTCACATGGCCCTTTCTCTGTGTGGGCATTCCTGGTGTCTCTCTCTTCTCAAAGGACACGAATTCTTTTGAGTTTAGGCCCCATTCTTATGGTTTCATTTAACCTCCATTACCTTTTTAAAGGCCCTATCTCCAAATACAGTCAAATTGGGGATCAGGGCTTCAACATACAAATTTTGGGGGAACACAGTGCATTCCATAATATTAGTTCCTTACAGAAAAATTTGCCTACCCCCGTATTAGAGAGTCAGTATCTATTAATCATGCTTGAGATTGGGGGTTTGATGCCAGACAGCTCTGGATTTCACTTTTGGCTTCATCTTCATCAGCTGTGTACTCTTGGCAAAATACTTAATGCTACTGCCCTTGTTTTCTCATTTTGAATTAGCGACAATAAAATCTCTCCTAATGTTGTCTTGAGGGTTTAATGATGCACTTTATGTCAAATGCTTTAGCTCTAGGCTTGGCAGAAAACAAGTGCTCAATAAATTGTGGCTTTTACTGTTGCTTCCTGAAGCCACATCTGTACTCGTGTGCACTTGCCCAGGGCTAGAGGGCCCAGCCAGCCGCAGTGCTCATGGCCTCTTCCCTTCTCTGGATCCCTTACAGAGCCCCTCTGTACGCACTTCATGGACTTTGTGTGTAAGAACCGCCAGCAGTGCCTGTTCCACTCCATGGTCTGTGACGGAATCATCCAGTGCCGCGACGGGTCCGATGAGGATGCGGCGTTTGCAGGATGCTGTGAGTTGGGGCAGGCAGGGGAGGTGACTCACGGTCACTAAAGAACTTGCATGGGGGTTTGGCCACCCTGGGGTTGTGTCTCTATTTAATAACTGACAGGTCTTGGTTGAGTGTCGAGGGTTTGACCACCCTGGAGTTGCACCTCTATTTAGCTTACATGTCTAGGTTGAGCATCCAAGCTTGCCTTTTCTGAGAAAGACTTTCTTTTGTTGCTTAAGGAATCCTGCTTTTCAGTTGTGGGTGTATGTATAAGGGGCAGGATGGCGAGTGACCAGGGTCTTGGCTCAAGGGTCGCTGAAAGTGAGAGGCCTTTCTTGCCAGTACTGTATCAGATGGCACTCCCAGCGTGCCGTAGCCCCTTACCCTGCTTCGATGATCCTGTCACAACTTGCCCCAATTTGGACCTGTCTGTTCATTTTGCTGCCTGAGCTTTACAGGAGCAGGGGCTTGTTTTGTGCATTGCTATGGCCCTCTCCTAAAATAGTGCCCTTCTTGGAGCAGCTCTTATATTTGTTTCCTGGGACTGCTGTAGCAGAGTACCACAGACCAGATGGCTCAAACAACAGAAATTTATTTCTTGCAAGCCTGGAAGCTAGCAGTCCAAGATCAAGGTGTCGGCAGGGTTGGGTTCCTCCGAGGCCTCTCTCCCTGGCCTCATAGACGGCTGCCTGGCTGCCTTCTCCCTGGCTCTTCACACGGTCTTTCCTCTGTACACATCTGTGTCTAAATTTCCTCTTCTGTAAGGACACCAGGCCTATTAGATTCGGGCCACCCAGATCACCTCATTCTAACGTTTCCTCTTTCAAGCCCTTATCTCTAAATACAGTCCTGTTTCTGAGAGACTAGAGGTTGGGACTTAAACACATGATTTTTGGGAGGATAAACTCAGCTCATAACACGACTCGGTAAAGATTCATGGAATGGATTAATTAACAAAGTGTGTGCTCTGTTTAGATTAGGTTTGGCTTTTGCTTTCAAGGCATGGTTTAGCCAGACAGTCCTTTGCCAGAACTCACTGCTGTTCCCCCTTGCTTCTGGGCACCACTGCTGCTTCGACCCCTCAGCATGGAAGTTCCTGGACTTCATGGATGTTTGTTCCCTCTGTAGCCCAAGATCCTGAGTTCCACAAGGTATGTGATGAGTTCGGTTTCCAGTGTCAGAATGGAGTGTGCATCAGTTTGATTTGGAAGTGCGACGGGATGGATGATTGCGGCGATTATTCTGATGAAGCCAACTGCGGTAAGATGTCCAGTCTGCCTCCTCACATCCTAATCCTCTAGTTAACAGTGATGCCTGCAGTTACAGGGACACTCACCGGCAACCCCACTGCAGACTTGGCCTTCCCGTAACTCAGCAGCAGTTGCTGCCAGTTCCTGAATACTCATACGAGTTGAGTCTTGAAGGGGGCAGCTGGCACCCAGCAGGTGCTAGGGAAAAGTTTATTTGATCTCCTTTCCTTTCTGTGGTTGGGAAGACCACATTATGTATAAGGAAGGTGGTAGATAAGGAATTATGGTAAATATTATGGAGTGACCTCCCCCTAAAAGTGACAGGCCACAATGTAATAGTTATTGTCATGATTGGATTACCATCAATAGTTGTTTTATTCCTTTGGTAAAATGTCAGAATTAAAATTCAGGTGATTGTTCTCAGGATATTGTAGTATAGATCAGAGGAACATGGGTTAGGGGCTGGGAAGATGGGGTTTTGTTTAGTTTGTAGGTGTATTTTTTGTTCCCCATTGGGTCCATGAAGCTGCCTTATCTCTTTATGGGTGGGAAGTGTGGGTTGCCCTGGAACTTGGGTCTGGAGGAGGATGCCTAGAGTTGGAGCCCTGTGTTCACACTGATGCAGGGAAAGCAACTGATGATGTGGTTGATCTCTGCAGAAAACCCCACAGAAGCCCCAAACTGCTCCCGCTACTTCCAGTTTCGGTGTGAGAATGGCCACTGCATCCCCAACAGATGGAAATGTGACAGGGAGAACGACTGTGGGGACTGGTCTGATGAGAAGGATTGTGGAGGTAAGAGGCCCCTGGGGCCTGGGTTAGCCCCATAACCAAGACACACCAGAATAGTTCCACCAGCTATGCAGGATGTGCCTGGCTGATTCCGTGTTTTGGGGGGCATATTTTTGTGAGAGGAGTGACTCAAATTTTTTCTGTTCCTCTTTCTCATTTTGAAATAAGTGTGGTTGGTTTCTCCTATTTTCAGGCTATTTATTCCGTATTTGCAGGGCAGAGTGAGAAGTCTAGAGCCTTCCTACTCAAAGTATGGTTTGCAACCAGTAGCATCTGCATCTCCTTGGAACTTGTTAGAAATGTAGAATCTCTGACCTCACCCCAGACCTACAGAGTCAGAATCTGCATGCTAATAAGCCCCCAGGTCCTGTGTGCTCCACAATGCATTTGAGGAGCACTCATGTGGAATGCAGACTTGCCCCTTTCCTTTCTGGCATTCTCAT
This sequence comes from Homo sapiens, assembly GCF_000001405.40. NCBI lineage: Eukaryota > Metazoa > Chordata > Mammalia > Primates > Hominidae > Homo > Homo sapiens. The sequence continues at coordinate 121,590,615 of NC_000011.10, forward strand.
CTCTGAACCAGGTCGTGGAGTAGTTGCGGTTGAATTAACTAGAACACAATGCTTTGCCTCAGTAGGAATTCTCTTAGCCACCCTGTGCCTCCTCAGCCACCTGTTTCTTTCACCAGCCCCTGCAAAAGCAAACTTATCTGAATATTAACCGAAATCAAATATAGTAAGGGAAATCTACTCCCCAAAAGGGAAAAGAATATTGCCTCTTCTGACAACCCATTATACATGATTTCTAGATTAGCCGCTGCTCAGAGCTGTGCCAGTCACTGGCCTCCCTCAGCAGGTACAGCTAAAACTGGGACATCCGCACTAGGTTTGGGACATATTTGGTCTAAGATCAAGCTGCTTCTAATGTTTTGGGTTTCCGTGCTTGGTGTTTTTCTCAGATTCACATATTCTTCCCTTCTCGACTCCTGGGCCCTCCACGTGTCTGCCCAATTACTACCGCTGCAGCAGTGGGACCTGCGTGATGGACACCTGGGTGTGCGACGGGTACCGAGATTGTGCAGATGGCTCTGACGAGGAAGCCTGCCCCTTGCTTGGTGAGTTCTGGCCCAGGTCCTCTCCTGTGGTACCTGCTATTGTGGAGAGGACCTTCTGGGGGTGTGCTCTGGGCACAATCCAACCGGGCCCCATGCCCTGCTGTCTGGGACTCTGCTGTGTGGCCAGGTTGCCTGTTACTAATGGTGTACCTCCAGGGAAGGCTGATTTCTAGCATTTTTTCCTGGATCATAGATGCATAGGAAATTGGAATGGGAGCATCTCATCCTCTATAACTGGCCTCTGACCTTCCTGCAAGATGCCAGCCACCCTGATTTCCACCCAGGCTATGGTTATGCCACCTTTGCTGCCTTCTTAGTGGGAAAGTACAAATTGGAATTAATGTGGAACTTTTTGTGTGTGTATTAAACTCTGGGGAGAGAGCCCAATTCAGCTTGCTAGTTGGCCGGCCTGTCCAACTAAAAGAAGGGTAAGCACTGCCATCTAGTGGCTAAACTCAAAGAGGCAGCTGAAGGTCTGTAGTCACCATATTGTTGGAGGTGGGGTAGAACTTGAAATCCCATTTCGTGTGTGCTCCTAACAGCAGGCGGAACAGAGGTGAGGATCCTGTGTTCTTTCCTAAGCAGGAGTCTACTTCAAACTCAGTTATAATAGGAGAACAAATAATTTTTTGCATGCTTTGCATGATCTTTTCCCTTCTTCTGTGAGCATGTTCTTTCCATTGCTTCCTTGTTTAAAAACATCAAAATCCCAAACTTTAGTGAACCTAAAGCATGTAGGGATCTCCTGGGTTCCACCCAGAAATTCTGATTCTATGTTTTTTATAAAACATTATAAAAATGATGTTTTTACTAGGGTGGTCTTTTTGCCATATTGAGTTTCCTCTTGTTCTCCTGTCTAGAAGATCAATTTTTGACAATTTCTATTTTCCAGGCCCTCTGTGAGCTGATTCCTCCTTGCCTCCCTGGATTCCTTACATCAGCCAAGCTAGATTCCTGATCTTCTTCAGATAGACTTGCTTCTTTCCTGCCTGTGCACCTGCAGCAAGGTTTTGCCCTCAGCAGGAACTCCTGTACCCTCAACCTTGTCTTCCTACTTTCCTTATCACTGAAACCCACCATCCATCAGTGCAAACAGAAGCATGGATTTTATAGCAAAAGAGACCTTGATATATTCATATCATCAGAACTTCTCAAAATGTGATGCAAAGACCACCCTAATGGAATCGCCTGGGGTGTTTATAAAAAAATGTAGAATCAGAATTTCTGGGTGGAGCCCAGGAGATCCCCATATGATTCTTAGGTTCACAAAAGTTTGGGATTTCTGCTTTGAACAAGTAGGGTATTATTCTCCTTTCAAGCTCCACCTCTGTGGCGCTTTCACTGATTCCTTTAAATGATTTCCATCTCTTTTCCAGTCTCATTAAACTTACCCATTGACCTTTTGATTCTTAACTATGATCTGCCATATATTGCTTCCTAATTATTTCATGCGTGTTGATCTTTGCTTCCATAGCCATTGTGTGGACTTCCTGTTTGGGAATCATGCTGTCTACTACTTTGAGTCCTGCTCTGTGTCTCCTACAATAATAGGCAAATAGTCAGTATCCCCTAAAATGCTTCTCAAATTAAAATGAATTGTAAAAGAGAAAACAAAACTTTGTGTCTGTCCTTTCTCCTCAAGGCCTACATATTTATTGAATAACTTGATTATCCTCTTCAAGTTGTTTTTGCTTATTGAAACTCTGACCAGGACATTAATAGACTCTAGCAAATTCTGACTAATCCAGTGATCAGATCTCTGTTTATATATCCTGTTCAGCTTTTGTACTTTCTTTTTTGTGCGCAGTGCTGGGACAAATTTAAACTCATTGTTATCTGTAGCTCGTGGATCTTCTTTGTTTAGTGTAGAAGTCTTCTAACTGGCTTATTAACCTCATATTTCTCCCCCTTTCAGTTTTTCTTCTGATAAGGCCCATACTGATGAATGCTCATGTCCTCCCCAGTATTGGAGCCCTCTGATGCCTCCCTTATTGTCCAGGGCATGATTTGCCTTGGCCTGGCATTCTCCCCCTTTTTATTTTTTATCACCTGTCTCCATGTACCTTGTGTTTCTGCAGAGTGGTTCTGAGATATAGGGAAAGCCCCTTTGAAAATCCAATGAAAACTATAGAATATGCACAATATCCTGAAGTTAATAATTGCTTTTTTCATTTGTTTGCTTAGGTTGTTTTGTACCATTTGCCAATGCTTTCTGCCTTTCAGTCGCCACTCAGGATAACTTTCCACAGGTCAACATGTCCAGGGATTTATCAAGTCCAGTTTTTCTCTTGGAGATACTCCTTCTAACAACGTGGATTCTCCTTTCGGGACAGATTGTTCTCTAGTCCTGCTGTGTGCCTGTTACCCAGGGACTTTCACTGCCTCCTTGGAATTCTCTTTGCCTTTCTCCCAGTTTAGATTCCTTGTTTCCTGGATCTTGTGTGTTGCTTTTTCTTGGTTTACTCCCTTGTTTGGGTGGAGTGCATCCTTCAGTAGCCTTGTCAGGTGAATATGATGACGCAGTGGCCAAGGACACTGTGATGACAGCTCTCAGGTGTTTGTCTCTTGAATTTTGCTGCTCTGGTTTGTATTGGTTGCCCTGTATACCTGGGGCACAACTGCCTTTTAGGACGTTGCACCATCATCATCTTCAGGATTTCCTTTACCTCCATCTCCTGTTGGAACTCCTGTTTTCTGTGTCCCAGTTTTTCTCTTTTTAGTTTAATCCCATGTTTCAGTAGAGCACGTTTTCTGGAAAATGCCTGAGAAAATGTATGTGGGAGGCCTGTGTGAGGTCTTGCTTGTCTTAAAGTGTTTTAATTCTGTCTTCAGACTTAATTGATAGTTGGGCTGGGTTTGGCGTGCTAGATTGTAAGTAATTTTCCTTCAGAGTTTTGAAGGTTTTGTTCCACTGCCTTCAAGCAGCTTTTCGGAAATCCAAAAGCCATTTTGATTCTGATTTTTTTTTTTTTGTATGTAACCTGTTTTTAATCCTCTAGAAGCTTGTAGAATCTTCCCTTTGGCACCAGTGTTTTAAAATTTCACAATGATGTGCTTTGCTCTGAGACCCTTTCCATCCAACATAGCGGACACTTGCATGCTTTTTGATATGGAAGTTTATATATTTTAGTTCAAGGAATTTTTCTTGAAGTTTTTATTAATGATATTTCCCTCTCTGTTTTCTCTTATTTCCTGGAACTCTTGTCATTCATATATTGTCTCCTGATCTGGTCTTCTTCCTTATTTTTTTGTTTAATCTTTTATAGTTTTGAAAATTCCCTTCCCCCACCCCCCCAATTTTCTAGGAGATTTACTCAACTTTATATTTCAACTCTTTGCTGAGTTTTTCATCTTTGTTGTCATGGTTTTAACTTTAAGAGCTTCTCCATTTTTACCACTGTCCCTTTTTATGGTATCCTGTTTTCTTTTTTTCTTGGATAAATAATATATTCTTTCTTTCTGAACGTATTAAGGATATTTGTTTTTGAAGTTTTCTTCTTGCAAAGCCTCTATTTCCTCCAAATGGCCTTTTTGGGGGTTAGGGCTCTGTTTGGCTTTCTGCCTTTCATGTCAAAGCCTTTTCTCAGATAGTTCTTGGTTGCTGCTTGTATTTAAGGCTGGGGACTAAAGTGCTGGTAAGTAATTCTGAGCACATGGGTGGGCTTGTCAACTTCGAGGTTCATGGCTGGGAACCATGGGGGAACTCTGAATCTTGGTTACTTCAGGGTTAGTCTCTGAAGCTGGTCATTTTCCCCAGAGAAGATTATTAGATCTCCTGCCTAGACAATAATTACCTTATTGCTAGGATCCTCGGAGAAGAGGACTGGGACTTCCATATGTAGGTTTAATCCCCCTTTTATCAGTAGGATATACTTGCTGTCAACTACGCCTATCTAAACAACTCTCTGTTTTTACTTTCTCCAAATAACAACCCTCCATTCTTCTATTGGGGTGACGTATGGGTTGGTTGCCTCGTGGGACTGATAGGAGGGGATATAAGGAATGTAGCTGCGTCTTAAACATCATTCAGTCAGTTCCCTTATTTTAACTCCTTCTTCACTTCCAGTTAGATGCCAGTTTCTGAACTTTTGGAGGACTGTGTGTTGTTGATCTGATTGGTTCTGAGCTTTCTCCTGTGACGGCTTAGGGTAGGACGCAGCCTTCGCTGGCCTCTTTAGTCACATACCGCTATCTGTCTTCTTTCCAGCTCCCAAATCTCATTATCCATGTCCTCGTGGATTTAGGTCTTTGAAAACAATCTCTTGACTGTGGCTTTAGTGGGATCCTGTGGGGAAGCAACATTAGATGTCTGTATCTACTCTGCTCTCTATCCGGAACTCGCATTTGTCTTCAGGTTCCCATTGTAATTTCTAAAGCACCGTAATCTCCTAGCATATTGATTGGTTGCTGTTATTGGCCAGCTCCCTCAATATTAAAAAGTAAATTTTAAAAATCTTTTATTTTAGCAAACGTCACTGCTGCCTCCACTCCCACCCAACTTGGGCGATGTGACCGATTTGAGTTCGAATGCCACCAACCGAAGACGTGTATTCCCAACTGGAAGCGCTGTGACGGCCACCAAGATTGCCAGGATGGCCGGGACGAGGCCAATTGCCGTGAGTAGTCAGAGAGCCCTTCACCCCCTGGGCACGTTTCTGCAGAGAGCACAGTTCTGGTGCTTCTGCTTCATTTCTGGATCAGCACACGCCTGTGTGTGAGTCTGTGTACTTGCGTAACCATGCTCTTACTGCATTCTCCACAAGCGCTTTGCCACGTGCACCCATACCATTGCGTTAGTCACCTTCTTTTTAATAAGTTGACTGCGTTTTAAATACCAGGAGCGTGTCCAATAAAAATACTTTCTGAATGACTAAGATAAATATTTTAAATAGGTTTCATAAGCATGTTTAACTCTTTAAAAACGCCCTTGGGGAAAGCCACAACTCTTCTGTATGTACATTCATTCTTCTGGAAGTATTTAGTGAGCACTTACTGGGCGTAGAAGCTGTGTTATTAGAGGGTTTGCCTCTAGCACCCCATTAAGAAAATTCATTCTCAGTCCTTAGGGTAATTATGGTTGGTGAGATAGTGTGCCGAGCCACATGGGGAATAATCACAGGGCCATCTGAGCCCAGTGTGAGGTGATGCATGCATTCTCTACGGGTTTGGAGTTGGTGGGTCCTGGTGTTTGGTCCTCTGATGAACCCAGGGAGGATCTTTGCAGTGAGTGATGGAGGGAGACACTGGCTTCTGCAAGCGTTTATCCTCATGTGACCAGTCAGCGCTTTTCAGTCCCTGGCTGCACGCTAATGCCGCCGTTGGCTGGTCTGTCCTACTGTAGCAGACTTGGGAGGGCATGGCTGGACGGTGCTTATGCAGCCCCCCACCGGCCTGCCTCTCTGACGGTTGGGTGCTGCTCTGGCTCGGGGATCCCTGCTTTGCGGGCCTCCCCTCCATCCAGTCTCCTGCTGGCTGCAGACAGCAGACGTCCTAGCCAGTCACACTCCCTTCCTTGCCAGGATAAGGGCTTCGTCCGTGCTTGCCTGATTCCTGTCCTGGTGAATGTAGAAGACGCCCCTCTCACTCTCTGCTGAGAGCCTCCCTGCCGCCAAGCCCTAACCCTAAGCAGCAAACGCCTCAGTTCCTCCACTTTGATCCCTGTTCTGGTCCCATTTTTTTTTTAATCTTAAAATAATGACTTCCTCAACCAATGAAAAACTGAGCCTCACTTGGAATCCTACCAAGTCTTACCATTTAGAGATGGAATAGAATCTGAGGTGGAGGTTAGTCATCTCTTAATTCCTCTAATTCAGTATTTACAAAATTTATGGGACTTAGCAGGATCATGTGGAAGTGCTTATAAGAGATGTGAATTTGGTGATCTCACCTCAGACCACTGAATCAAGAGCAATGGTGGAGGAGATGCTCGGGAACCCAAGCCTTTTCAGAGGTGCCCTGTCTGATTCTTAGCATCAGACAAGATTGGCAAATACTGCTCTGTCCTAAATAGTTCACCCAGTAAGGCTCAGGGGGAAAGGGAAGAGGGAGTCGGCCGTCCCTTCTCTGTCTGTAGCGTTGTTCTCCACAGGGTGCCCGACTGGGCTCTCCCTGGAGAGGCTTGGTTAAGAGGAAGGAGTGTGGATCCAGTAACATCTTCAGTTTGGTTGGACAAATTTTTGTTGATCATGCACAGCGTGGCAGGCATTGATCAGGTTTCTGGCAATACAAATTCTTTGTGTTTTTTTTCTGGCAGGCATTGATCAGGTTTCTGGCAATACAAATTCTTTGTGTGTTTGTTTGTTTTTTTTTTTTTTCTTTTGAGATGTCATCTCGCTCTGTTGCCCAGGCTGGAGTGCAGGGGCGGGTGGGATCTCAGCTCACTGCAGCTTCCGCCTTTCGAGCTCAAGTGATTCTCTTGCCTCAGCCTCCCGAGTAGCTGGGACGACAGGCATGCGGCACCATGCCTGGCTAATTTTATGTTTTCAGTACAGACAGGTTTTGCCATGTTGGCCAGGCTGGTCTCGAACTCCTGACCTCAAGTGATCTGCCCACCTTGGCCTCCCAAAGTGCTGGGATTACAGGCCTGAGCCACCACGCCCGGTGACTGGCAATACAGATTCTAGTGGGAGGGACATCAAGTCAGCAGCTATCCTACAGTGTGGTGTAGGCAGTAGCAGAAGTTATCCAAGGAACTGGCATAGTTTGCAGGTGGGCTAGCTTCCTGGAGAGGTGGGGACAGGCCAGGAGAGGCAGCCCCATTGATGGTGCCTGGACAACGGTGGGACAAGGTGGCAGATGATGGGCATTCTAGACACAAGGGACAGCATGTATATTCCAAGGCTCAGAGGCATAAGAAAACAGACCTGTAGAGTGGCTGTGGGTGGGACAAAGGTGAGTGCAGAGAGGTAGGCATGAGGTAGATAGGGCGACCCCTGTGCTTGGAGTTTATTTTTCTGGTCCTAAGGAGCCCTTGAAGATTTCAGAGATGGGGTGTTTATATCTTAGATCACTTGGACTTCATCATGGGGGGAATGGGTTATAGAAGAAGGCTGAGGTGAGATTGGAAGCCAGGTGCCCATTAGGAGGCTAATTTGATGGGACTGTGAAGATGAAAAAGGAAGAGTGACCTCTTTGTATATTGGAGGTACTATTAACAGCATCCAGTGAGTTTTTTTGGCTGTGGTAATAAGGAAAAAGGAAGAATGAGGGTTTTCCCCAGGATGACAGTGAAAGCTGATGCTACCAGCTATGTGGGGGTTACTGAGGATGAGGAGTCGCAGCTTTCCCTGGGTGGGGCTAGCACGATGGTGGGTTCATTGATTGACATCAGCATCTGAGGTAGTGCAAGTCATCCTGGAAGAAACTGAAAAGGGGAGGTCAGAAACCGGGGCATTCTTGTCTTCCTTTTCATTTTACTGCATTAATTGTCCATGCAAGTGATCTTCGCTTGCCTGTTGCAATGAGTCTTTGCCAGTTTTCACACTTTTGTTGTTCCTTGTGATGATCTCTACGGTGATGGACTTCTGGAGACGAATTTCATTCTAGGCCTTGATGTGCTCTGACTTGAGAGAAAAATCATCTTGGCCAAGTCCTTAACTTGAAATATGAAACTAATTTATTTCCACCATGCATAGGTTTTTCTCCTAACACTTGGCTTTTCGGAGGGGTCCCAGGACCCCCATCGTTGATGCGTCCTTTCCTCTCCAGGAATGTCACTTTTGCTTTTGTTTCGGCTGCCTGAAGGGTCTTTTCTTTGACTAAAAGTCAAGGAATTGGATAAGTTGCTACCTAGAGGTCTTTTTTTCAAGAAACACCCTTTGAGTCTTTCCAATTCTTCAATTTCCAAGGTAGGGTGATTTCTTTTTGTTTTGTTTATTTATTTGTTTGTTTATTTTAGTTTAGGAAAATCATAAGGAATCTTTCATTACTAAACTATTCCTGTTGGAACTCAGATCCATTTTGGGGTTGGATTTCTCTCTGTCCAGAACATGCCACTTGTTATCTGGAACCCAAGAACCAAAAAGATTAAGATAATTTGATATCTCTTGATACTTGTGTATAAATCCATATAAATAAATAAATGAATCTATATAAATAAACCAAATAGGCCAGGCGCGGTGGCTCACACCTGTAATCCCAGCACTTTGGGAGGCCAAGGCGGGTGGATCACCTGAGGTCGGGAGTTTGAGACCAGCCTGACCAATATGGAGAAACCCCATCTCTACTAAAAATGTAAAATTAGCTGGGCATGGCGGCGCATGCCTGTAATCCTAGCTATTTGGGAGGCTGAGGCAGGAGAATTGCTTGAACCCGGGAGGCGGAGGTTGCAGTGAGCTGAGATCGGGCCATTGCACTCCAGCCTGGGCAACAAGAGCGAAACTGTCAAATAAATAAAAAAATAAACCAAATAAATTCAGATGGTGGGGGATATTTTAATCTCCTTGGTTAACATTTCCATATTACATCTCTTTCTCATTTCTTTGTCATGTCTTTCAGTTGTAAGGTTGAGCTTTGTCATTTACTTTCAAAGTTAATGCAAGTTTGCACAAATAAGTGTTTGGATTTGCTGATGGAGTTTGTCTTCAATATAATTAATTCTCCTGCTGTGTACTTTTTTTTTTTTGAAGTTCTTCGGTGTTTAGCAGGATGCGGCAGCCTTTGATAAACCTTAAAAGATTCTTATTTCTCTTTCTGTCGCCTTATGCCTGTTTGCTTTCCTGCATTTTGGCTGTTTTGTTTTTCACTTTGCTTTATCATAAGTGGTCTTTTTCAGGCTGCTTCTGCTTTACTCTTTCTATTTGCTGTGGTAATATTTTCTGATGCTTTTTAAAGTGGCCCTATCTTCTTTACAAAGTCATTAATGACCAGATGAAAACTTGGAAGGCATGCCTGTCATACTTGCAAGTAATACAGAGTTACCCAGATAGCTTATTTTCTGGCAAAACACTCAGGATTTACAAAGGGAAGCTAAACTTTGGTGGTGGGTTTTAATGTGCTATTCATTATTCTCAAGCAAATCATGTATTCGTTTCACTTAATTCTCAAAATAACTGCGATTTTGGTCTTATCTCCTTTGTGGAGATAGGAGAATTAAGGTCCCAAGAGGATCACCTAGCCAGTACCAGATTGGGTTATTTATTTAGGTTGAAAGCCATGTTGAAAGTTCTCATCAGGGAAGAATACACCAAAACTAACACAGATGAACTGAGTAGGGATTAGTGTACAGTTCTACACTTACATTAAAGGAATGAACAAAGTAGACTCCTAGAGTGTTAAACCAACAGGGACAGGTTGATCCCACACTCACCAAAATGACAGTAGGAACATCTGAGGCGAATAAGCAACCACATAATAAGATGAACATTGGAGATAATTAAGAAAGAGAAAAGAAATGGGACCTCCCTCCTGGGTGATATTAATTCATTAATTGGCATTCTTTAAATCAGTGTTTTCAGCCTGTTTCCAATCTGGCTTATTCACAGGGATGTTGCCTGGTAAAGGGTCTTAAAATCAAGATGTGTTATATCCACGGTTTTTTTCCAACATTAATTTGATAACCTTATCTAAAAATGAAATGAGATTAGTGTGGTGCGATTCTTTTTAGAGAACCTGTCCCCTGAAGGCGACTAAGTTCTATTCTAAGTGCCTGTTAATCATCGGTTAATTATCAGTTTAAGAATTTTCAGAGTTAATGACAACTTTATTCCCAGATTCTATTGTTTTTTTGTTTTAATTTAAGGCTCTTTTTTTTTATTATACTTTAAGTTTTAGGGTACATGTGCACATTGTGCACGTTAGTTACATATGTATACATGTGCCATGCTAGTGTGCTGCACCCACTAACTCGTCATCTAACATTAGGTATATCTCCCAGTGCTATCCCTCCCCCCTCCCCCCACCCCACAACAGTCCCCAGAGTGTGATATTCCCCTTCCTGTGTCCATGTGATCTCATTGTTCAGTTCCCACCTATGAGTGAGAATATGTGGTGTTTGGTTTTTTGTTCTTGCGATAGTTTACTGAGAATGATGATTTCCAATTTCATCCATGTCCCTACAAAGGACATGAACTCATCATTTTTTATGGCTGCATAGTATTCCATGGTGTATATGTGCCACATTTTCTTAATCCAGTCTATCATTGTTGGACATTTGGGTTGGTTCCAAGTCTTTGCTATTGTGAATAATGCCGCAATAAACATACGTGTGCATGTGTCTTTATAGCAGCATGATTTATAGTCCTTTGGGTATATACCCAGTAATGGGATGGCTGGGTCAAATGGTATTTCCAGTTCCAGATCCCTGAGGAATCGCCACACTGACTTCCACAATGGTTGAACTAGTTTACAGTCCCACCAACAGTGTAAAAGTGTTCCTATTTCTCCACCTCCTCTCCAGCACCTGTTGTTTCCTGACTTTTTAATGATTGTTTTTTTTTTTTTTTTTAAGAAACAGGGTCTGGTTATGTTACCCAGGCTGGTCTCAGACTCCTGGACTCAAGCAATCCAGCCTCAGCCTCCCAAGTAGCTGGGATTACAGGTGCACACTACCGCACCCAGCTTACTTCCAGAGTCTAAAGCCCATGCTTTTTTGCTCTTAAAATTTTGAGACATACTTTATAAAGAAACCTCCAACGTCCTCAGCTCTACTGCTTAGCTGTTGTTTGATTATATTTGACCACATTGTTACCCAGTAGAATACTTCTGTGATGGGGGTTTTGGTATTTTTCAAAATAATCCCCTCTGGGCATAGTCTCTCCCTGGCAATCCTATATAAAATGGCATAACCTGATCAGATTAATGTACTTGTTTGCAGTTTCTCTCAATAGAAGATAACTCCCTGAGGACAGGTCCTTCATCTGTTTTACATATCCCCATATTTTTAACATCTGGAGCAGTGCCCGAGTCATGGTAGGACCTCCATGAATGTTCACAGAATTCCATCTTGGGCTTCTGAGACTATTACAGTAGTGGTTCTCAAACCTTTCTCTAATTCTTGAATACACGTTTATTTGTCATGAGCTTCCCCCCACCATGGCAAACCAATTTCAGCTCAGTATATAATAGAATTCTGAAATGCAATGATCTTCCTGGAGAATGGGGGATTATAGTTTGTGAAAAGCCTCATAAGTGGTTTTGATAGTTCCCTTCTATTGACAATTTTTTATCAGGATTGTTTTTGAATAAGTAGTGAACTGAAGTCTGTACCTCCATCCTAGAGACTCGTGCAAAGAAGTCTTAATTCTTCTTTCTCATGAAAACTCATCAGTGGAGAACACTTGTCAGAGTGGTCTGCATGTCTTCTCACCACCTCCCCCATCCTTGTATCTTTTCACCTCTAGGAAAATATCCCTGGATCCTTTATCCATTCCTCTTGACCATCCTGGTTGCTCTCATGGGAACATTATCCAGTTTCTCTACCTATATCTCAAAGTGTGGTTGTTTATGTTAGGAGGAAGGAGAAGAGGGAGGGGGTCGAGGTCAAGAGGTGACCCATGACCACATGCCTGGGTCTGAAGTGGGGCGTATGAAGCTTCCTTGCTCAGGTCACAATGCTCATATCACCTTTAACATAACTTTGTTACTTGTGTGTACACTCTCTTTATTTCCTCAGGGCTTAGTTTCAGGAAGGGACTATTATCATCCTTGCTTTAAAATTAAACTATAAACAAAATTCCTTCCATAGTTAGCTTGGCCTACGTGCAGAGATAGGCAGAGGCCGTTAACCTACAAGATGTCACCATGGGCAGGGGGCAGGGTGCGGGGAGCAGAATGGAGCCACTCATGTTCAGCCTCCTTTTGTCTGTTATAATTTCCCCATTTTCAAAGCCAGTGATGTTGCATGTCTCTCACCTGTCTTCTGTATTCTCTCTGTCTCTCACCACAACCAGAAAAGGGTCTCTGCTTTTAAGGACCCATGTCATTAGACAGAGCCCACCTGGATAATCCAGGCTGAACTCTCCTACCTATGGGTCCTTAATCTAATCACACCTGCAAAGTTGCTTTGTTACATAAGGTAACATATTACAGGTTCCAGGGATTAGGATGTGGACGTCTTTGACTTGGAGGAGCAAGATTGATTTTAGACCCTCATCACTGGTGGGATTGGATTTCTGATGTAGCCCTTCCTTGTCCAGGACTGGGCAGGCAGGTGTGAATCTGTATAAGGAAGGCCTCAAGTTACTGTTCCTGGGCTCAACCAGCTACATAGCAGATTTGTACCACCCAGGTACACAGCCTGCATAGCAGATTTGCTGTCTACAGCCATTCTCACCTTTTCTCTTTTCAGGAGCATTTGCAATTATACGGTCATTGCTTTCTTTTTGGAGCCTCCCGTGCAGTTTTAATCTACTTTCAGAACTGGAGAGCACATCACATTTTGGTCAATAGCCTAGACATACAGTTGCATAACCCTTAACTTACCAGTGCTCATTATTTGCATTATTTCATTTTCTGTTCAAGTACTTTGAAAAGCCAAACAACTTTAAATACTACATAAAGTATGCATGCCTCTTAATATTGTTGGGATTCATCTCATTGTTATTTCTGTTACTCAAACCAGAAATCAGCTCCTCTTTCTAGATTGCAAACTAATAATAGTAGCAGAATAATTAATAGTACTATAGAGTAATAGCTACAGTTTGTTGATGCCGGCCAGGAGCCAGGCAGTGTTCCAGGTGTGTGATCTCATTAGATCCTTGCAGACATGATAGTGATGGAATTGTTACTTCCATTTTTTATAGGGCAACTGAACTCAGGTGATATTAAGCTGTTTGCTCAAGCTCATGCAGATCTAGGATTTAAACTCTAGTTTGTTTGACTCCAAAGTGCTCACTCTTCCCGAATGCAGATTCCAGTTGTTAATGTTAGATGAGATGGCACCTTAGTGCCGGTATAGATTCCACCACTGGTCATTCCAGAGGTGTGTTTTGAAGCAGAAGCCAATTAGTACTTTGCCTAAATGGGAATAAACTTGGGCCCAGCCTTTAGTACCATACGGCCCCTCCCCGTGGACTTAAGAAGCCTCTCTGTGTTTCAGCCACACACAGCACCTTGACTTGCATGAGCAGGGAGTTCCAGTGCGAGGACGGGGAGGCCTGCATTGTGCTCTCGGAGCGCTGCGACGGCTTCCTGGACTGCTCGGACGAGAGCGATGAAAAGGCCTGCAGTGGTGAGTGCCGGTCCACGGGCTGGGCTGGGCTGGGCTGGGCTGGGAGGCTCGCTTACCCCAGGGCCCCTCCTGTGTAGACCTTGAGCTAGGACCCTTTTGAACTGTTGCTCAATCTAAGGATAAAACAGATTTGTGCCTAGTTTTGGAGCCCCAAGTGAGGTGAGCCTTGGCCAGACTCTGATACAACATGCAGCTGTCTCCTCCCTGTTAGTGAAATGCTAGTCTTGGATTTTTTTTTTTTTATGGACTTCCCACCTCATGCCCATACACCATGGCTCTCACAGTCTCAATCTGCTGGTGGGATTAACTCAGTTCTTATCTCTGGAGTGTCTAGTAATGGACCCTATGACATGGTCCTTGGACTTGTAGCATTCTCTATGGAGAAATAGGCTTAAATTGTCATAGGCAGGAGGAAGATGAAATTCGAGGGAAAATATCACGACCGGAAAAGTAGGAGACCCTAGGAGGGATTGTATAGGGAGGTTTCAACTACATTTTCTGAGATTTCTTTTCAGATAATGATTATGGCCTCCTGATAATCTAGATCATGGTAGTTCTGTTTAAAAGCAGGAGTCCTTTGAAATCTAAGGATTTGTAAGATGTAACTTTTTTTTTTTTGTATTTTTAGTAGAGACGGGGTTTAGCCACATTGCCCAGGCCAGTCTCGAACTCCTGAGCTCAGGCAATTTGCCCGCCTCGGCCTCCCAAAGTGCTAGGATTACAGGCGTGAGCCACCACGCCCAGCCAAGATGTAACTTTGTTTGTCTTTTTCTCCTTTATCTCTCTAGATGAGTTGACTGTGTACAAAGTACAGAATCTTCAGTGGACAGCTGACTTCTCTGGGGATGTGACTTTGACCTGGATGAGGCCCAAAAAAATGCCCTCTGCTTCTTGTGTATATAATGTCTACTACAGGTAGGTCCCATCTTTGTCATGGGAGATGAAAATGATGTCTTCATTGCCCCAGGATGTTCTGTAAACTCTCTAGTGGCATGCACCATGCTATTAACGGAGTCAGACATCTCAGCCCCCCATGCTGCTCCAGTGTGACAATATCTTTATTTTTTTTTGGGCCAGGGTGGTTGGAGAGAGCATATGGAAGACTCTGGAGACCCACAGCAATAAGACAAACACTGTATTAAAAGTCTTGAAACCAGATACCACGTATCAGGTTAAAGTACAGGTTCAGTGTCTCAGCAAGGCACACAACACCAATGACTTTGTGACCCTGAGGACCCCAGAGGGATGTAAGTGTTTCAGTTAATTTTTATGGCATGGGTAAGACCTCAGGTCGGGGTTTGTGAGGGTCTTTCTGAGTATTCTCAGGAATGTGGGAACATATGTGTGCCTCACATGTACAGAAGTATGGTGGCTAAGCTTTATAGTCTTGCCAGAGTTGTCAAACATCTGTTCTTCTTACTGCATCAGAGACTGTTCTTGTACCTTAAGTTAATTTAAGATTCTCTCCACCATTGCCCTCTTGCATTTTTTGTCTAGTTTCTACCTCTACGTTCCTCCTCTAGATATTTCCTAGTACTTGGTACTTAGGAGGAGGTCATCGTCATTAAAATATGAGGCATATCAGCAATTTTGTGGCTAAGTTTTTTTCTTTTTGGAGACAAGGTCTCACTCTGACACCCACACTGGAGTGCAGTGGAGGCGCAATCACTGCTCACCACCTCAGTCTTCCCAGGCTCAGGTGGTCCTCCCGCCTCAGCCTCTCGCATAGCTGAGACTATAGGTGTGTGCCACCATGCTCAGCTAGCTTTTTGTATTTTTGTACAGAAAGGGTTTTGCCGTGTTACCTAGGCTGGTCTTGAGCTACTGAGCTCAAGCAATCCACCTACTTCAGCCTCCCAAAATGTTGGGATTACAGGTGTGAGCCACTGCACCTGGCTTTGTGGCTAAGTTTTTAAGAAATTTACCAAATTTATGTGTCTAAGAGAGTTCCTCGCCTCCTCCCTACTTCAAAGTAGTTGACATGAGCAACTGTCTGCTTGAATGTCATCTTTTTTCATTGCCTAAAGTATCCTGAATATGCTAGCGCTAAACTCATTAAGGAGCCTGCTTTGAAGATGATCAAATTCATTTGGATATAGAAATTCTGTGATGTTACAAAATTAGTCTTATTTTTTGGTAGTCATGCCCACAGTACAGTTTTTGTTGTACAAGAAGCAGAGGCAGCAGGTGCTGTCATTGACAATTAAGATCTCAGCATGGAAGTCTCAGGGTCAGTGGTGACTCAGCCTGCCCAAGTGATTCTATCCTGCAGCCCTTATGAGCCACAAATTTACCACACACTCAACTGAGCCATGATGTGATGTGTGGACGGCACACCTTGCTTTTTGGAAGAAGAGGAAAAGTGTCTTTTCAATGTGACGACCAAGCTAGCAGCCTTTCTAGTGGATAGTCTCAATGCCGGCTGTGGAGTCGTTCTTGTCCTTGTTCTAAGCCCAGGAAAATTCCTCTGGTTGGCTGCTATGCAGATGGGTTTTAACCTTGAGTTGACTCTTTTTCTAGTGCCAGATGCCCCTCGAAATCTCCAGCTGTCACTCCCCAGGGAAGCAGAAGGTGTGATTGTAGGCCACTGGGCTCCTCCCATCCACACCCATGGCCTCATCCGTGAGTACATTGTAAGTACCTTCCATGAGTTGGCTGTATGTGTGTTGGGGGTGCTAGGAGATTTCTGGGTATTCTGTATGACGAGGGGGTTGATTTGGTTTAGCTTTGTAGGTGATGACCCATCCGTCAGAACATTTTGCTCCTCACCATCTTTTCTCTCCTCCAGCCTCCTTGCAAGATATTAGGATGCCCTGGACCTTTGGTTCCCTTTACTCACATTTTTTTTCTTCTCCCTTTAGGTAGAATACAGCAGGAGTGGTTCCAAGATGTGGGCCTCCCAGAGGGCTGCTAGTAACTTTACAGAAATCAAGAACTTATTGGTCAACACTCTATACACCGTCAGAGTGAGTGTCGTCATCCATTCCAGCCATCCATGCAGTCTTAGAACTGAGCGAAATTGCTGCTGTTTTGTGAGAACTCTCTACTCACCTTTGTGAGATGCATATTAGTAATCTGCAAAATACCCAACTTCTTGCCCTGGGACGGGGGAGCTCAGAGTTTCTTTCAGTCTCTTAAATGGACACCACAAAGAGCTTGACATCAGAGTTTCTGTAGATAACCGGGCGTTTATGGGAATGCCGCTTTCCCTGCTTTTAACTCCGGTATTCTGCTAGCTTTCCAGCTCCTATACTTTTGCAGTCAGCTCTTTCCTGCTTATCTTTAGCTGCAGGATGATGCAGAGCTATGATAAGTAGTCTTTCTAAACTGATTTTATGAGGTTCTTATGAAATATATTTTTAGTATTTTTAGCAGAAAGAGATAGATTTTGTGAACAACATGTTTGCTGAGACCATTAAGTGTGCACATTCATGACTCTCACACTGATAATTTTGTCAGTACCCTTTTTGTATATGTGTGTATTTATGAACACACCCCCCCATACACCTGCCCTTTAGAAGAACCTTGATATTTGTGGATCAATAGAAATTTTCTGATCTCAGGACTGTCATAATGCCCTTTACCCAAGCTCCTTCCCTTGGCTTTTTTGCCCTCTTATTTCAGATGCTGGGGCCTCTGAATATTCTGGATCACTCTGTATAAAATTTTTCCAGCCTCACTGCCAAAATCTCACCCCTTTAGCTCATTCAGTATTCTTACTGTATGGTGTATGGTGTATTGCCTTTATTTCATATTAATTCACCCTCTGATTTGAAAAGGTGGCTGCGGTGACTAGTCGTGGAATAGGAAACTGGAGCGATTCTAAATCCATTACCACCATAAAAGGAAAAGGTAAATGATCCCAGCATTTGCAGATTTAGAGAAAATATTATACAAACCCTTTCAAATGACTTTCAGTATGACCGGAAAATGGAGAAACGTAGTTTAGAAAAACATCACACAACTTTCTTCTCCCCAACACACGCACATTTTTGGGTGTCTCTGTAGTGCTTTAGATAGAGTCTTTTTGGGGTGACTGAGTGTCTTTTTCCTCCTAGTATTGAGCATTTCTTCTAATGCAGACATACAAAGGGATTTCCAAAGGCCATCATGCGCAGCCCTTTGTGAGTAGTCAAAATATCTAAAATAGAAGGAGTCCTTCCTTCTCACCAAAGCTGAAGATGATTTTGTGCATGTTCACTTACGGGGTTTTAAAGAAAGCACCATGCTGACTCTTGTTATTCTCCCAGTGGCACTGGCAAACTGTGTGTAGGTGGTTTTTTATCTTGTACTAGAGCTGATATTAGTAATAACTGATGGCTTGCCAAGGGCAGGACACTCTAGAGTGTTCACTGCTTTGCGTACATCAGCTCATCTAATTGAACAGTCAGAACAACTACAAGAAAGGATAAGGAACTGGAATGAGGTTATGTCACTTGTCCCAGGCCACACAATCAGTAAGTGACAGAGCTGGCCCTGGAACCTGATCTGCCTGACTCCAAAGCCTGTGCTCTTAACCACTGTGCTCCACGCTTCTCTCTGGGCTGAGACACATGCGGCCTACTGGACCGCCCTGCTTGCCGGGGGTGGCGGGCTCAGCATCTTGCACGAGTGCCTCATGAGGGCAGAGATCTGGTCTGTTTTTCTCTACTCTATCACGGGCATCTAGTAGAGACTAAGGAAATAATTGATGATTGAGTGAATCGAAGCAGTTAAATGAAGGGTTCTGGCATACTTTGGGAGATGGACTACAACTCATTTTCCAGAGTGGTTTTCCTGACCTTAGCCTTGACACTGGGGACTTGCATTTCTGGACTTCCAGGTATTAAAACCAGATGGACACTGTGGCATGCAATAGGACTGGAAGATTTTACTTTAACCTAAGCCTGTGAGGAATAGGCTCTGGGTCATGGAGAGTCACTATCTAGTCCCCTCTAAAATCTGGAGCCTTTGAGATCAGGGCCCAAGGCGGCCAAACGTAGTGCCACCAGATGGTCTTTGGAGCTGAATGCTTGCAGGTATTAGAGAAAGCCTGCTGAATTCACACTCTCCTAGAATTTTTATTGTTGTATCTCTTCTCTCTACAAAGTCTGTTTCAAAACACTGACCACACATACCAAGAAGGGATGTTGGAAGAGCAACCAAATACATGTACCTTGAATTCCGAAGGCACAAGTCACAACTGCATTTGAAAATCTCAGTGGATGGTTGGTTCTCTTTAACTTCTTTTCTGTGATTTTGATGAATCTCAGCTGCTTGCATATATTTGGGCTAGGATTTGTACAGAAGGCAGCTGTGTGCCACATCCAAAAAGTGTTTGTTGTAAAATATCTGTGACATAGTATCATAATAACGTTTTAAGATAAAGGACAAAGACAGCAGAGGCATCAGCCAGACGCGCCAGGTTAATTGGTGAATGTAGTGGATTAGTAATGACAATGAGAAAAGCCACCATTCCCTGAGCACTTCTTATACACTAAGCACCATGCTATTGTTGCTCGTGAATGGATCCCTTATTAATCCTTATGAATCCTATGAGATAAGTATCCTTATCCTCATTGTGTAGCTGAGGAAATGGGTTTGGAGTGGATTGTGACTTGTCCCTGGTTGCCATGATTATAATTCAAGTCAGCTTTACCATATGCAGCACTCGCACTGTTTTGCTCTGTGTTGGCCGCCTGAAGCTTCCAATATCCTTTCTTCTTCCGGTTATTGCATTTTCCTGAAGCCTAGTTTTATTACATGATTGATCATCTGGACAGACCTCTTCAGACTTTGACACATCTCTTTTGCCACCAAATCTTATCTGCTCCTTTGAGTCTCTCTTGCCCAGTCTATAGAAGGGGCATATGTGTGGAGAGTCTAATATGCAAGTTGTTGTTTAAATAATATTTTCTGATAATATTGATCCATTGAGCTCTTTTAGATCATGCTGGGCCAAGCACTGTCAGCCATCTGGTGGGAAGACCTTCCAGATGACAAGCATGGCGCTCATTGGTTGAACTGAGAGGGGTCTTTTCCTTGGCCACTTCTCCTTGCCCCCTCGACTCTTAGCTTGAGCTCCAGTCTTTTTGAGAGCACCAGTGGTTTCTAGTTGTTTAGTTGGCCATATGTGACGCTATATTGGAAAGGAAGAGAAAGAGAGTATCAGTTGAGTGCTAGGCATCACACATACATTATTTTAGTTAACCTTCCCAGCTCTGTGAAATGCAGATAACATCTCTAGGCTCCAGGAAGATCAGTAACTTGCCTAGGTTACACAGATGCCAGAACAGGAATTCGAACTCAAGTTTGCCAGCTTCCAGAGGCCACATTCTTTCCATTTTGCCACACGCACGTTTACCATTTACGATTTACTCCATTGTCAGCCTTCCGAAAGGACTTGAGATTGGTGGGACTTTGTTAGTGCCAATCAAGATGCCACTCGCAGTGAATGATCCCTGTTCCTTTAAGAACCAGGCTGAAGCTGGGCTGTTTTGGGACCTTTACAAAATGGAACTTTTCTGCCTGACCTAATTGCCAGGATAGCCGACTGAGCCAAGATAGTTTTGTGTTCACCAAGCAACTGTGGACCAACCTTAGCTTCAGGAAAACAGTGGTAAAAAAAGATCGATGAGGAACACTGCCAAAGAAATACCCTTTCTTCCCCGACTGAAAGATGGCTTTGTCCGTTGAGTTGAAAACTATTAAGTCCTGCCTTCCTCACTTTTCATCACGTGGCTTCTGTTTTTGAATTCCTTTTTGTTTTCAGTGATCCCACCACCAGATATCCACATTGACAGCTATGGTGAAAATTATCTAAGCTTCACCCTGACCATGGAGAGTGATATCAAGGTAATGTGGGAATTTCAAGCCAGCAGCTGGATGGGGCTTTATTTTGTATGGGAACTGAAAGGACATAGCACAGTAAGACTGGAAAAAAACAAAAAACAAAAAACAAAAAAAACGAACGGCTAGATCTAGTGAAGCTAAAATACCAGGACTAGGGTGGTTCCTTCCCCCATGAAGAACAACTTGAGTCTTCACATGTAATTATTCTGCCTCAGCCTGGTGCCTTTTTATCCTTAACCATATAATTAAATGGTTCACAGCTACAGTGCAAATAAAGAGTTGGTGTTAACAGAATATGTATGCCCTGTAATTTTCAGCTTTATTGGATTTCCTGGTGCTAAGCGCTAATGCTGAGGCGCTCACAGTGGAAGAACAACCTTCTTGTGGGAGAGTTGGATACCTTGGAAACATATTCACTTTCCATCCACCTAAGATCTTCCTCTTCCAGCACCGCCATCCCCTCTACTGGCCCTCTGCATAGCCGACTTCATCATTGTTACCTGTGCCCATGTGGTTCCTCAAGCTGAGATCCGCTTTCCATAGTGTTCCTTCTTATCTGTCCCTCCTCACAGCCTCTCCATTGATGAATTTGTGTTGGGACAAGTTGGGACAAGCAACCTTCAGAGTCTTTCTGCCATTTACTTAACTGCCATTTAGTGTCATGACCTTGGCTTCAGAATGGGTTGATATAAGAAATGGCCTCGGCCGGGCATGGTGGCTCACGCCTGTAATCCCAGCACTTTGGGAGGCTGAGATGGGTGGATCACCTGAGGTCGGGAGTTCGAGACCAGCCTGGCCAACATGGTGAAACCCCGTCTCTACTAAAAATACAAAAATTAGCCAGGTGTGGTGGTGCATGCCTGTAATCCCAGCTACTTGGAGGCTGGGGCAGGAGAATCGCTTGAACCTGGGACGCAGAGGCTACAGTGAGTCAAGATCATGCCACTGCAGTCCAGCCTGGGCAACAGAGTGAGACTCTGTCTCAAAAAAAAGAAAAAAAGAAAAGAAAGAAAAAAGAAGTGGGCTTATATGCTTCTTGTCTTGTAGTCTTTGATCTTGAAAATATTTTTGTTCGTTGTCCCATATTTAACGATCTTCAGATCAAATCTTTTTATGAGCTCAGGACTTGGAAAAGGTAGTCTTTCCTGATGGGTGGATGTATTTTCTGTAGTTAGACAATGAGATCTAACCAGCCTGTTTTGTATGGATTGTCTTCTTGGCCTTGACTGCAAGGATTTATCCTTAATTTCCATGGCCTAATTATCTTTCCAGTGTTTCCTCTTTCTACCTTTATTAATTGGTTCTCGTCCTTTTATTCTTCATTCACTTTTTTGTTTCATTGAATCTATAAATTAAATATGGTCTCGTTTGTTTTTAGAAGTAGGTGGAGTACAACTAAATATTAGCTAATGGTAGCACAAGTAGAACCTGTTTAAAATTTTTAAAAAACAACCTGTTCACTGTAAGAATGAGATACCCAAGGAAAGAACAGGAAAGAGGTGTATTTTTAATCCTGCCTTTTGTATTTAGTGTGCCCCATGACTAGCTGTTCATCTAACATGCTTCTTGGTTCTCGGCAGGTGAATGGCTATGTGGTGAACCTTTTCTGGGCATTTGACACCCACAAGCAAGAGAGGAGAACTTTGAACTTCCGAGGAAGCATATTGTCACACAAAGGTAACACTTTGGTGCTGGTCAGTGTGTGTGCAGGAAGGGGTAAGGCTGGACCAATGCTTTCCCGCTGTAGAGCTTGACTGGGGGTGCCAGGGAAGGGGAGGTATTCTCTGGAAGCTGTTCTGTGTTGACAGGTTCTTGTGCATTGAGGATCCTATAAGTGTGCTGCTGATTCTAGGCAGAGGGATTCACTCAGTGGCCCCTCGAGCCCTCCTCCAACCTCATGACCCTTAGTGGAAGTTGGGGGCCATAAGGAGGAAAATTGGACAGAGGCAAGACTAATTCTCTGCAGATGAGTTTTGATTTCCAAAAGAAAGAGTTCTTAGATATAGACAGTTACCTGTCTGTCCTTTCTAGTCTGGTTCACTCTCCCGTTGCTAATGAGAGACAGCAGAAGGCCTTATGCATAACTGGTGTTCAGTAAATACATGTTGACTGGAGAAATGGACAACAAACTAAGGGAGGAGTGGTCCAGTCCCTGTTACGTATGTACCAGCAGCAAGTCTCAGCTAAAATTCCTCTATCTAAGCACGTGCTAAAGGATGGATTTTAATTTATTTCTAAGTGGCGAAAGCTGCCTGTAACTGTTGAGAATGACTTGGGAGCTTCTTCCTGTCTCCTCCTTCTAGGCTGTGAAGCACTTTCAGTCATGTTTTTATTGAGTCCTTGTCATAGCCTTATAAAGTAGAGACTACAAATGTTCTATTGTTACTTTTTTTTTTTAACTGAAAGTCTACAAGGTGCCCGAGGAGGCTGTTATTTTGACTTTTGCACATTGAGCACCTACCATGTACAGGCATTTACACAGGCATTCTACGCATATTATTTACATAACCCCAAGTATAATTCCGTGAGATATGCCCGCTTTACAGAGGCAAAACTGAAGTTGAAAGAATAAGTCATACGCTCAGACGGTGGCAGAGCCAGGATTGGAACCCACATCTTTCTAACTCCACAGCCTATGATCTCATTGCCTTAGTGTTGCCCCAGTAGAAACTGGCAGAGTCAGGAGCAGAAGCCTTAACTAGCTGTTGTTTGAAATCTATTAGGGCTAGTGCGATGCTAGGCATTATGCCAAGCACTTCCTAAGCATTTTCTTTTTTTCTCCCTGCCAGCCAGCAGCTGCTGTAAGTGCTGTTATTTTTTTCTCCATCTTACAAACAAGGAAATAGAGAGTTTAAATACTTTACCCAAGGTTATACAACCACAAAGTATAGAGTCAGGCCTTAAACCCCAGTCCTTCTGATTCCAAAGGCTATCTTGTTAGCGTAACCTCCCCCTTCTCACTTTTCTTTTTCTTAGTTTTAATAGCATTTCCTCTGATCAGAAAGGGGATACATATTTGTTTCAGAAAATTGAGAGAACAAAAAGAGTGTAATGAAAATTAAAATTGCCTATAATTTCACTTTTACATTTCAGATATCTTCTAATATATTTTTCCATGGATTGATCTCTTTATATCTTTTTTCTAAAATCAGAATAATGCCATAGGTAGTATTGTATCCTGCCCTTTTCACTTCACATAAAATTGTGAGAATTTTCCAGTGTCATCAAATATTTTTGAAACAACCTTTAGTGCCTGCACAGTAGTTGATGGAATGCACATTATTTAATTATTATCCTGTTACTAGACAATCAAATTACATTCAGTTTTTTCCTGCTGTAACACTGTGATGGGGATCCTTGTTAAACACACTTTTGAGTCTTTCTCTGACTTCATGGGATAACTGGATTGAAGGGTATGATTTCCAAGGTTCTTGTTATACAAGGCCAAATGGCTTCCAGGAGCGTTGTACCAACTCCTATCCGCGGATGGGCAGCTTTAAAGAAATTACCCAGTGCTTGTGCAGTGTGTTACGTACCGTCATCATCAGTACATAAACGTTGAATGAATTTGTCATCTAATGACAGTCCTACAGCACATGGGACTCATTTAAGTCAAGAGATTACTATTTTTTTTTAAAAAAGTGCATGTACCAAGACACGTTCTTGACTAACACCCCCAACTTCCTCCTGGAATCTCCTTTTCCTGTTTTCACAGTTGGCAATCTGACAGCTCATACATCCTATGAGATTTCTGCCTGGGCCAAGACTGACTTGGGGGATAGCCCTCTGGCATTTGAGCATGTTATGACCAGAGGGGTTCGCCCACCTGCACCTAGCCTCAAGGCCAAAGCCATCAACCAGACTGCAGTGGAATGTACCTGGACCGGCCCCCGGAATGTGGTGAGTCAGCCAGAATGACCATCACAAAGTGAGTGTGGACTGTCCCCTAATGCTACGCCACCACACAACTCCAGGGCTTTTCTCTCTTTTGCAAATGTTCCGGTGCCCCTGCTGCTCTTGGATATAGGCCTTTCTTTTTCCTTTGTTTTCATACGTGCATTATGATTCACTATGATCAGATCTGTGCTCCTTTTTGAGTCTACTGTTTTACTTTCCACTCCTCCCCAGTGTGTCCCCTTTGCTTTTAGATCAACCGTCCCAAGGCTCTTGGCACATTCGTCCCCCTCTTGCCTCTGTACTTGGCTTATGCCCTTTCTCCTCCTTGGTGTCCTTCCCTCCTCTTGCTATGCAAGAAAATCCTCCCTTCTATAGTTGATCTCTCTCCCTATGAACTCCTAATATATTTATAGTTGGTTCCATATAGCATGATATTTCATTGAATACAGCTTTACCCTATTTGATAATTTTTGTCTGTTACTCTTACCTTCCTAACTAGTTTGTAAGTTCCTTGAAGGGAAGGATTGTTTTCTGGATTTTCTCAATGGAAAAGCATACAGAAGTAAATTTATAATAAGGAATTAGTAAATCCTTAGTGATGAGCGGAGGAACTAGCCTAGGTCTGGTCTTCTGAGGATATCTTCAGCGTGCATTTGTCACAGGGCTGAGTCATAGGGAAATAACCAAAGTTTGCAAGTAGCTGTCTGTAAAATCAGTGAAGAAGAAGGAAGAAGTAAGATTTACTGAGCAGCCAGTAAGTGCCAGGAACAATATAAAATCCGATAAACCCCTGTTCCCCCTTATTCCTTTCATTGGTTCTGTGGGTAAATATTCCCATTTTGCCAGCAAGGAAACTAAGGCTCAGTGAGGCGAAGTAACTTGCCAGAGTTAAAGCTCTCACAAGCAGTAGACTGAGTTTCAGCTCAGGTCTGGCTAATTTAACAGCCTCTGCTCTTTTGTGTGTCCCAGCACCTGACGCTGAGGCAGGGACAGTGATGAGAAGCCCTGACCTATCCCCGGAGCTCTCTTTTACCTGGAAGTTGAGTCTACTCATAAAGAACCCTTTCTTTCCATTTATATACCTGGCAGCACATGACCGCCTCATCACCCCCAACTATCTCTCCAGAGTAGGGCAATTGCACAGAACACTGAAGCCTGACTTGATTTAGGGTCTCCAATTGTGCATGAAGTTGGAGGAGGCTTCCTGCACCTCATCTCAGCTCATGCACTGGTCACACTAAAGGTGGCTTTCAGAGGTGAGAGCGCAAATGAGATCACCTGTAGGAAGCTCTCTGCTTCTGCCCCTCTTTAGTTCATTGAGGACCCTGGCAGCTCTCATGATTTTCCTGTCTACTGTGAGAAGTGCCATTGTCACTGTGCATGTGGGGAACCTCTCATCCCTTGGCTCCCGTGGCTCTGTGGACCCCTTTCCTCTCCAGAGACACCCCATCCCTGGCGGTCACCAGCCTTGTCCTCGGTGATGTCATCCTCCCTCTGTACTCTAAGCCCCGACTTGGCCTACTCCCATCTCATGCTTTGCAGCTCCACCTGCATTTGCTTTGGGACCCCTTTGAGTCCCTCAGCGCTTCTCTTTCCTACATCCTCCCAGGCGATCACCCCCTTCGGGGCTTCCCTTCCTGTTTCTCTGTCTGTGTTCTCCCATCTGTCTGTCCTTTCTCATCTGTCAACAAAAAGAGTCAAACTCTGTAAAATATATGAAAAGATTTATTCTGAGCCAAATAGGAGTGACCATGGCCCGTGACACAGCCCTCAGGAGGTCCTGAGAACATGTGCCCAAGGTGGCCGGGATGCAGCTTGGTTTTATACATTTTAGGGAGGCATGAGACATCCATCAAATACATTTAGGAAATACACTGGTTTGGTCCAGAAAGGCAGGACAACTCAAAGTGGGCATGGGGAAGCAGGGGTTTCCAGGCTATAGGGAAATTTAAACATTTTCTGGTTGTCAATTGGTTGAGTTTGTCTAAAGACCTGAGATTGACGGAAAGGAGATGTTCAGGTTAAGATAAAAGATTGTGGAGACCAAGGTTCTTTTGACGTCTTTTAGTGGCTGCCTTTAGGGGAAATAGATGACAGATGTTTCCTATCCAGATCTTTAAAAGGTGCAAGACTTTTAGCTAATGTCTTTAGGATTGGGAGGGCCTGGAAGAAAAAGATCTAGCTATGTTAATAGAGATTCTTTACAGATGCGAAGGTTCCCCCACAAAGGACAGCTTTTCAGGGCCATTTCAAGATATGACAAAGAAACATGTTTTAGGGTAAAATATTTTGATTTTCTTCCTTGTCTCATAATGTTATGCCAGAGTCAACTTGGAAAGTAAGTCACGATATATAGGATTAAATAAAACCCATCTGATGAGAATTTATGGTTTGTAGGACATGACTCCCCAGACCCCTTAGATAGGGATTTGGGCAAGATTTAAAAAATCAGAGCTTAGTCCTCACAGCTGCTGAGCAGTGCTGGAGAAAGTCACCCTGTTGCCTGGGACTTGGAAATCCCTTTGTGGATCCCCGCTCAGTTCCTGCTCATCCCATGGATCCTGCAGCTCCTACAGTCCTCGTCAAGCCCATGTCTTACATGTGCACATAACTCTTGGAGAAAATGCTCTTTGATTGTGCCTTACAAAGAAAGCTTCCTCAGCTCCCACCCTCCAGTTATAAACTCCCTCGGCTTCCACTTTCTGCTGTAAACTTCATCCCATTCCCACTTCCCTGCTTGAAACTCCCTCAGTTTCCAACGTTTACCAGTTAGGACTAAGCAGGGATGCATAGAGCAGAGGAAGTGACAGTAACAGTGGCTTCGAACAGTTTATTTCCTCTTGTAATTAAAACAAGTTTAGAGTTGAGCAGTGCAGGGCTTCTGTCGTGGCAGCACGATTTGATTGGGCACCTGAGCCCTGTCATCTCCAGCCTGTGGCATGTGTCTTCAAGCTCACCTCATGGTACAAGAGGCCTCCTGGGCCTGCAGTCATGATCTGTATTCCAGGCGACCAGAGGGCAGGAAGAAGGGCTCCTCCCTCTGTTGTAATGAGCCCTCCTAAAGCTTTTCCTGCGACACTTCTGCATCTCAATGGCTGGAAGCTCTTTGTCTAGCCTCTTCTAGCTTAGGGAGGTTCGCAGTTTAGACTTTTTCCAGGCAGCAATTCTCAATCAGAACCAGAGTTCTGAGGAAGAAAGGGAGGATGGGTACCTGTTGGACAGCCAGCCGTGTCTGCTCTCCTTCCCTCCCTCCACATACTTCCTGGGGTGTTCGCATCCACTGTGCAAGCTCCCATGGCTTTCCTTCCCACTCAGCACATCCCCTTGGAGCCCACGTCTGTGCTGCCAATGGTAGAATGACACCCCCTCTTTAATAACCCCCCGTTCCCTGGCTCATCATGTGGGTTTCTGGTGTAGCATCTAACACTCTATGTTTGCCACTTGTTATTTATAATTATGTATGTTTTTCTTCTCTGCCCGCCTCTCCTCCAGAAGGAGCGCTTTGAGGACAGAGACCACATCATATTTATTTTTGTAGCTCTACATACAGTGCCTGGCCCAAGTGCCTTCTCTGTAAATGCTGTAAATGTAATAAATGTTGAATGAAGACTTCTCTGTGAGCTCTTTTGAAGCAGTTCCAGGGTCTTAAATTGGGGATTTCAAGGAAATGAGATCATCGGCCCATGAGCTGATGTCCTCTTCCATTCTCTGCTTTTACCAGGTTTATGGTATTTTCTATGCCACGTCCTTTCTTGACCTCTATCGCAACCCGAAGAGCTTGACTACTTCACTCCACAACAAGACGGTCATTGTCAGTAAGGATGAGCAGTATTTGTTTCTGGTAAGTTTCCCATACCGTTTCAGTTTTTTAAGGGATGTCTTAAGTCCTGGGCTCTGGTCTCAACCCAGGACCTGGGGAGCTTGCATACCTGGACTCCAGGATTGATGTGTGTGACGAGAGGCAACTTCCTCTTCTTCATAAGCATCATCAGGTTCTTGCTTGAAATACAGAATGAACGGCCACTTTCACCAACTGCAGCTCCGTTATGGAGGACTGATAACTTGGCAGATGATCACAAGTATAGATAAATCAAAAATTTTTATCAGGTTCCACTTCTAGGAATTTAGCCTACATACTTTTATGTGTGTGCCAAGATATATGGAGAAAGATACATGGTACGTTATTATTCTTATGATAGCAAAAGATGTGAAGCAACTTAAATGTCTATGAAGAGAGGACTGGTTAAACATATCATGGTTTATTCATGCAATGGAATGCAGGACAGCCGTTCATAAGAAGTATGACAACTCTAAATGTACTGATATGGAAAAATCTCTACGCTATATTATTATATAAAAGAAGCCAAGAGCATAATATGTGTGCCATTTTCTCAGTTGTATAAAAAATATTTGAGGAAGATAGGCTTCATATACACGTGCATATATGTGTAAGGATACACGTACATACATATCCTTCCTTATATATGCATAGGGGATTTCTGGAAGGAAGCACAAAAACTCTTACCAGTGGTACCTCTTGGAAAATGATTTGGGGTAGGTGGGAAATTATTTTATATTTTATGGTTTTTTGTACTAACTGAATTTTAATTGTTGTCATTATTTTGTTGAAAAAATACTTTAATAAAGATTGCATAAGGCCATGATGTATTTTTTTTCCTACGTGTGTGCTTGGGCTTCAGGTCCGTGTAGTGGTACCCTACCAGGGGCCATCCTCTGACTACGTTGTAGTGAAGATGATCCCGGACAGCAGGCTTCCACCCCGTCACCTGCATGTGGTTCATACGGGCAAAACCTCCGTGGTCATCAAGTGGGAATCACCGTATGACTCTCCTGACCAGGACTTGGTGAGTGGGTTGGGCTTCCAGGCCTCTTTGTTTATTCCTGGCCTGGTTAGGGTGGGGTGGGATGGAAGGGGATCCTCTAATGGGGCAAGAAACACAGGCCTGGTTTCTGGCGCTCAGCAGGAGGTCTCTCTCCCATTTCAGTCTGACCAAAGATGGGGTCCGTACAGGGACCTCTTCTTAGTTGGCACTTCTCCATTATTCCTAGCTACCATTTTGGTTTGTCCCTCTTTCTCCTCCGCTGCTGATATTTCCTTCCCTGACCCTCTCACACAGGGATTAGCAAACAAAGGCCTGCAGGCCAAACACAGCCCATTGCCTATTTTTTTAAAATAAAGTTTTATTGGAACCAAGTCATGCCTATTTGTTTATATATTATATCTGACCACTTTCATGCAATGATCAGCAGAGTTGTTGTGGTGGAGACTATCTGGCCCTCAACACCTACAGTATTACTGTGTGTGGACCCTTACAAAAAGTTTCTGACCCCTCTTTAAAAGGAGCATTGATCCTAAACAAAACAAAAAAACTGCCATTTTTTCCTTGCTCTGGGTTGCTCTTCCCTCTCTCCTCTCTCCACTCCCCTTCATCCAGCGGTGGTTGGTTTAAAATGCTTGGTTGCTAATACTCCTCTCAACTCTCCACTTCCTTGTCATGATTGAATTTCCTGTGCTTACTATATGCCCTGTTATTTTCCCCTTGCCCCCCTATACCCAGAAGCAGCCTGGGAGAAAGTAAGTAGAGCCTTGCCCTTTAGAGCCAGGATTGAACACTTTGGTTCATTCTCTCTCCACCAACAACATCCATGAACTATTGCAGTGGTGGAGATGTGGAAGTTGAGTACTGAGTTTGGATGTGCTTGCTTGTTCCAACCTACCTGCTGATGTCACGATAAATGTGGCCCTCCCTAGAGGGTTAAAAAAATTTTAGTTGATAACTCTATGTGCAATTCTATGAGTGAATAGTTATTTTAAGATTGGATCTGGTCACTCCAAAGGCCTTCCAAAGAATGGAGTCAGATTTCGGGACTCAAACTCTTGTTGCTGTGGGTCCCAGCTATTAATATACTACATTGTCCACCATTGAACTACAAAGAGTGAAAAATGTCAACTTTCTGATTATCATTCACTTGTTCTTTTTTGGTCCTAGTTGTATGCAGTTGCAGTCAAAGATCTCATAAGAAAGACTGACAGGAGCTACAAAGTAAAATCCCGTAACAGCACTGTGGAATACACCCTTAACAAGTTGGAGCCTGGCGGGAAATACCACATCATTGTCCAACTGGGGAACATGAGCAAAGATTCCAGCATAAAAATTACCACAGGTAAGCAGGAGAGAGGTTAGAGGTCTTCTCACACAGCCTGCCCTCAGTGCTGTGCCGCTAGACCTCCAGAGACAGACTTTTCATTAGGCGTTTGTTTCACAGGGAGTGCAAACGCTGCCCTTCAATATTCCTACAGGGGCAGAGTAGTGCAGAGGCTCCAGGGTCTGAGCCGTGGCGTGGTGGCCAGGGCACAGTGGGCTGGGGAGTGGCTATCGTTTTCTTTATTTTCTAAGTCTTTTTAACTCCCCTCGCTGGTTTTGATATTACTAAAGGAAAAGAGGAGGGATGCCCAAGAGAGGAAATAAAACTGAATAGTTGCCACTAAGACCAAGTGCTGTATCTGAGAATCTGGATGACAGGTTCTCAGTGGTCCATTGTGGCAATCTGACATGTTGAAATGGAGGGAGACCCACAGCTGGGCAGTAGATCAAAGGGCAGTCAGGCTCAAGTTCAGAGAGCTGGTAGTAAGCTCCGTTGCTCAGACAGCAGCAGGTATTATTGGGAGTTTTGATATTGGGTAATGGAGGCCCAGCCCCATTTATGCTGGTGGCGTGCAGTGGGCCTGGGCCATGTGCCATTGTCACTCCAGTGTCCTGTCTTCAGATGGAACTCCTTATCCCATCCCATTCCTTCCTCACCACCCTTCTACCCAACCCCATTTGTTTTTGTACACACTTGGTTACAAGGGCTATTAAGTACTGTCCAAATTTCTTGGCTAAAGATGTTATAACAACAATAAAAGAGATGCCAATAAAGAATATCTACCATGTGCTAGGTTCTGTACTCAGCAATCTATGTGTTTTATTTTTTCTGTAACCCAGCCCTCCAAGGCTAGCATTATTTAATCTCTCTTTGATAGACAAGAAAATAGAGTTTCAAATGTATATCCACTAACCGCATCCCATCTCATCTTTAATTTTCAGTTTCATTATCAGCACCTGATGCCTTAAAAATCATAACAGAAAATGATCATGTTCTTCTGTTTTGGAAAAGCCTGGCTTTAAAGGAAAAGCATTTTAATGAAAGCAGGGTAAGTTCCTCCCTCATTCTCAATGACTTTGGAAATTTAATTGAAATGCTGTTTCAGAGATGAGCTTGTTGACAGCATGCTGGCATAGATAGTGTAAAAAAAAAGAAAGAAAAAGAATAGGACATGGACATGAACTTGAGAATTAAAGGACCATTTTCAGTGGGATTGCTAATTAGCGAAATGCTTATACTGCCCGTTAAAGATGAGAATCTCTGCACTAAGCACTTTTCAATCCTGACTTGTCTTCCCCTGAAGAAAGACAAATGGGCTGGAGGCCATGCTGTGCTTCCCGCAGAAGCTGCAGCTGGGCTGGGGCTCAGGGTGTTAAACCAGGAGCCTATTCCACACTCGCTGAGGGTGGGACTGTGGCTTCAGTACCAGGAGTTGAGCTGCACTCTCAGCCTGGCATCTCAGCACTCTCTTCCCAGATAAATTACAGGGAGCAGGAGGCACTTGAAGATACTGTGCTAACTTATGAAGAACACCTTGATTTTGTTTGGTTTTGCTATTGGTAGGCCAATATGGTATTCACAGCAAAAGACAGGGGAAGAGGAGTGAGACCTGGGAGTAGATTTACCACCCAAGGGTGGACAGATTCTTGAGTAAAGCTGGGTTGGCCCCAGAGACAGCAAAGCCTTTGCTAAATAGGAATGTGATGAATCAACTATGGCTACCTGGAGATGCAGCATAGGCAAAGAGCCATGGGTTCTAAATAGTCACCGTGCAATACCAAAGCAAAGTGAAATTAAAATTGGAAAATTCTCACCACACACTCTGTGAGAATTCTCATAACTCTTGTAACTATGACATCTAAATGGCTAATATCCTTAAATAGAAGGAAAGCTTTCAAGTAAGTTCAAAATGGAAATATTCTAATTTTGAAGAAGGGACATGTAACAAAGCGGAAAATTCCAGCAGCAGTAAGCAAAAGGAGAA
Source organism: Homo sapiens (assembly GCF_000001405.40). Taxonomy (NCBI): domain Eukaryota; kingdom Metazoa; phylum Chordata; class Mammalia; order Primates; family Hominidae; genus Homo; species Homo sapiens. Next base: position 121,623,205 of record NC_000011.10, read on the forward strand.
AAGTTCAACCTCACCGGTAATCTAAATAACAAAGAGGTAACCCTCTCATGTTAAATTGGTAAAGATTTGCAGGGAAGAGTATAACTGGTATGAATAGTAGTTGGGGAAGTAAACGTTCTGGGAATATGAATTGGTTCAAACTCAAGTAAGGTTCTTGGGTAATACCTATCAAAAACGTTGAAAGTGTTCACACCCATTGATCCAGCAGTTGTAGGATTTTACTCTAAAGCAGCAACGTGCATGAAGAATTTGTGTGTAGTATTTATGACAGCAAGAAAGAGGAAACAGCCGAGATGCCGAACAGAAGAGGATGGGTTAAATAACGTATGGGTGGTTGATGTTGTGTAATCTCAATTATTTTCTTTATAACCTTTGTGTATTTTACAAATGATCGACACCAGATATCTATTAGGTGGAAGGTAATAACTGCTGGCTTATAGGAAAGAATGCGGGGATGAGATTCCAGGCAGGTATTGGGAATCCCAGTTCGGCAGCCAGTCGCCATTAGGGGATCCTTCCTGGGTGGCTGGAGCCCGGCTCTTAGGTTAAGATTCTAGGTTAGTATTTCGTTCCTAGTGGAGGGTCTGGCATAGGCATAGCATGTCCTTCTTCCCTTCCCCTGACAAGGAGTTCAAAGAATTGTATTAGTCCGTTTCCACAGTGCCAATAAAGACATACCCAAGCCTGGGTAATTTATAAAGGAAGGAGGTTTAATTGACTCACAGTTCCACATGGCTGCGGAGGCCTCTCCATCATGGTGGAAGGCAAAGAGGAGCAAAGCCACATCTTACATGGCGGCAGACAAAGAGAGAATGAGAGCCAAGTGAAAGGGGAAACTTCTTATAAAACCATCAGATCTTGTGAGACTATTCACTACCATGAGAACAGTATAGGGGAAGCCGCACCCATGATCCAGTGATCTCTCACCGGGTCCCTCCCACAGCACAGGAGAATTATAGGAGCTAGAATTCAAGATGAGATTTGGGTGGGGACACAGCCAAACCACATCAAGAATAGATGGGTCAGTGGTATTGGGATCAAGAGACTGTGATTATGCAAGGGGGCCCAATATGTGGCTAGAGAAAAGTGATGGAGTCTTTTCAGGGGGATGGTGGAGAGTGTCAGTAGCTTTGACACTGGAATAGTTGGGGATCAGCAGAGAAGTCAGGTTGTCAGCCCTCATCCCAGCTAGTATCCTGGGCCAGGGCTGTCCCCAGGATGGCTTTTTCCAGCACCAGAGTCCAGGGCTGTAACTAGGAAGACATTTCATCCTCTCCTCCAGTGAACAGGGGCCTGAGCTGGCTTCAGTGCTTCTGATTTCAAGGCCAGGTTGTTGGGGGGCTGAGATCGGCTCAGAAGGAGCTAGAGAGCAGGGAGACAGGAAGTGAGCCGACAAGGTCATTCCTACATATTGTTCTGGGGACAAATGTCTTGTCTTTTCTAATTGCAAGTTCTCCTTTCTCACCCCATTGCTGGAGTCCACTGCGACCTGGATTTATTATTAGTCAAATTCCATTATGGCAAACTGTTCAGATTCTTGGTGGCATTTAATATTGCTTGAGACAGGCAGACTGCTGAGCAAATCTCTGAGTGTGGCTTTGGTAAAATGACTTTCCTGAGGGCCACAGTTTTCATTTCCACGATATAGCTTGTTGTGGGGGGGTGGTGTGGCAGTTATTTGAGATATTGGAGATGAGAAAAATTTTCATTTTCTGAATCCAGTATCTCAGTGGTAATGTAAAAAGAACAAGGAGAAACCCAGGGCGCTTTCGCGTCTGTAGCAGCCCACAGTGAGGAGCTCACATAAAGATGGAACCAGTAATAGAGGCTGTCAGTTTCCATATTCGACTTCCTGAGCAATCTCTTGTGTTTGTTTTCAGGGCTATGAGATACACATGTTTGATAGTGCCATGAATATCACAGCTTACCTTGGGAATACTACTGACAATTTCTTTAAAATTTCCAACCTGAAGATGGGTCATAATTACACGTTCACCGTCCAAGCAAGATGCCTTTTTGGCAACCAGATCTGTGGGGAGCCTGCCATCCTGCTGTACGATGAGCTGGGGTCTGGTGAGTTGCGATTGCTGCCCGTTTCTGTCTTCAGTTCTAGGGAAATAGCAAGAATGTCATATGGTTTCATGACCATGTGTCTTTCTAAAACACATGGAAGATATTCTCAGCTTAAAAGAAAATCATTTATATATCAGTTTGGTCAGGTAGTGATGTATTTAACAAATACTTCCTGAGCTGAACATGGTACAGGAAGCTGAGATTACAGGGGGACCGGATTCTGAACATAAAGTGCAAGAAAGGCAAGGCTTTGTTTAAAAAGGGAAACTCTAGGTTCACAAGAGTTTCATTTGTTTTTTGTGGGACTTCTCAGCACCTCTAACATGCTAATATATCCTGTGGATCTCCAAGCCAGTAGATCATCTCCTTGTCATGGATTTTACATGTAAAATCATATAACTGATTTTACAGTGCACACCTCTGCCCCGCCCCGGCTTCATCTTAGCTCTCAGCATAAGCTTAGGACTGGAATTTGTCCTGGGATCTCTGTCTTATGTCTTATGCTGGGCCATGCTAGTGATGGAAGAGAGGACCCTTCCGTTCATACAGAAAGTCTGCTTACATTATAGTAGTTTGGCCAGGATTTCAACAAATGTTTTGCCACTGGTCTTTTTTAGTTCCATTTACTCTCAGCCAAGAACTAACCAGTGCTCAAGCCAAAATCTTGTGTTAGAGTTGTTAAATGTTCCGTCTCATAGTGTTTCTCAGGGTGAGATCTTGTGCAATATTTATCCTTGGCACCCCCCACTAAGAGAGGGAAACACTGCCTGCCACTTCCCTTGGGAGAATCTTAACATATTAGAGGTTCTAAGAAGGTCCTACAAAAACCAGCCCAACTCTTGTTGACCTAGTATTTCCTCAACAGAGCCCCATTTTTAGGCAAAACTAATTGGCAACCTGTGAAATATGCTTTGGGAAAAATTCCTGTGCAGACCCCTCCCGGCCACCTTTATGGAACCAAGGTTGTCAGGCAGAAGGGCTCTTGGCCAACATCTTGCCCCTTCACGTTCACCTTCCCCTTGGAAGTGGGGTGGGGGAGGGAGGGCACTCCTTCCTGGAGCTCCCAGCCTTCATTGTGCCGACTTCCTCTTCACTGCTCCAGCCGCACACACCCCCTTCATTAACCACTGCACAGTTGGAATAGGTTGGAACATATTAAATAAGATGTTGCTAGAGTTTTTTTTTTTTTCTGGCAAGGAAATAATGAAAGAAATGTAAATACAGACACGAATATTGAATTGTTAGATTAGGTTTGCAAGAAACAATTGTTCTCTGGCCCATCTTGATGAATACCCTGTCAGGGTGAATGCCTGGGGAGTGACAGAGCTTTCTAGTGAAGCAGAGACCTGGCCTGCGCCACCTCTCCCGACACCAGGGAGCAACCCTGAGCCTGTTGAGGCTCCTCATGGAGACCTAGACTGAGGGAAGTCCAGTCTGTTTCCTTTGCCAAAAACTGATTCCTAGGTTTCATTTTCAAGTTCAGACTTACCCTGGGATTTTTAACATGAAAAGTCTACCGTTTTCAAGGAGACTGGCCCCTACCCCAGCAGGATGGGACGTGGGGCATGGCTTTGCCCTAGAGCCCTGGTGGTACAAATCTATTAGTGAATCATCACAGAGCCTGTTTGTTTAAGTCAATAGGAAGGGGCCATGTTTGTTAGGTTATAAATGCCGAAACGGCTTTGCAAATAACTTTAAAAAATGTTAAATGTATATGGAAAGTTGTTTTTCTCCCTCACTCTCTTTTTCACTTAAGTGAAAAACCTCATAAAACTTCATGAGCTGTTAAGTCTGTATTGTGGTGTAGGAATCTCGTTTGTATCACTTAATGGAGCTTCAGGTAATTGCAGTTCAGAGTGACTTTGGTGCCAAGTAGGGGGAAATAATTGCAATCTCGTTAATTAGTGGTCTGATTTCACATCCTCTTATGTAAGGCAAGCAAGTGGTCTTAAGTAATAATGCTAATGAAATCAATGTTGATACCCCAACAAAGGTCTCCCTTCCAAGAGATTATCTAAATAACCAACAAGGCAGTGATTAGGAGTCTAATGTAATTACCATATTTGCATGCACAAGGCCCTTGGTCTATCAGCTCATGGCAAGTAGTGGGGAAGCAATCAGGCATCACGCACATGCAGAAACGTCTCACACCAGACAGGCAGTTTGTGTAGCTGTGGCTATCGCCCAGCTTTTTTTGGTGGGTGGGGCCTTGAGGAGTCATCTGGTCTGTTCTCCTGCCCTCAGGTGGGCTTATTGGTGGGAACTTTGCCTTGGCAGGTGCAGATGCATCTGCAACGCAGGCTGCCAGATCTACGGATGTTGCTGCTGTGGTGGTGCCCATCTTATTCCTGATACTGCTGAGCCTGGGGGTGGGGTTTGCCATCCTGTACACGAAGCACCGGAGGCTGCAGAGCAGCTTCACCGCCTTCGCCAACAGCCACTACAGCTCCAGGCTGGGGTCCGCAATCTTCTCCTCTGGGGATGACCTGGGTAAGTGGGGCAGGGAGAGTCGGTTCTTCCTCCCAGGGCTGACCCCCACGCAGCCAATGACTTGATTAGGAAACACCCACCTTCAGCTCCTCTTTTGACCCTGGAGGAGCTCTTCATCAGCCAGCGATTTGATTCCATGAGTTTTGGTTAAACCATTCAGAGCCCTCACTTTTTAACTTTTAAGTTAAATTAAAATGTTGTATTCTCTTTGATTGTGTAGTTCTGGCCTGAAACAGGGAGCTTGCCCCAGGCCTTGAGACTCCCAAAGTATCGGAAAATCCTCAAGAATATCTGACCCCTGTCTCATCCTTCACTGAGCTGGAGGTCTGACATCTCTGGAGATCCTAACTCAAGATAAAAAATAATGCTTTCCCAATCAGCTTCTATCAAAGGAGACCCTTTCCATCTTGCTGTTTCTCTTTCTGGTTGCTAGTGTAACCTCACCAGCCATTCTTTTATGTACCTTAACACAGTGGTCCCCAACCTTTTTTGCACCAGGGACCAGTTTTGTGGAAGATAATTCTTTTTTCACTGGACCAGCGGTGGAGGGGGAAGGGTTGGGGGATGATTTCAGGATGAGACTGTTCCACCTCAGATCAGCAGGCATTAGATTCTCATAGGGAGCGCTCAGTCTGGATCCCTTGCACGCTCAGTTCACGATAGGGTTTGTGCTCCTGTGAGAATCTAATGCTGCCCTGATCTGACAGGAGGCGAGGCTCAGGCTGTAATGCTCTGACTCACCACTCACAGCCTGCTGTGCGGCCCCCCATTCCTAACAGGCCATGTACTGGTACTGATGGCCCTCGGCCCGGGCATTGGGGATCCCTGTCTTAACACATAGCAAGGGAAAAAGTAAGAAGTTTCCCGTTTTGAAATCTTTGCACAATGAAAACCCTAAATGCTAATAGAGATAGTAAGATAGTAATATAATAAAGTGGGTGTGTTACGAGGCTTCCCCAAACTTAGACTAATCACTGTGAATGTACAAGTTTATTTCTTTCCGTTAACTAGTTACAATTATATATCTATGTTTATAAAGACATTTGTATATTCCCCTTCACTGATCATATGATGTTAGCTCTGTTCCCTTTCCTTGTCAGTTTCCTTTCTTGCCTAATAAGCCGGCACCTGGACTGCCTTGTGTGAATGGGGCGGCTTCTTTGCTTCTGCCGTTGGAGGCAACAGGAGTGGACCCATCAGCATACCCTGCGATAGTCACTGAGTGTCGGTCCACACTTGGTGACACAGGATTATACCGGGCGTCACAAGGGGACAGCTGTTAGTCTGGGAAGCTGTCCTCAAAATGCTTAAACTCCTCCCAGATCCTTTTCCTCAGAGCACTTTGGGTTCAGAAGAGAAAGCAGACACTGAAGTTCACTGTGCTAGTGTAGGGTATAGATAACTCAAACTGGGGAACCCAAACTACCCACTTAGCTTTTGAGTAGGTAATAAGAGTCTTCTCCTGAGAAGCTTTGTTTTCCTAATTTGGCTACGTTCAAACGACCACTAAAATAAATGTGAGGATCCATCGATGGGTAGAAGGTGGCCAGGAGGGACAGTGGGAAGCTGGGCTAGGTTTCACAGCTGATTATGGTGGCTGCCTGGCTATGGCATTGACCTTCTCAGCTAGAGGGTTGTGGTAGGGTTGAGGGGTGGGTAGAGTGGTGGGATATGGGGTCAGGTGAAAATGTGTTGGAACTCACCAAGGCCTGACTGTTTTGTCTCTAGGGGAAGATGATGAAGATGCCCCTATGATAACTGGATTTTCAGATGACGTCCCCATGGTGATAGCCTGAAAGAGCTTTCCTCACTAGAAACCAAATGGTGTAAATATTTTATTTGATAAAGATAGTTGATGGTTTATTTTAAAAGATGCACTTTGAGTTGCAATATGTTATTTTTATATGGGCCAAAAACAAAAAACAAAAAAAAAAAAAAGGAAAGAAAGGAATGAATAAACTTTGTAGTAATCAACTGTGAACTTCAAACCAGGTTGATTTTAGTAACCCAATTGCTTTGATTTGACATTAATGTAGTCTTACAGGGCTGTGCTTGCTGGGCATGCTTTTACGTCTGTGAGATAATTTCGGTTCAGTAAATTGGCCAATCTTTTTATTTTTCTAAGACACAGAAATGTATTTAATAAAAACCTCGAGAGAGTGATGGGTGGAACCCCTTCTCCTTGAAAGTGTGTACAGATATTCCATTTTGTTTGGATATAGTTTATAGGAAAGTGTGTGGATGTATTATGGCGGAAGGTTTCTTTATGTTATTTTGTTAATTTATTGGGACTCTGTGTAAGGCCAGGCTTTAGTGGTCATTAGACACCACATGTGTTATGAGCCCCTTACCCATAGGGTTGGGGGTGGGAAGAGAAGCATATTTTTTTGCCATTCCGGAAGCAATCCATTTTTATTCACTTGTGTGTCATGTAATGGTCTTTGGCAGGAGAGAGCACTGAGTCATTGCTGGAGTTCAGTTCAACAGAGCTGCAGCTTGGGAAGCCCTGTAAGCCCACAGCTTCCTCTCTTATATTAATTGATGGAATTTTACTGTATGTGCCTCTGTACAAGATGTAGCTTTGAGAGCTACAAAATGATAACACTGCTTTATTACACACTGGTTTCATTGTCATTGCAAAAACTTACCCTGGTTGTGGGGGAGAGTTCTAGATCTGTGCCATGATCCATACACTGGCTAATAGAGTACATAATTTTTCCATTTTCCATTTTTTGTTTTTACTTACTACTGAAGGATCTCAGATGTAAAATTATGTATTTGGTTTGAGATGGCCACTTATTGTCCTTAAAAATCCATACTGATATATGCAGTCATTTTGAATTGGACAGTGCCTTCTCTTTTTTTTTCTCCTCTTCTTCCATCTCCCTCACCCATGCCCCCACCCAATCTAAAGAGACAGTGCTGTACATTCTCATAGAGATAGAGAAGATCTAAAAAGTTGAGACTACTCAATCCAGTTAACAACAGCAGGAGCACTAGAGTTTGTTCATTTATTCTCTCTGTAAAACAAGCTGTGCTTTTTTTCTTCTGCCTTTAAAATGCCACCCGTGTATTCAAACCATGGCCACTTGATACTTATGTAGAATCCATCGTGGGCTGATGCAAGCCCTTTATTTAGGCTTAGTGTTGTGGGCACCAATGTCGAGCATCGTTGTGACTTGTGCTGTATGATTCTCACTGAAGAATTTCCTTTCAGCCAAGAAGCAGTGAGGTCTGGGAATATTCCAAAGTCATGTCTCTGAATATGTGTCCTTGACGTGCAAGCTTTGTAAAACCCCATCCCCGCTTAGGTGCGAGGCATCACCTTCTCACAAGTGTTTAGTTTCTTTTAACCACAAGTATCATTCTTGGGTGATAATATAGTTTCATTCTACTTAGGGATTGTTTAGAAAACAAAGAAAGAGCCAATTAAATTTTTTAGTTTTTGAAATTTTTATTTATATGTATACTTAGATGAGTATTTTAAGCTGTCGACCTTTAGTTTGCCATACGGGTAGGACTGTATTTCATGTTAACAACTGGTGGTAATGATAAGCCTTCTTCTAGCGTATTTTCTCTTCTTTCCTGTCACTTTCCTAAGTTTTTTTTTTTAAAGACTGGAATTTTTTTTGGCTTTATCTTGTCTTACCGTAGAGATTTGTTCAAAACTCTAAGCCCTACCACCTCCCCTTTAATAAGCTCTTTAAATAGTTGAATCATTAACAACCTGGTGGGAGGCAAGTCATTTAATTGAACCACTAGGAAGTGTATTTTCTTTTCTTTTTCTGCCAACTTTTTGGTGGCATTTGTAAAAGCTGATATAAAAGGCTCTGAGATGTTATTTTCAGTTATTCCATAGGCAAGCCTTTTTACAGAGCATATGTCTCCAGTTGGCAGCTTGAGATATTTCCGAGCATCCGGTTCTAGCTACCAGTGCCTCCCAATGCTTAGTGCACAGTACTGTAGACTGGCCATCACCCCTCTCCTTGGAAAATGCCACTGTGCTGTTTGAAAAAAAGCAGCCTTTTAGGGCTAGAGTATTTTATATAAACAGAAGAGCTAAGTTCCTGAAGACTAAGCTAGATAGCTGCAGCTATATGTAAATTGTATATTTTTATGAACTTTTGAAGCACACACTCCTGTTTCCCTCTGTGTAGCTTTGTGGGGATTTCATGTATATATGCTGTCTGAAAGAATCCAGAGGTTGGAGTGCCAATAGAAAATGAAAACAAATGCCTTGTACTACAGGCAGCCTCTGAAGGTGACCACATAACTGTCTTCACTGTGACCAATCGGAGTCCCTGCTTGCTTGTGAAGAAGGGGCTTTTGTACCTTGTTGGAGATGCCACCTCAGAAGTTCACACTGTGCAGGAAAAAGGTTTTATTCTCTCCTGGCATACATTAGAATGTCAGATGCTTGCATCCATGTGGACCACGATGGGCCTCTAAAAATTGGTGGGCAGGGGGTTTGCTTATGAGTTTTCTCTGGAAACCGATTTTACTCCTGGATGTATTGAATGCCCCTTGAGCTTTATGAGATACGAGTCCACATGGATAAAATGTTAGAGAGTGGAGTTCTACAGAGGATTCCAGGAAGAGGCCATGTCTGTGCAGTCCTAGTTCCAGACAGGTGAGAAGCTCCAGGAACTACTGGCTACCTTGACAAGCTGGGTAAATAGTTATCATTCTGGGTAACTGGTTGAAACTCTGACTTTTGGACAAGTAATTCCTGGGGTTCTGTCTTTGGTAGCATCACCAGGGATATTTGGGTGGGACAGACAGAAGACACACAGCTGCCTGTTCTCTCCTGCCCATCATGTTTGGCCCACTAGATGAAGCTGTACTCAGCAATTTAGGGAATGTAACCCTTCTCAGAACTGGCCATTTTCAGGGGAAGCTTGGGAGAGCAATAGTATGGTGAGCCCCTTAGAGATGAGCGCCTACTCCTTCTTGGCGAATGCTGCCTTCAGATGCTTACCAAGTGGTCACTGCATCTAGTAAGATTATATTTCCAGTACACTTCCTTAGGGCAGAAACACCATCCTATCAGGTTTGGTCAGTCCCTTCTTCATGAAGGGAGTCATGGGGAATTCCTGAAAATTTTCTTCCTTCTGCAGACAGTTGGATGAGTCCCTTAGAGAAGGCATCCAGAGACATAACTAAACTGAATATCATCCCATATTGATTTTAGGAATTGACTCTAAAACTCTGTGCAGAATCTTGTGTTGGGATTGTATCTTGACATTCCTGTTGTGTTATTTTTCTTAACTGGAGTGTGTGCTGCCTTTCAGGTACAATTTTTGTGTAATAAAAGCCAGTGCATTAAGTTTATATAGACTACTTTCTATGCAAGACTGAGATATGGAATAGATAGGAAGAGATATGTACTGCTGGGTACATGGACAGTAAGTGTGTTTTCAGATGGAGTACCAGCACCGAAAATGGGTTGAGGGAGGATGGGTTGTATGTATGTTTCTGCCCACTAATTTTGAGCAGCCATATTATGAATTAAATCGTCACAGCCAAGTAATAACCCAAGAATGGTATGAGTTTCATGTGTAATAGCTCAAATGGAATAAGCATGAATGCTGGAGTGGACCATTATCCTCAAATATTCTATGTCACTTCTCATTTAAAGACTCTTGTTATGAACTATTAGAAACTTTAGGCAAAATCAAAAGTATTTGCGGCAAAATAAAGGCCTATTCTACTCTTATTTAAAGTGAAACACTGTATACTTGTTTCTCTCCAAAGCGAAATTAAGTATTTATAATTTCAATTGCCTCGATAAGTTTCCAAGTCACTGAAATCTGCTGAAGGTTTTACTGTATTGTTGCACAACTTTAAGATAATTTTTGTCTCAATGTCAACTTTTTTCACTGAATAAAAATTTAACTGGGTCAAGAAAACACCTCTTTGAAAATCCACTGTCTCTGTGTGTCTCGAGCTGTTCTTTAGAGCGCAATAAAGATGGCTGACGCAGTCTCCAAACCCCATTTGATTGGTCTGTTTTAAACGGATGTTTATTTCATAGATGAGAGAACACCAAGGCCTGGAATAATTTTGTTATTAACAAGCTGGTCTCAGATGGTGGATCCTTGAAGAACACGATGTCTTTGTGTTGGTTGAGGAGGGGGAAGATGTGCTGGCTGTTTTGAAGTAAACAGAATTATTCCGTAGGGACAATGACTAAAGTGGCTCCCTTAAATTTGTAACTACATTTGCTAAGAGACAGTTTGCTAAGAAGGCAATTTTCAAATCTAAGAGACGGAAGCACAGCAGTATAGATGAGCTGTGTGTCTAAGAGCACTTCTATGGGTTTCCATAGACAGTCTTGTGAGGAGTGCTGCGTGTACCTATTATGGGCAGCTGAATGGCCATGGGCCTGTAAGTCAGGATTGGAGGCTGTGGAACTGGGTGGGGGAGGGAGGCAGGTTTTTAAGAATTTAACAGGTCTTCTGGTATGCTGCTTTTGTTTAGACACTGAGCCAGAGCCAAACCCTGAAGTATTATCATCTGGTTTTGTGAATGAAGAAAAGGAGGCATAGAAAAGTGAAGTAATTTAGGAGAAACCAGAGCATAAAAGGCAAAACCAGCCTCCCATCCCAGGTGTTTCTGATCCCAGATCCTCTTCTGAATCACGACGCCACAGCGCCTCATGTCACCATTCAGTATCACAAAGAACACATTAGTCCAACACATTGCACCAAGCGAAATCCCAAGGGGAGACCTACCACCTGGGTGAGCCTCCTTGGTCATGGCCTCATCCTTAGGTTTTCAGGCTTAGATAATTTTTGTCAACACATGATAGTGAATTCATCTCTCATGGCCAAACACACCTTAACCAAACTCAGGATGTTGATATGCAACGTCATAATGTCCATTTGTTAATTCACCCTGGGAAAGTGTCCTGTCCCTTACAATGTCTGCATGACCAGTGCATTCTCTCCCTGTAGGGAGATCTACCCCAGGAGCCAGTCACCACCAGAAGGTTGCTTGGAGAGCAGGGGCAAAGAGTTTTAAAAGTAGGAGGGATCTGGGTTAGCATAGTGGTTGCCCAATAAATACTGAATGAATGAACAAAGACTTGACACTCCACAACAGGAATAATCTACTCCATATAAACTTAGTATTTGAAGCCGTCAGATTGCAACACCCTGGATCCATTTCTAGTTAAAAAGATCTTGCCAATAGGATCTAATACTTTAAGTCCATGCACTGTGGTTCCCCTGGACAGGGCTTGGGCACTCCCACATCGGTCACTCTGACTCATCTCTACATGTCCTGTTGTTGAGTAAACTCTCCCACTCACGAAAACATTCTATAGCAAAATTAATGCATTTGGACTGAGTTTGAATCGAATCTTCCTGGCTAAGAGCCAGATTCTGACTACATCCGTCAGCTATGATTATTGGGTTCCCCAGCCCATAGCAAATTGAACATGGGTTGGGGCTGCTAAGGGCAGCTACTCCGAGGACAATAGAAGAGAAGCCACGAGTTAGAGTTAGACTGCTGGAAAACCTATGTGAGAGATAAAGGAACTCCAGCAAATATACTTATTGGGAATATTTGGCATAAAACCAGAGTCCTACACAGTAAGTAGCCCATCCAATTAGAATAATTATCATTCCCTTCCGTTGAACCCCTGTTCTTTGGTAGTAACTATGCTAAACTCTCTCTCTCTCTCTATATATATATAAAAAACAACATCTTTTTTCTTTTATAGGAAAGATTATATATCTTGTTATAGATATAAAAACATCTTTTTTCTTTTAAAGGAAAGATTAATACCTAAATCACAGAAGCGCTTTTAGAATTAAAATATTAAATGTATTAAATATATTTTTATATATTTATATAATCTATGAATATAAATAAATATATATATACATATTTTAATTCTAAAAGTGCTTCTGTGATTTAGGATTTAGGTATTAATCTTTCCTTTAAAAGAAACAAGATGTTGCTTTAAAAGAAGAGTAACTTCTCCAAGGTCTCACATGAATTAAAGTGGAAGAGTCAAAATAACCTAGATTTATTGCATCCTTAAACTCCTGCTCTTAGTTGTCATGCTATTTAGCCCTGTCAGTACAATATTAAGAATCTGTAATAGTGATATTTCAAGGATTCCCACTAGAAAGATTAAAAACAACGTTTGGAGACATAAAGAAGTATACTTAGATTTCTTTGCACAGCCATTTATATGGAACACAGTATTACTTACGGATGGTAGATCAATGCAGCCTTTTTTATTGGAAAATGTTTTTGCAAAGAGTTCAATAATTAGGAACGTGGAGGATTCTTTTGTTTTGCAGCAACCCAGTTACATTTTATCAAAATTCTTTGCATCTTTGGATAGGAAGGTTCAGTGAATATCTTATTCACCTTTATTTACATATGCAGTGAGGTACATCATCACATGTTCTATTAGGGTGATAATTGGGCTAGTATGAGACCATCAAAAATCCCAGCAAAAGGAGGTGGCTCCCATGCTTTTCATCCAGCCCCAACTGGCTTTGATGCTTGTGGCCCATTAATTTTAAGAGATCATGTGCGGGGTAATTTGAGCCTGCAACAATTTACAGAACAATGATGTTATGCTTTTTAAAATGCTAATGTTACAGTTGTAATGTTGCAACCCTATTTAATGCCAAAATGACGATTGGTAATGTTTGGGAATATTTGTTTGAAAACAATGACATTTCATACTTAAAACTCAGCATCAGCAAACTTTGAGGAAGAAAAAAGACTAGGATTTAAATATAAATCAGCCTTTTATGAGATTTGCCCTTTGGTTATATGCTAATCTGTAAAGCCTTCAAGATCTATCAGACAAAGAGGTTTCATAATTAAAACTTGCTTTTCAACCTCCCTCTAGCAGAGGCAGAACTTATTAGTTACCCAGGGATTGATCAAGCCCTGGATGGTGCTGAACTGTCTGGGTGTGTGTGTGCAGCTATGTTTGATGGAATTCTTCATAGACAGCAGATGAACAACATGAGAACAACCTGTTGGTTTCACAAATACACCTTATTTTGGACCCCAAACTGCTTGACTGCTCCTAAGAATTAGCACATTTTCAAAGGAGAAGTTTTGTTCTCATTGAGGTGATTCAAAAGAATGCGTTTAAGACTCATGACAAGACTCCCAAAAGGTGGTCCGAAAATATCTTGAGCAATGGCAACACTGTAGCAATAAGTAATAGTATTTCGTAATAAGTAGTAAGTAATTGCTACTTGCCAGACACCGTTCTGAGGGCTTCTTGTATGTTAACTCATTTAATCTTCACAACAACCTTTTAAGGAAGGTATTATTATTCTCATATTATAAAGAAATTGAAGCACGAAAAGGTTAAGAAATTTCCCCAAGGTCACAACAGCTTCTAAGTGTCAGAGCTGAGATATGAACCCAGGTAACCTGGCTCCAGACTGCTTTCAATTACTTCACTGCACAGCCCCTCCAAACAACCCTTTTGATAGCACAGTTTTGGGTGTATACATTAGGAATTTATTTTAACCAGCCAGTTTACCTTTTTCAATACAGTAATGTTCTGTTAGGGGATGGATTATAGAAGGAATTTGTTTCATGCGCGTCCGTGTGAAGAGACCACCAAACAGGCTTTGTGTGAGCAACAAGGCTGTTTATTTCACCTGGGTGCAGGGGGGCTGAGTCCGAAAAGAGAGTCAGCGAAGGGAGATAAGGGTGGGGCCGTTTTATAGGATTTGGGTAGATAAAGGAAAATTACAGTCAAAGGGGGGTTGTTCTCTGGTGGGCAGGAGTGGGGGTCGCAAGGTGCTCAGTGGGGGAGCTTTTTGAGCCAGGATGAGCCAGGAAAAGGACTTTTACAAGGTAATGTCATCAGTTAAGGCAAGGACTGGCCATTTTCACTTCTTTTGTGGTGGAATGTCATCAGTTAAGGCGGGGCAGGGCATTTTCACTTCTTTTGTGATTCTTCAGTTACTTCAGGCCATCTGGGCGTATATGTGCAAGTCATCCAGGATGCGATGGCTTAGCTTGGGCTCAGAGGCCTGACATCCCTGCCTTCTTATATTAATAAGAAAAATAAAACAAAATAGTGTTGAAGTGTTGGGGTGGCGAAAATTTTTTGGGGGTGGTATGGAGAGAGAGAATGGGCGATGTTTCTCAGGGCTGCTTCAAGCGGGATTAGGGGCGGCGTGGGAACCTAGAGTGGGAGAGATTAAGCTGAAGGAAGATTTTGTGGTAAGGGGTGATATTGTGGGGTTGTTAGAAGAAACAGTTGTCGTGTAGAATTATTGGTGATGGCCTGGATACGGTTTTGTATGAATTGAAAAACTAAACGGAATAAGAGGAGAAAAACAGGTATTAAAGGTCTAAGAATTGGGAGGACCTAGGACATCTAATTAGAGAGTGCCTAAGGAGATTCAGCATAGTCCTGTCAGCAAAGATTATTTATTTACTTTAAGAGTTAAGAGTGGCAGTTTGGGGATAGCACCAGGAGATATCAGCTGTGATGGCTTGGAGAAACAGTGTAAACCGGCAGTGTAAACAAGAGCAGGGCATGTATGAGTAGTTGAGAATGGTGAATAGGAGTATGACTAGAGAGAAGACAGTAGGGATGACAAGTTTTTTGGAGCACAGTCCAAGTTGGTCTGATGTCTGGAATGAGACTGGGCCCTAATCAAAAGGAGCGTCTATACAGGAGCTCAAATGGGCTGTACCCTGTAGCATTCTGAGGACAGGCCTGAATTCTGAGAAGGGAAAGTGGTAAAAGTATTGTCCAGTCCTTTTTAAGTTGGTAGCTGAGCTTGGTGAGGTGTGTTTTTAAAAGACTATTAGTCTGTTCTACTTTTCCTGAAGACTGAGGACTGTAAGGGATATAAAGTTTTCACTGAATACTAAGAGCCTGAAAAAAATGCTTGGCTGATTTGACTAATAAAGGCCGATCTGCTATAGGACTGTATAGAGGTGGGAAGGCCAAACTGAGGAAGTATGTCTGACAGAAGGGGAGAAATGACCGTGGTGGCCTTCTCAGACCCTGTGGGAAAGGCCTCTAACCTATCCAATGAAAGTGTCTACCTAGACTAGGAGGTATTTTAGTTTCCTGACTCGGGCATGTGAGTGAAGTCAATTTGCCAGTCCTGGGTGGTGGCAAATCCTGAAGCTTTATGTGTAGGAAAGGGAGGGGGCCTGAACAATCCCTAAGGGGTAGTAGAATGGCAAATGGAACACTGAGAAGTGATTTCCTTGAGGATAGATTTCCGTGATGGAAAGGAAATGAGAGGTTCTAAGAGACGGGCTAGCAGCTTGTAACCTACATGGAAGAGGTTATGAAATGACGACAGAATAGAATGGGCCTGTGAGGCTGGAAGGAGATATTTTCCTTGGTCTAAGAACCATTTGCCTTGTGTGGGAAGAGATTGATAGGTGGAAGTTTCAGCGGGGGAGTAGGTGGGAGTGACTGACGTGAAGGAGAAAAACTGGCCATGAGGGACAGAAGGTGGAAAGCTAGCTGCTTGTCTAGCCACCTTATCAGCATAAGCGTTGCCTAGAGCAAAGGGATCTGACGCCTTTTGATGGCCTTTGCAGTGAATGACTCCAGCTTCCTTTGGAAGTAAAGCGGCCTTGAGCAGAGTTTTTATTAAAGAGGCATTAATGATGGAGGACCCTTGTGTAGTGAGGAAAACTCCTTCAGCCTATATAACAGCATGGTGGTGCAGGATATGAAAGGCATATTTAGAGTCAGTATAAATATTGATGCCTAGCCTTTTTGCAAGAGTGAGGGCCTGAGTTAAGGCAGCTGGTTCGGCTTGCTGAGAGGTAGTGGAGGGGGGCAGAGCGGTAGCGTCAATAACAGATGTGGAAGATACTATTGCATATCCTGCCTTTGCTGGTGAGTGGCAATTAGGCCTGGTGGAACTGCCATCAGTAAACCAAGTGTGATCAGGATGAGAAACAGGGAAGAAGGAAATGTGGGGAAATGGGGTGAAAGTCAGGTGGATCAGAGAGATGCAGTCATGAGGGTCAGGTGTGGTATCCGGAATAATGTGGGAGGCCGGATTGAAGTCCGGGCCAGGAACAATGGTAATTGTGGGAGACTCAACAAAGAGTGAGTATAGCTGAAGGAGCTGGGGAGCAGAAAGTATATGCGTCAGGTGTGAGGAAGAAAATAGATTTTGGAAGTTATGAGAACTGTAGAGAGTGAGTTGAGCATAGTTTGTGATTTTTAGGGCCTCTAAACGTATTAAAGCAGTGGTAGCCGCTGCACGCAGACATGAGGGCTAGGCTAAAACAGTAAGGTCAAGTTGTTTGGGCAGAAAGGCTACAGGGTGCAGTCCTGGCTCTTGTGTAAGAATTCTGACCACGCTAACCATGCCTAGGAAGGAAAGGAGTTGTTGTTTTGTAGAAGGGATTGGGGTTTGGGAGATTAGCCGGACACGGTCAGCAGGGAGAGCACATGTGTTTTTATGAGAATTATGCCGAGATAGGTAACAGATGAGGAAGAAATTTGGGCTTGATTGAAGTAATGGGGGCTGTCTGTGATGCTTTGTGGCAGTACAGCCCAGGTAATTTGCTGAGCCTGATGGGTGTCAGGGTCAGTCCAAGTGAAAGCGAAGAGAGGCTGGGATGAAGGGTGCAAAGGAATAGTAAAGAAAGCATGTTTGAGATCCAGAACAGAATAATGGGTTGTGGAGGGAGGTATTGAGGATAGGAGAGTATATGGATTTGGCACCACGGGGTGGATAGGCAAAACAGTTTGGTTGATAAGGCACAGATCTTGAACTAACCTGTAAGCTTTGTCTGGTTTTAGGACAGGTGAAATGGGGAAATTGTAAGGGGAGTTTATAGCTTTTAGAAGCCCATGCTGTAGCAGGCGAGTGATAACAGGCTTTAATCCTTTTAAAGCGTGCTGTGGGATGGGATATTGGCGTTGAGCGGGGTAAGGGTGATTAGGTTTTAATGGGATGGTAATGGGCATGTGATCGGTTGCCAGGGAAGGAGTAGAGATGTCCCATACTTGTGGATTAAGGTGGGGGGATACGAGAGGAAGACGCAAAGGAGGCTTTGGGATGGGGAGAAGGGCGGCAATGAGATGCAGCTGTAATCCAGGAATAGTCAGGGAAGCAGATAATTTAGTTAAAATGTCTTGGCCTAATAAGGGAACTGGGCAGGTGGGGATAACTAAAAAAGAGCGCATAAAAGAATGTTTTCTAAGTTGGCACCAGAGTTGCAGAGTTTTAAGAGGTTTAGAAGCCTGGCCGTCAATACCCACAACAGTTATGGAGGCAAGGGAAACAGGCCCTTGAAAAGAAGATAATGTGCAGTGGGTAACCTCCATATTGACTAAGAAGGGGACGGACTTACGCTCCACTGTGAGAGTTATTTAGAGCATCTGTGATGGTCCTGTAGGCTTCTGAGGTGATCAGGCGGTGTCAGTCTTCAGCTGCTAAGCCGAGAAGATGTGGGAAGGAGTCAGTCAGAGAGCCTTGGGCCAAAGTTCCAGGGGCCCTGGAAGTGGCTGTCAGGTGAGTTGAACAGTCCGATTTTCAGTGGGGTCCCACACAGATGGGACACGGCTTAGGAGGAATCCCGGGCTGTGGGCATTCCTTGGCCCAGTGGCCAGATTTCTGGCACTTGTAGCAAGCTCCTGGGGGAGGAGGTTCTGGAGGGACCCCTGGCAGCTGCGGTTCAGGCGTTTGGAGTTCTTGTGTGCTGGAGATGTGGCTGGGGTTTGTCTCACAGTGGAGGCAAGGAATTGCAATTCAGAAATACATTGTTACTTGGCTGCCTCTGCTCTTATTGTACACCTTGAAGGTGAAGTTAATTAAGTCCTGTTGTGGGGTTTGAGGGCCAGAATTTAATTTTTGGAGCTTTCTTTCATGTTGGGAGCAGATTGGGTAATAAAATAAAATGTATATTGAGAATAAGACGGCCTTCTGACCTTTCAGGGTCTAGGGCTGTAAAGCGTCTCAGGGTTGCTGCCGAACGAGCCATGAACTGGGCTGGGTTTTTCATATTTGATGAAAAAGAGCCTAAACGCTAACTGATTTGGGAAAGGTCAGATAAAGAAAAAGGAGCATTAACCTTGACTATGCCTTTAGATCCAGCCACCTTTTTAGGAGGAAATTGCTGGGCAGGTGGGGGAAGGCTAGTCGCAGAACGAAACTGTAAGCTGGACCGGGTGTGAGGAGGGGAGGTGATAAAAGGATTATAGGGTGGGGGAGCAGAGACTGAGCAGAGACTGAGGAAGAATTGGGACCTGGCTCGGCCTGGCGAGGAGGGGAGAGGTCAGATGGGTCTGTAGAAAAGGAAGATTAGGAAGACTCAGTGACGCTTGGGGTTGGGACTGAGGGGACAGGTGGGAGGGAAAGGAGGAGGATCTGGGACGAGTTGCATTGGGAACAGAGACTATGGAGGGAACAATGTATAAAAGAATGCCTGGACGTCAGGCACCTCAGACCATTTGCCCATTTTACGACAAGAATTATTTAGATCTTGTAGGATGGAAAAATTGAAAGTGCCATTTTCTGGCTATTTGGAACCACTGTTGAGTTTATATTGGGGTCAAGCGGCATTGCAGAAGAAGATAAGGTTTTAAGGCCAGGTGTGAGTTGAAGAGGTTTTAAGTTCTTGAGAACACAGGCTAAGGGAGAAGGAGGAATGGAGGGTGGAAGGTTGCCTATAGTGAAGGAGGCAAGCCCAGAGAAAAGAGAGAATAGAGACACGGAGGGAAAGGGTTCAGGGGTTCTTACCTTCCAGGAAAGCGGGAAAGGGGTTGGGGCGTGGAAATGAGGGGTTGGGGCACAGAGATAAGAGGTTGGGCCACAGAGAGAGGTCGGGGCATGGAAATAAGGGATTGGGGCACAGAGATACGAGGTTGGGGTACTTGCCCCTCCCCCAGAAAAGCGGGACTTGCCGCTAAGGGTGAAGGACCAAGGCAGGCGTCCCTGCCTGGTCTGACACCTCTGAAACGTGGGTGAATAAAAATCAGAGAGGTGTCCCTGCAATGATTAAACACCAAGGGAAGGCTGCCTTCCCAGTCCGTGACCGGCGCCGGAGTTTTGGGTCCACGGATAAAAGATGTCCCCTTTGTCTCTACCAGAAAATGAAAGGAATTGAAATTAAGAGAAGGGAGAGATTGAAGAGTGGAAAGGAGAAAGTGGTTGAGGGATAGTGAGAGAGGTTGGAGAAGAGAGTAAGAAGAGGCCGCTTACCTGATTTAAAATTGGTGAGGTGTTCGTTGGACTGGTGGGTCTGAGGACCCGAGTTTGTAGGTGGATCTTTTTCATGGAGCAAAGAGCAGGAGGACAGGGGATTGATCTCCCAAGGGAGGTCCCCCGATCCGAGTCACAGCACCAAATTTCACTCACGTCTGTGTGAAGAGACCACCAAACAGGCTTTGTGTGAGCAACAAGGCTGTTTATTTCACCTGGGTGCAGTTGGGCTGAGTGCAAAAAGAGAGTCAGTGAAGGGAGATAAGGGTGGGGCCGTTTTATAGGATTTGGGTAGATAAAGGAAAATTACAGTCAAAGGGGGGTTGTTCTCTGGTGGGCAGGAGTGGGGGTGGCAAGGTGCTCAGTGGGGGAGCTTTTTGAGCCAGGATGAGCCAGGAAAAGGACTTTTACAAGGTAATGTCATCAGTTAAGGCAAGGACTGGCCATTTTCACTTCTTTTGTGGTGGAATGTCATCAGTTAAGGCGGGGCAGGGCATTTTCACTTCTTTTGTGATTCTTCAGTTACTTCAGGCCATCTGGGTGTATATGTGCAAGTCATTGGGGATGCGATGGCTTAGCTTGAGCTCGGAGGCCTGACAATTTGTATCCATTGTAGACATTTTTGGAAACTAAAAGCAGCCAGAAGGAAATAAGATTTCCAGGTAATCCCAGAGATAATGGCTGTTAACATTTGGTATGTGTCCTTTTATTGCTTTGTTCTGTATGAGTGATGGCATCTGTTACAGTTCTGCTGTGACAATGACTAAGTCCGTGTGTGGGAGTGTTCCAGACCTCTGTCACTTCTCTTAGGTCTTAGTTCCAACTGTAAAGACAAATCTGAATTCAGATAGAAGCTGAGTGTTCCAGACCTCTGTCACTTCTCTTAGGTCTTAGTTCCAACTATAAAGACAAATCTGAATTCAGATAGAAGCCGAGCAGGATCTTCTTCCCCCTTTGTCCCTGTGAGCAGTTTTAATACAGACTTACTCGGAAGACCAGTGGCACCAGGGGGTTGTTGCTGCACCGCCAGCTGTGTGTCTCCCTCTCTTATCATTACAATCAAGTGCTTTGAGTCATCTTTCACATTAATGGAGCTCCCAGGAGGATTCATTCCCGTCACCTCGTTATCTCTGGCTCACCAGGTTTTTACTATTCAGTGTTTTGCTGCTCACAAGATTGGGGGAATAGCTATCAACACATCCCATCAACGAAAGTAGAGAACAGAAGTAGACATGAGACAGCATAACATAGGCACATAAACAGAAGATGGGTCGCAAACATGTTTGTCACATTAAGCACGTTTAGGGCAAAAGGAACCTGACTTGCAAACAAGGAGGTGTTGACTCTGCGGAGAAGTGGATGGTCTACAGTCTGCTAAAAGCTCAGTGGTGGGACTGGTTTGCCGGTTTCTGTGATGGGGAGGGAGGAAGAGAAAGAGATGAAAGGAGCTTTGGAGGTATTTAGTGTTGGGTGGTGAATACTTTCTTCATTTCAACTCAGAATGGGAATGTGTTAGATGGGCAAGATGGTTTTCCTTAGTATTAAATTGCAGCACAAGAATATTATAGAGATTATGATGCCAGTCAGGAGAACAGCATGAACCCAGGAGGCGGAGCTTGCAGTGAGCTGAGATCACACCACTGCACTCCAGAGCCTGGGCAACAGAGCAAGACTCAGTCTCAAAAAATAAAAAAAATAAAAAAAATAAAGACAAAGAGATTATGATGCCAGAGCTAGAGGATGTAAAATTCCGATTCTATGTGAATAGATGCTGAGCCTTCTATTGGAATCTTTTATGTCTGTAGTCTTCAGGATATAGCATCAAGTTCAAGTAGGAGAAAAAGAGAATCCTGAGGATTTAGTAGTTTCTGGAGAAATTAAAGAGGAAAGTGAGGTCTCAAGCTCTACTTGGCAAGATTCAAAACTCCCTGGTCAATTAGGGCACTGGATGCATAGATCCAATAGCAACATTTATTCAAGAAATACTTATTGAGTACTTCCTCTGTATCCAGTCCTATATTTGTCCTGGGAATATAATGTGGAATAAGACAGGCATGATTCCTGCTCTCCAGAGCAACAAATAATAAAACCTCAGGGTTGAGAGGCCATTTCGGGTCTTATGTAGGTAGTATAAATGATTTGATAAAAGAGGAAATGGAGAATAAAGATGTCAAATGACTTGCCTAAGAGTTTGGCTCATCAGTGAGCTAATCAGTTTTAATCCAAAAGCTCTGAAGTGAAGCCTGTGCTGTACATCCTGTGATTCTACTGGGATGGGGGAGTAGGCTCCAATTTGATTTCCAGCCTGAGTCAGGCTGCAACTCAGCTTCTCAGAGAAACCTTCTTCACTGGGGCGGAAGGGTTGTGTTGTTGTCTGTTGATCTAGATTTTATTAATAATGTGGTACCTTATTCCCCTTGGCCATTGTTTTTTATATGTAGACTCTTCCTCAAATGGAAAAAGGGATGAATGGAAGAATCCCAGTACCCAAATACTCTCCTATAACCTAACACTATTCTGTTATTTTATATTGGGGAAATAAAAGCTGACTGTAATAACAGCAAAATGTACACAAGTAGGCAAGCTTTTTGTTTATAAAACACACATAGAAAATACATTTTTGAATAACCCACCTTTTAAAGTTTTTCCAGAATTTCTCAGCTCCCTTTCTTAATGGAGCACAGGTAATATGTCTGTCTTAACCATTTCACCCTAAACTCTGTAATTCATGCTAAAAATGAGTCTCTAAACCACAGATTAACAAGTTGATCTTCCTCCCTTTTCTGAACTCCATAGTTGGGATTCCTTCTCCTTGACTCTTTTAGACAGCCTTGAAACAATGGTGCAAGCAGCTGCATCCTACACCCATATGGCCTGTTGATGTGAAAATAGCATCATCCCCTGCACAGTAGAGCAGGGGACGGAGTCCTTCCCTGAATGCTTCTGCTTGTCAGCTTCTGTAGCAGGGGTACCAGCAGGATGGAAAGTGAAGAATGCATCCTTCAGTCCTTCACTGAAAGGGCAGCTCTCTTCTGCTCATCTCTCAAGTTGGGCTGTGTGAAGGAATGGCATATATGCACAGGGCCTGAGGTGTGATGTGGTTTCTTACTAAAATAAATCACACTGACTGGGTGTGGTGGCTCACGCCTGTAATCCTAGCACTTTGGGAGGCCAAGGCAAGTCAATTGCTTGAGGTCAGGAGTTCGAGACCAGCCTGGCCAATATGGTGAAACCCCGTCTCTACTGAAAATACAAAAATTAGCTGGGTGTGTTGGCTTGCGCCTGTAGTCCCAGCTACTTGGGGGCCGAGGTGGGAAGATCGCTTGAGACCAGGAGATGGACTGATACCCTGCCTCAAAAATAATAAAATAAAATAAATCACACTGGAGGATTCATCAGGGAATCAACTTTCCGATTACAGAGAGCCGTGGCCATTGGAACCCTTTGATGGAAAATCTATTTTACCTTCTCACCTGGTAAAATTTCCCCTAACTTCTATTTTGGTTGGCAAAACTAAGTTCTCTAAAATGAAAGACCATGTTGTCTACTTCTTTTCTATCACTGACACTAGACTGCTCTGAATTTATGGTTATTTTGGAAATGTTTGTTGGGTGGATGGACGGGTGAGTGCACAATAATTGCTCCCATTTATTTAGGACCAATGATGTGCCAGGCATTGCCATATCATTAAACATGAAAACTCCTTTGGAATAAATATAATCATCAAGTTTTACGTAGAACATAAAGCCAGTTTTGAGCCCAGATCTATCTGGTCCTTCCTGGAGTTAACCCCACTGTGCTAGTTTAGTAGATGGTCTCTTTTATGGAATCGACATTTACTTGAGTGTTTCCTGTATTCAGAGGTTCTGGGTGGAGGGGGATAGATTGAAAGGAGAAGACAGAGTAATTATGTCTTACAAGAGGCAGCAAGACATGGCAGGAAGAGTGAGCCCAGAGATTTATGTGATTTCCCTATCTCCTTGCATTAGGGTGGAACCAGTAGGAAATATATACATGGAATTGGCTCACATAATTACAAAGACTGGGAAGTCCTACAATCTACTGTTTGCAAGCTGGAGACCCAGGAAAGGTAGTTGTGTAACTTAGTCCAAAAGGTGAGAACCATAGGAGCTAATGGTATAAATCCTAATCTAAGGGCTGGAGACAATGAGATGAGATGTTCCAGCTCAAGCAGGCAGGTAGGAATCAAAAAAAAAAAGGAGCAAGCCCCTCCTTCTCTCACGTTTGTTCTATTCAGGCCCCTGATGGACTGGATGATTCACAGTTTCACTGGGGAAGGGGATCTATTTTAGCGAGTCCAGCAATCAAGTGATAACCTCATCTGGAAACACCCTCACAGACATACCCTGAAATAATGTTTAATCTGGGCACTTTATGGGCAGTTAAATTGATATATAAAATTAACCATCACACTCCTCATTGAAAATGAGACAGACAAACACACACAGAGTAATCTATTCTATATAGCTACATGATCTTTAAATTTCTACTGCTGCAAAATTTGGTAATACATTGAATAGGTTGGAATGAATGGACACATTTTCAAGATGTAGCAAACTTTCTGAATAAGTGCCAGACTGAAGTAGTCCTTTGGGGGCTCACTCTTAAAAGACATTCCAAGGTCATGTGAGGTTGCTCTTCACACAAAGACACATGGGCCAGAAGTGGCTCTGATAGGGGGAGACAGCACAAAAGGTGACCTCTCTGCTTCAGGAGCACAAGTCACCCCATCTGTGGAGATGGTGAGCTTGCTGGGGAGAGTACAAAAGTGAAGGCCATTGATCTTACCCAAGAGTGGGCAAACTGTTGTGGAATAAAGCCTGCCACTCATCAGCCCTGGATCCCGAGTGGTTAGGTGTAGAGTGAGGGTGAAGAAGTAGAAAACACAGAACCTTTTAAGTTGGAGCTCCTCATTTGTTTATTTCCATAGAGCCTAGAACAATCCTTGACACTCAGTGAATCTGTTGAATGGATGAGGGGATGAATTAACCTGTTCTTGTTTCTTTTCTTTTCTTTTTCTTTTCTAGACAGGGATCTTACTTTGCCACCCAGGCTGGAGTACAGTGATGCAATCATGGCTCACTTGCAGCCTGGACCTTCCAGCCTCAAATGATCCTCCCACCTAAGCCTCCCAGGCAGCTGGGACTACAGGCTGTGCCACCACGCCTGGCTAATTTGATTTTAAATTTTTGTTGGAGACAGAGTCTGGGTGCAAGTGATTCTCTGCCTTGGCCTCACAAAATGCTGGGATTACAGATGTGAGCTACTGCACCAGGCCTTAATTAACCTGTTCTTGAAGAGTCAATCAGTTAGTATGTGGCTCAGTTGCATATAACCTAAACCCCATATAACAGTGGCTTCAAAAGACTGGGGTTGTGTGTTTGTTTTTGTGTAAAAGAAATCTTGGGCTGGTATAGAAGCTTTGGCCATCAAAGATCCAGGATTTTCCCATCTTTCTGCTCCGCCATCCTTAGTGTGAATTTCTCCCTTTAGATCCCCGCCTTGTCTGCAGCCTGCATGGAGTTCCCATCCCAGCCACCAGGTCTAAGTTTCAGGCATCGAGAGGGAGGAAGAGGTGAGGTGGGTAAGAGTACCTCACTGTTGTGTCGGCTCCTTTTAAAGAGTTTTCCCAGAATCTCCACCCAACAACTTCTGATTGTGTGGCTTTGGCCATCCCTTCCTGCAAGGAGTCTGGGAAGCATGTACATTTATCCTGGCTCATTGCCACTTCCAGCGCTGGAAGGAGGAAGGGGAGAATCCATATTGAGCAGGCAACTAGTGATCTTTGCCATACAGTCTGTGGCAGATAATAGTAAAACAAATGAAAAGTTAGAAAACAAAAAACAAAAACAAAACAGGCCGGATTATACGGAAGGCCAGGTTAGCTAAGTCTAGCCCAAAGGGCGGTGCAGGGGAGCGAGTACAAGCTGAGGCATCAGCCTGCCTCAGCGCTTCTTCGTGGCTCTGTGATCACTAAGACAATTTCCCTGGTCACCTCAGTACCTCAGTGCCTTCGTTCTCTTGTCCATAAAATGGAATGATGTGGAAGCGGACCTCACAGGGTTGTTGGAAGGTTTGAAAGATGTAGATGTACAAGTGCTTTTTTTTTTTTTTTTCTTTTTTGAGATGGAGTCTCACTCTGTTGCCCAGGCTGGAGTGCAGTGGCGTGATCTCGCCTCACTGCAACCACTGCCTCCTGGGTTCAAGCAATTCTCCTGCCTCAGCCTCCCAAGTAGCTGGAATTACAGACACCCACCACCACATCTGGCTAATTTTTTGTATTTTTAGTACAGACGTGGTTTCGCCATGTTGGCCAGGCTGGTCTCAAACTCCTGACCTCAGGACTTGCCTCCCAAAGTGCTGGGATTACAGGAGTGAGCCACCGCACCGGGTCGTACAAGTGCTTTTAAGCTGGAAGGCGCTAGATGAATATCCCTTCTATAAGTGTTTGGAGAAAAAAGACAATGTTTGGCAAATGATCACCTAGCCCAGGCCAATGTCTTGTGACCGACTTTGCCACACTGCATTCACCACACTACTCGTGCCGCCCATTTCATTATCTAGTCTTACGTGGGTCCTCAGTTGTTTCATCTAGGAAAATGCCTTGCTAATAAGGTTGTTAGGGGTCTCCTTGAGTACAGAGATCACTGTTTTGCAAAACCTCAGAGGTCACACCATCTGCAGAGAACTCACTACAGCTAGCAGTGTGCCCCTAGAAGAAGGGGCATGAAGGCAGAGCGAGGTTCAGGACACTTCCAACATTCTCAGCCTGTAAAACTGAGGGTCTGGCTGAATGAACCCAGATAGGAGAGGCAGAAGGAGGACAAGGGCTAGGAAAGGTGGTGAATTCTGTTTTGGAAATGTTGAGTTTGAAGGGCTAGTGGCACTTCCAGGCAGCATGACTGGTTGACAGCTGGCTTCTTTCATTGAGCAAACATCTACTGAGTGACTATGTACCAGGCACACTCCAGGTGCTGGGGATAATACAGTGAACAAACACACAAACCGCTGTCTTCAAGGAACTTGGCCTCAAGCAGAGGGAGACAAACAATAAACACAAGAGATTACGAAGTGACATCATATGTTTGAAGGTGGTCAGTGCTACCAGTGCTGGGGGGCCGGGGCTGCGGGAGGTATAGAGTTCGAAGGAGAATTGTGCATGGGAGGGGCGGTTGGGGAGGACAGTTTAGACAGTTTTTTTTGGAGTGCAGAGCTAGGCTGGAGATGTTTGCCGGAGATTTATATCTTGAATCGTGGCAGTAAGAGGGAGGGTAGAGAGAAAAGTTGGGAGAAGGATGTCAGGAATGAGAAGAGATCTCAAAGCAACACTTCCAGGACTCTTCCAACATCCAACATTAGGAGCCTGGGACAGGCTGTGCTAGGGAGGCCAGAGAGGTAGGTGGAGATCAGGAGCATTCAGATGTCAAGGGGCACAGGGAGCTCATGAGGCAGGATCTGGCTCAAATACCACAGGGAGTTCAGGGATGATGACTGTGGAGAAGCTCCTCTGTTCCAGAAACTCTTCTTTGCATTTTCCATGCAGAATCACATGTGGTTAACGGTCTGGGCTCTGGGCTCGGATGGCCTGGGCTTGATCTGGACTCGGGCTGTGTGACTCTGGGTTTCTTAACCCTTTGCATTGCAGTTTCCTTGGTTGTAAATAAGGGTGGTTTAGCACCTGACTCACAGTGTTGTAGTGAGGATGAAATTAGATAATGAGATAATAATGCATATCGAAACCAAGACTATGAGTGTTGCCTGTGAGAGTGCCCCTCCTTCATCCTTCCTGCAGCCCTTGACAGATAAAGAAACCATTGGTGTCCTCAAAAAGCGGGTTTTGGAACACTATGCAGCGACACCAGACTAGCAGAGGATGAGCAGGGATTGAGAGGTGGGGAGAAGAAATGAGTTTAGAGTTATCTCTACAAATGTTGAAAAAGAGAGAAAGGGGAGAGTAGGTTCAATGTGAAAAAAAGATCAAGGGAAAGATCTCATAGTCTGGGGAAGACCGGGGCATGTCTGGTGGGCAGAGGGGAAGCAGGAGTGTCTGGAGAGCAGGAGGCCGGCCCTGCAGCCTGTACCTGTGTGCTCAGTGGCTTCTGCCACCTCAGAATTCACTGCTCTGCCGCCTGCACCCCCACCTGCCTCAGAACGTCGTCATCTTGTTCAGATGTGTCCTTTCTCCTGAACTAGATGTGGCTGGGCCCAGCACTAGCACAGTTTCCAGACAGACACTTGCTGCTCCAGATACTTGCTGTTTTCTTCCCCGCTTTATGTCTCCACGGCACTGAGAACCTGCCTCGTTGAAAGTGCAAGAAGAACCCAGGTGATCTGTTTGGGGCTGTCACAGAATAGCACAGAATGGGTGGCAGATTCACAGGGGGAGTGTATTTCTCACAGCTCTGGTGGCTGGGAAGTCTGAGATCAAGGCACCTGCAGATTTGATGACTGATAAGGGCCCACTTCCTGGTTCATAGACTTCTTGCTCTGTCCTCACATGGAGAAAGGGGTGAGGGAGCTCTCTGGGGTCCCTTTGATAAAGACATGAATCCCATTCATAAGTGCTCTGCCCTCCTGACCAAATCACCTCCCAAAGGCCTCACCTCCTTATACCATCACAATGGGGATCAGGTTGCAACCTATAAATTTTGGGGGGATACAAATATTCAGTCTCTAGCACAGATCATTATAACACAAAGGGGGATCTGACTGATGGTGGGTGCTTGATTGAAAGAGAGGAATGGGGAGGACAAGACATCCCTCCATCACCACCACCACACTGTGCAGAAGGGAGGGACCATTGTTCTGTTTCTCCCAGCATCTGGCAGTGGAAGCCTATGGCCCTGGGTCAGAGCAGGCCTGGGGAAGGGATTGCTGACCCCAACCATTGTCTCATCTCCCAAGGGAATGGAAGGAGCTCTGCTCTCAGGAATCCCTTGCTTTCATTCCCCATTTACTCACCTCATGTCCCCAGCACTATGCTAAGCCCTGGGGATGTAGCTACAAAGGAGGCAGCGACTGCCCTGTAGTCCTCAAGCTGGAGAGGACCAGCATGGCCAAGCGCCAGGACCGAGGCAGGTGCACAGTGCTGTTGGGACATAAAGCGGGGAAGAAAACAGCCCAGTGTTTGGGGAAGTTGGTAATGATTAAGGGTAGGACTGGCATTTGACTTGGGCCATGAGGAATGAGGAGGAGTTTGCCTAGCAGGGAGTGAGGTGAGGGTGGCTGTGTGAAGACTGTGGTCTGTGGTGGGGTGCTGAAATTTGGTGCTGCTGCAGGTCACAGGTTGGTTGGGGGACTGGAGTCAGGGTGAGGTGCAGAAGCAGAAGTCAGAAGGACCTAAAGGACTTAATGGGAGAAAGTTTCCTTCCCCCCTTTCTCCCCACTTCATGCCCAGTGCTTCCGAGGGAAAAAAGATCATTACGACGTCTGGGAGTCCAAGGTTCTAGAATTTGTATCTGGCTTGTGTAGTCCACCCATTCATTTTACACCCGTGGAAAGTGAGGCATGCCTGCGTGTCATAAGATGACAATACACAATAGAGCTAGAACTTTCCTTCTGGAAAACCAACAGCATCCTTCAAGTCCAGAGCAAATTGTATTGGAACAAATGGCTGCTTCCCTCACAGTCCTCCAGAAGGGCAGCTCTGGGCTCCGAGCACCTTGAACTTGCCCTGAGCCTTCAGCTCTTACCTCCACAGGTTCTGACCTGCACTTTCCCCCCGTGTCTCATGGTCAGAGTGCTTATTAGGCTTTCAGAGGTGGAGATGTGGGTGGGGTAGGTCAGGTAGTGCAGAGTGACTACAAATGTACCTTGTTTTACGCTGCACATGCATTCTGCAAATTTGTATGTCAGTCTTTTTATTTCCTGCAAATTCAATAGAATCTTAAAGAAATTAGGGGGAGTTGTCGTTTAATGGAGTTCAAACCTGCCTCTTTTTAATCAAGTGAAGGGTCCTTTTGTAATGCAAATAATGTCTTCGTTTTGTGAGCTGAGATTCTGTCTTGGCTTTCTTTAAATGAGACACACCTCTAAGGGGCAAATGTGGGGCTCACATGCAGCATTTTAAATGCAGGCCAGCGTCCATCCTCTGCCTTTGTTGTAACACTTGCTTTGGTGGTCTTTGTTTATATCAGGTATTATTTTGGCCACTGGAGGGCCCTCCAGATAGAGAATGACTGGAGAATCCCAAATGCGTTCCCTTAGCCCAGACTTCAGTTCACACCCAGATTTTTGAGCCTGCAGCATTTCTTGCAAATCGGATTTAACTGGGGAGACTAGCAGTAGCATTGATGTTTCTTTTATGTAGGAATTTAAGCATAAAAGGAACCTCTATTTAAAAGAGCAGCTTTTGGATTATAGTCTATTTGGAGCTGGAAAGGAGGTGCTAATCTTGTATATGGAGAGTGATCTTGCAGAATTTAGCGCAGCTTAGGAGAGCAGAGCTTTGAACAAAGGTTATTTCTCTGTGTGAAGAGAATCACACCAAGATGTATGGCGTGAAGTGGGGCAACAGAAATTATTTTTTATAATGAGGAAAAAGAGAGTCTTATATAGGCCTGGAAAAATAGTTGGGAGGTTGGCATCCTAAGCCTAGTAAAGCACAAAATCACCAAAGTTTATTTTCATGCCACATATTTTTTCATCTGCAGTTTTTCTACCCTCTTGCTGGAGCCTAGTTCAGAGATTTTATTTTGCCGAATGTTGACAAAACACCCTAAATTCTGGGCTCACAGTTGTCAATGCAGCATGAAAAATTTCAGCCCTCAATAGATTCAAACACAGACCTGTTGCAAAACCAGATAGAAATGAGGAAAACTGTCAAGAAGAGTCCAGAAAAGAAATACGGGTCAGTGACAAGGTTTCCTCAGTTTATAAAACAAAGAAAATTCATCAGAACTCTCCACATCAGCCCAATACCAAACCAGATTAAAGTGCTGTCTCATGTTCTAATCTTCTGAGGCCTGAAACAAAAAGTGAAGTTGATTGTGTTGATTCGCATGGCTCCCCTGAACTAGTAATCTTTCAACATCAGAGCGGAGCAGGTGACTGACCAACGGACTTGTAGATGGCTTTGGGGATTTGTTTGCGCCCTCATAATTTGAGAACGTGAGTCCTGTGGGAACGGATGTGGCCACTGGGGATATAGCTGGTGGCAAGCTCTGTGAGGATCGGGATGGTTCTTACATTTTTTGTCCAGCTGTAAAATGGGAAGGAGGCTTTTTTCCGACTCATCCCTTAGCGTAAAGTTCCCATTCCCACGCAAATGGCAGCTCTTTCTATACTTATTTGGGAGTGAAATGGAAGAAGGGATGGAATGGAGAGGATCCGTTTCCTTTTTGAACTTGGGAGTTTATAGGTAAGTGGGCAAAAATGAGCCTACGGAAGAGACTAACTTCGGTCCGGATCAGCAGCATTTGCTCTTCTGGGAACCTCAGCTGTGGGCAGCAGAGAGCTGAGGGTGTGTTTGGTAGCTGCGTGTAAAGGGAGGCACTGTGCTTAATGAGGTCTGCAAGCCTCGATCTTTTCATTTGACCCAGGTTTTTCTCCCTTGGATTAACCTCTCTGTGTGTTGTTGGGAAGTACTGTTCATCTGGTTGTAGCTCAGAATTTTGTACCTGGCCCAGAGGAGATTCCTGGGAGTGGAATCTAGGTCCCCACCCAATTCTGATTGTGAGTAATGGATGCCGTTTGGATGGGAACTGTAGAGGATTTATCTTTAACGCCAGAGGGCTGGAGGTCAGAGCTGAAGCAGGTTGATTAAAATCAGTTACTCAGGGGATTTGACTACACAACCCAAAACACAAGCTGGAGGAATCCAGCTTCTTCTCAGAACTGCCCCCAAATACTGAGGAAAGGTAGATTCGAGGTCTGCAATCCTCGCCTTGCTTCTCAACTCAGAGCTGTCATTGTCTCAAACACGCACTTGACACTAAACATACATTTTTCTCTGACATAT
Source organism: Homo sapiens (assembly GCF_000001405.40). Classification (NCBI taxonomy): domain Eukaryota; kingdom Metazoa; phylum Chordata; class Mammalia; order Primates; family Hominidae; genus Homo; species Homo sapiens. Next base: position 121,654,942 of record NC_000011.10, read on the forward strand.
TTGTATTGTTTTTTAAGCTGTATGACAAATAGTTATGCTGAGTGAGTTCCGGGCACCTAGCAGGCAGGCAGTAAATATTTGCTGTACATCGAAAGAATGCCGTTGGCTTGGCTGTCAGTATGGCTCCGATTCAGAACCATCCCATTGCTGGGTTCTTGAAGCTGGGAGGATTGCACGTTGAAGGGCTGGTCAAGCCCTGCCTGACCAGAAAGGTCTCTGTGAATACTTTGGTCATAGAGACCAGAAAGGTCTCTGTGAATACTGGAACATTCTCAGACATGCCGAGCAAAAGCTACCATCGCAGGCAAGAGGGACGGTGGGGGGAAGTGCAGCTGGGAGTTTTCATAGAGACGTGGTTCCTTTGTTCTGGTAGATTTCAGCCAGAAAGAACAGCAAATTTTTACTGTCTGCAAACCACTAAGGAGCTACTCCCCTCCCCCTTTACCTCCTTCCTTCCCAACCTGGGAATTCATTTGCTGCTTCTCTCTCCTCCTCCTCTGCCCTCGGGCAGTCCTCAGGGACAAAGCTCTTTGTTGTGAACACTCCGAGACAATACGGGATTGCACAGTCCCCAGGGCACAATCGGGGCTGTCCTCCATGGAGAGTGATCGCCCGGGCAGAGACCCCCACCTGTTGATCTCCCCCTTCCCGGGGCGAGTGGCAACCTGCATTGTGCTGGGGACGCACGCGTTTCCACAGCAGGCTCAGCAGATGGTGCTGGTGAGCAAAGCCATTCCCGTCCCTCTCGCGCCCCTCCCCACCGCCAGAGCCTCGCTGGTCTAAAGCAAAAACAGATGTTTTCATCATTTCTGGATCTGGCATGTGACTCGCAGTTCAGCAATGCGCCGACATAACCCAGAGTTGTACGTCCCCATCATCCCCCGCAAAATAAAAATCCTGAACTTAAACGAGCCTTCCTCCTAGGCGAGCCACTGACACATGATCTGTGTAATCCACCCGGCACGTGTTTAATCGGACTCCAACTGCAACTGCCTTTGTAGCCAGCCCCGGCTCTATAATTGGGAAGTTGTCTTTTTTTCAGCGAAGACACGGGACAGCCAGACTAGCTATCTTTACACCAAGGGCTGGGAAGAGGCGCTAGCCTTTTAAAATAGCCCTGGTCTGGCTGGCTGGCGAACCTGTCTGCGTGGGAGCCGGTGAGCGGGGCCAGAGCAAAACAGGAAGGCCGCGGCGGCGCACCCTGTTCCCGGCGCCCTCGGCAGGTGGCAGCATTGGCCCGAGCTGGCCTCTGCCGCTGGCCAGCCCCAAAGCAGGGCCCTTTTACTTTCGGTGGCCTCAAAATTATTAGTTCCAGATGAGTTCTTGCAATTGTAATATTTGGTTTAACCCAATCTGCCCGACTGCGTCAGCGCACGTTCAAATACAGCCGTCTGAAGTCTACCCAGACATCAGAGGCATGTTTCGGGGGTGTCAACATTCCTTACCCTTTGAAAGAATTAAAGCAAAACAAAACAAAACAAAAAAAGGAGGCTGATTTATCCCAAAACGAAAGAAGGGTGAACAGGCGTGGGGCTAGGGTGCCTGAGAGGGAGCGAGCAGTGGACATTCAGGGAAGGCGTAACAATGGAACTTTGTCCAGGAGGCCCGCTAGAGTGGAACTGGATTTATTTGTTGAACTAGAAAGGGACCTCTAGGTTCTTTGAAGGTTAGAGCAAATAAGCAAAACTGGCGTGCATTTGGTTTACCAACAGCAGAGTCCTTCAAGTCACGTAGGCTGCTATTGTCAGACACAAAACGCGTTGTTTCTGGGGCTGGGCCTCTGCTTAACACTTGGCTTGGTGTCCCAGGAAGGGGGCAGTGGAGGAGGGGGCTCCCCATCTTAGCACACAGCTTTTAGGGGCACTCTGAATGTCTGCCAAGGATGTAGACTGGGTTTCCTAAGGACAGCAGCCTAGGCCGCAGAGGACTCGTTTAGAAGACAGGAGCCCTCCTGCAGGCCCTCTGGCGAGTGGACTGGCTGGAGTCGTCAAGTGTCTTGTAAACGGCCCTGCTGTGGTTTTACTGCAACACCGTGGAGCTGGACACGGGGGAGACTAGGGACCCATCCCGGTGGTCTCAGGGTATTACAGATGCATGAGCTGAGGCTAAAAGACTCCCTCTGACCCCCAGGGCAGAGCAGCAAAATGTGCAAAGGGAGCCCAGAAATCCTGCTCCAACCACCAGCCAGGAAAGGGTGTCTCTTCCCTTAGCAGAGATGGAATAACCTGGCCTTGAAAAGACAGCCTCTGTCAAGCAGTCCCCCACACCCCTTCCCCCTGCCTGCACCTCACTTTTAAATCTGTGCTCAAATTCTTCAGTAAGATTCCTGCTAGTCGACTACAGGGAGCCTGACCGTTTCCCTGCAGGTCTCTGGCTCAACATGGTACTGATCAAAAGCTGGCACCAGTCTGGCAGATGCTTTAAGTCCTGCATGTCGGGAGCTAGCGGCTGGTGCTGGCATCAGCCAGCCAGGCAGACAGAGTGGCCATCTTGTTAGATGTGGTTGGGGCCTCGCTCATCACTTACCTGCTGCAGGGGCCACCCCACTGTGTGGAGGAGGCGTAGGAAAGATGGTGGGACCTCCACACATCTGTTCCAATACCTCCAGAGTGTTTAGGGACCCAGACTTCCTGCTATCCTCCTTTCAGTCTGAAAACTACATGTGTCCCTGCAGATTGTTGGGAAAGTGCTGATTGTCTTGGCGGGAGCCTCACCCTGATCCTAGAGGGGACTTGGCCTTGGAGGGAAATAGGCAAATTAGGCATTCAGGTGAGTACAATGGTTCGAGGCCTGTGTGCGTAGAATGGCTAAGGAATTCCAGTATTCCTTTCCATTGCTTCATTTACTTTATTCCCTTCTGAGAATCAGTTTTTGGACATGCTATAATCCAGAAATTCTCAGTCTTGCGTACTTAAGAATTGCCTGGACCCTACCCCCAGAGCTGCTGAAATCACAATGAAAAGGGGTTGGGGATAGGGGTCATGATTTTACTCCCTGCCCAGGTGGTTGTAATGTACAGCTAGAAGCTAAAAAACAAAATTTAAAAATCACTGCATTTCTAACCCAAATTCCCTTGATTTACAGATGAGGTTCCTAAGAGTTAAGCGGCTCAGCCAAGGTCACACAAATTCAAGTCCAAGTATGGAATTTCTGTATAAGACCTCCTTGCTCCTCAGCAATGATTGAGGCTTTTCCTCAATCTTTGAACCCATTAATGACAGAGCCAGTCACTTCTTTTCCCTGTTTAATGAAACCCTCTATCAGCCACAACGTGTGTTGCTGTTGCCTATAAGAAATTCCTCTTACAGTCGGCTCTCTGTATCCATGGGTCCTTCATCCATGGATTCAATTGGCCTCAGATACAAAATATTAAAAAAAAAAAATATATATATATATATATATATATATGTATGTATATATGGATGGCTGTGTCTGTACTGAACATGTAGACTTTGTTTCTTGTCATTATTCTCTAAACAATACAGTATATCAACTATTCACATAGCATTTACATTGTATTAGGTATTATAAGTAATCTAGAGATGATTTAAAGTATGTAGAAGGATGTGTGTAGGTTTTATGCAAATCCTACACCATTTCATCTAAAGAGACTTTAGCATCCATGAATTTTGGTATCTGCGAGGGTCCTGGAACCAATTCCCCACAAATACCGAGAGAGAACAGTACTTACTGGGGAATTTTCAACTTTGTAGCTTTAAATAAAGGCTTATACTGAGACCTTTAGAAATGAAAATCTAACCCCCGCCAACCCTGATTTCCCTTATTTATCACTTATGTTCCCAAAAGGGATTCATACCTGCAGATGGCCATCATGGTGATAACTGCTTTGCAATGATTTGTTTTTAGGGATGAGGCTCCTGGGCCCTAGAAAAGTTTAGTGCCGTGTTTGGGCCAAAGTAGATGGCAGAGGCAAAGTGAACATGGAGGCACCCACTTCCCAGCCCTTGGTGACATCACTGCTTTAATCTCACCTCTCTTCCCCTGGGGCTGCTCAAGGTGCTGTTTTCTTGTTAGTCGTCACCTGCTGGAGGTAACAAACACCCTCAGAAATACGTCTGTCCTCTGTGGGCAAGGAAGCAGTCACTGGCTTAACCCTATGTTTCTGAGAATTGGTTTGACTTGAATATTTTGAGATCTTTGATGCTTGAAGGTTGAGGAAGTTACCATATTACCATAACTCATTGGGAACAAGGGAGAAAAAGAGCCCAGACATTGTGGTCACCAGGTAAAGTGGAAAGGAAGCTGGACAGGGAGTCAGGCAACGGTGTCCTGTGTGACCTTGGACAAGCCATTGTATCACTATGGGCCCAAGTTTTTTCCTCTGGAAAAAAGCCAGGAAGTTGGACATGATCTCTGAGGTCTCTCCCAGCTCTGACATTCCATGGGACAACGAGTTCCTCATCTCTGGGACCTTCCTTTTGTCGGTCAGATGTGAGGCTCTGGATTCTCTTCTCTCTCTAAGTCAATTACTCTTGAGGCATTTCCCCAGTGACCTTAGGACTAACTCATGATTTTTAAACATGGAGGTCAGAACATGAGCAGCCACACAAAAACAACGACTTGGTTCCCTACCCAGTGCCTGGTGACTTCACAAAGGACACTTAATGTAAGTCCCTTCTCTAGAATTCTTTCTTTTCTTAGAGGAACTGCCCAGGGATCTTGCATCATTGGGGCTTGTTTGTCCATCCACCCATTTATTCCATCTTATAAACATTTGTTAAGTACCAACTCTGCTTAAAAAAAAGGATGGGGAAGAATGTTTATTTCTAGGAATGACTCTTCTAGATTAAGAGGCTACAGAGGCATTATAACTAAATACAGTATGTGACCTTGATTGGATCCTAGATCCAAGAAGAAGAAAAAAGCCAGAGAAGACATTTTTGAGAGACCTGTGGAAATCTGAATATAGATCTCGTAATGGGATTATTGACACATTTTTTAGATTTGATAATAGCATTGTGGTTTTACATGAGACATTTTACATGCTGAAGTACTTAAGGATCAGTGTCATGATGTTTGCAACGTTCCTTCAAATGATTCAGAAAAAAAAGCAAATGTACCAGATGCTGATGATTGATGAATCAAGGATGGGGAGTATCAAGTGCTCATTGACTAACTCAACTTTTCTGGAGATGAGTTTTCGAAATAAAAAGTCATGACCAAAAGGGAGTGCCCCTGTCCACAGGGGGCTTCCATTTCCCATTTATTTACCCTTTACTGCTTATCAAAGGCAAACAGACATGTGAATCACTATATTTAATCCAAGGCAGAATAGAATACATGGCCAGAGGAGGTATAAGTGGTAGATCTTGGAAGACCAAAATGGAGAGTTGTTAATTTTTCCTAGGGCTTTGATGGGGGTAAGGGAAGGCTTCTTAATGGGGCAGTATTTGAATTAGGTATAGAAAGGTGTGTACAGTTTCAACAGGAAAAGGGCAAGGTTCGGGGGGGGGGGGTGATTTTAGGCTGAGGGGACAATGGAAGCAAAGTTACAGAGCCTGAAGTTGTTTAGGGCACAGAGATTACTCTATGTGACTGGAAGGTAGTAGGTATGGGGAGGGATGTAACGGGGTATAAATATTGCTTGGTGTCTGACAATGGGTGCCTCAAAAGCTATACAAGCAATTAAAACTCTGACCTCAAGAAGAGATAAACCAAACATGTATTTCATGCTGCACCCACAAGTAGCTGCAGTATAACCATCAACACTTGGTTGTCTAACTAATGAATTTTCTGTGGCAAACTCCTGCCCATTCTTCAAAACTAGCACATAAGATTCCTCTCTAAAGTTTTACCCAACCTCTGCAGATAGAACTAGTCACTCTGGCCTTTTCTCTTTCTGTTTCTGAAGTCCATTCACACTCATCGCGATGTCACCAGGAGCAGGTAAGGTCAGTCTTGACAAGAGCCAGTTCTGCCTGCTTTCTCTAGAATGCACTCACTGGTTCTTATTCTTTTTTTTTTTTTTTTTTTTTTGAGATGGAGTCTTGCTCTGTCACCCAGGCTGGAGTGCAGTGGCATGATCTTGGCATCACTGCAACCTCCGCTTCCTGGGTTCAAGTGATTCTCCTGTCTCAGCCTCCCAAGTAGCTGGCATTATAGGCGTCCATCACCTTGCCTTTTGTGTGTGTGTGTGTATGTGTATTTTTAGTAGAAATGGGGTTTCACCCTGTTGGCCAGGCTGGTCTCGAACTCCTGACCTCAAGTGATCCGCCCACCTCGGCCTCCCAAAGTTCTGGGATTACAGCCGTGAGCCACCGCGCCTGGCCCACTGCTTCTTATTCTTATCCTTTTTGGATCACCAGTCCTTTGGCTCCACAACTCAGCTCCGCACACTTACTTGCTTCAGTGTCTGCTTGCTGGGATAACCAGCCAGTGGTCACATGGTTTTTTGATATCTTCATGTTACCTTGGTTTGCCAGCTCCATGGATCGAGAGCTTGCAGGAAAGAGGCCTGGCTGCTGCCCAGCTTATGCCAGGGCCCCACATCAGCTGGGTTGTCAGTGGGACTTCACCAGCATGGAAATAAGAGCATTTCTTCCTCCATGTTCTCAGGGAAATTTTGTATACCTTTATTGCTACAGTCCCTATCATCTTGTATTGTGATTTTTTTTTTTTTTGCCTGTTTTCTCTGCTATACCATGAGTCCTTAAAGGACAATCTTATATCTTAGTCAGCTTTGAATCACCAGAACTTAGCATACTTCCTGATACTTAGCAGGTGCTCAATAAATGCTTATTGCAAGAATGAGTGGATAAATGAATGGATGGAAGGAGACGTATCTTTTCATTGACATCCATTTAGATTCCTACATCATTTGTCCTTTATCTGAATGCATAATTAAGAATTGATTATGTGTTTAGAAACCGACAGCCATAAATAGGTCACGGAGAGTCTCCCTTATTGAAGTTTCATTTCTGTGTGCACTTGTATTAATGCATTAAGTATGGCTCCCTAAGACAGTGAGAGCCTCTAGTGGTGTTCCTCTGGGAAGCTGTTTTTCCAATGCATGTAGAAGAGATGAACTCTGCTGTGGAAATCACACAGGATTGCAAAATGTATCAACACAGAGCTTGGGAAAAGAGTTGAGTCATAAATTATAGTAACAAGACTTTGCTCCTCTATGTGGCCCTTTTCACCAGCAATTCCACCCAAAATGTAGCAAAGACTAATTAAATTAAAGACTGCTAGCGTCACATTCCTGCTCAATCTGTATGGAAAAACTTTGTCATCACATCCGCAAGAGTATGGCCGTTTCACCTCTGTTTGACACACCAGTAAATTGTGTGCTGAGAGACAAAGGCACCAACTTCATGAAGAGCTCAGGCCGGGAACCAAGGGATCTGTTCTGATCACTAAATAACCATCCTTTGTCCATGTAACAGATGGTGAGTAATTGTGTTGGCTTGTGTAATTTGTCCTGGCAGTGTTTCCTTAATGACTGTTTTCAAAATATTCTCTCTGTCCCTGCCCCTCACCCCCAGGCCCCTATCTGTAAAGGATAAGAAACAAGTTTCCAGTTGATTTCATGATTCAGAACCAAGCTGACCATGTTTATGTGGTTCTTATAGAAAAATAAAAGTTTCATACTGGATCCAACAATAGCTTAAATCCCATGCAGGACAACTGACAATGGCTTGGGTGATTGATTCCACTGCCCGGGAATGGATACCTGGAAAGCTGATTGGGCTTAGGGACTGGACGTTGTGATAGAGAGGTCTTGTCATCTCTTGATTCCACCTTCTCAAACTAGGAGCACCGGGATTCTCTCTCTACTAATGATGAAACCTGTGACCAAGGAATCACCTACCACACTCTCTGCTGAGCAGTATTCATGGGGCTATTTTGATTCAGCTAGGCTCAGTGAAATTCAGTGATTATTTGTTGTTGAGGCGCTCTCAGGAATAAGATGTCACACCAGGTGCTGTAGGGCCGTCATATTATGAACTAGACATTGATCCTTTCCTCAAGGCTGTCTAGATCTATAGCCATCTCTACCCCAACTTCTTGTAGGACCACAGAACTGATTTCCTCTTTCAGATTTTGTTAGATAAATTGGGTGTAGAGGAAGGAGACCCCAGGAAATAGGAATATGAGTGGTGATTATATTCAGTTGAGAATCTTGAATAAAAGCTGGTATGCAAAAGAATAGTCCGGCTCTGAATTCAATTTTTCAAAGCTCATTCCCTTAGAAATATTATTTCTAAATATGATTATTTCTAAATTCCCTGGCTTCAGACACAGTCACCCTCTGCCTGCCATTCAGAGGACTGGTGATAAGAGTGCTACAAATGGTACTTCCATTATTTTGGGACGTTCCTCTTCACTTGACTTTGGTGGGGAATCCACAGCCATCAGAACAGAGAGTTGGAACTGGGGGCACTGGATGAAGACCCGTTGATAGAGAGACAGATGTTGACAATCAGGGTTTTCAGAGAGGCTAAAAGAAAATGTTAGCAGTCTTTATATAGTGGAGTTCAGGCACCCCTATTTAAAAGGGAGTGATAAGTTTGAAATTAATTTACATGCGCCTGTAAAACACTCAAAAATACATCGTACAATTAAGCACCCAATGCCCCAGTGCCCTCTGTAAGTACCTGGATACCCCAGTGTCCTCTGAAGAGTGTGATCCAACCCATTTTCCATCTTCCAGCATGAAAACAGGAAAATAAAGGAGGCTGCCCACCACCTTTCAGAGTCAATGTATTTTGAACATTGTCAAATGATCCTCCTGCCAACTCAGCCACAGGAAAATATTGCTTGAGAGTTGCTTCCACTGCCCATCACCTCCTAACCTTGGCTCCAGCAAGCCCTCTCCACACCCTCTGTTCTAGCCATGCTGAGTTGCCTTATTCTTTAACAAGCCTACCTTGTCCCATTCTATCCTGTACTCCCTTCCTGTTCATGCCATTCCTTGTGTTGTTGGCTGATTTTCCTTCTACGTTTTGTGTAAATCTTTGTATTTTCCATGACAACCAGCACAGGTCACTGCACATGGTATATGTTCAATAAACGTTTATTGGATGAATGATTAATTTTCTTCTCCATATTATATTCAAAAAGAATTAATTAAAGGATTAGCTGTATGAGGCACAGTGCCAGGTGCTCTGTTGAGATAAATACACGAAGGGTCCCTGTCCCTAAGTAGCTTAACATCTAAAACTGCTAAACAGATATAAACACTCATCTGTAGCAGCCAGTGTGACCTGGGTTCTTAACCTGAAATCTACTGACAAGCCTCTCCCCCAGCAGTGTGTGAATGAGTCCATGAAACCTCTGAAATGATATGGAAAATGTTGCATATATGCATATTTTGGGGATAAGGTCCACAACTGCTGTGAGAGTTAGGGCATAAGAGATGGTGAGAAGTAGCAGATGCTGGATTTTGTTTTGGACTTATTGATTTATTGATTGATTTTCTTTATCTTGGATTTTCTCTTTGAGTGATTGGATGGGTGTCCTGCCATGTACTGAGGGAGTGAGGATTTGCTGGTGGATGTGGGAGCAGACCTGAAGAAGAGGAAAGTCAACATGTAAACAGTAAATAAGCTTGAGATGTCTATTAGGTATCCAAACATAGATGTCAGAGAGAAGTTGGATGTAGGGAACTGAGCTCAGAAGAGAACTGGGCTGGAACTATAAATTTGAAAATTGTCAGCACATAGATGGTCCTTAAAGTCACTGTGTTGGATGTCACTCAGGGGAAGAGAGGACCAGGGAATAAGCCACAGGACTTTCTGAGACATGAAGGAACAAGATCCAGCAAAGCAGGCTGAGACGGAGGCGTCACTAAGTTAGGAGGAAAACCAGGTGACTGTGCTATCCTTGAAGCCCAGAGCAGACAGTGTTAAGGGAGCACTGGTCAGCCATGTAAAGTTTCACTCCTAGAAACGATGTCACCTTCATGCACATATTTACTTGTCTGTCTCACTGACTAGACCCATTTTCCAAGTCCAGCTCAAGTTCAGACTGTACAGGAATCACATTTATCTTAGAATCGGCAGGGCACAGCACAAAGCCGGGCACATAATTGGTGCTTGCTCATTGTCTAATGAATTGAAAGAAGGAAAGAAAAAGAAAGAAAGAAAGAAAGAAGGAAGGAAGGAAGGAAGGAAGGAAGGAAGGAATCTCAAAGGCCAAGCAGGAGAATAAAATACCCTTAAAGCTGAGGCTTCGGGGGCTGAGATAGCATTGTTTTAGCATGCTTTCGGAACAGTGTAGGAGCTGGTATGGTATAATGTGTCTCCATGTAGCAGGAGGCAGGACAGTCGCACTGCTGTGTCAAAGAGCTGGAGCCCTTGGTAGGACACGTACCCAACAATGTCATTTGTGCACAAGGGAACTTGGCTGGGGAGCAACTGCACTTCCACCTCCACCATCTGCTTAGTTAATTCCCAGCCCGCTGGCTCCAGTGTCTCTTACCTCTTAATTACCAGCCTTGGCTCCCACCTGGCTCAAGAGACCAGCTTTGCTTCCCTGTTGCATTTTAAGCAGTGACCTGACAAAGCCTATCTTTCCTGGCTGAGATTTCCTTTGGTCGCCTTCAGCCAGCCCTTTCCTTTTGGGATATCCTGCCTTACCCATGTAGTGGTTCAGAGCAGCCTGACATCCAGGTGGCCCTGGCAGCTCTGAGCTAGTTCTGTCCACTCAGGGGCAATGCCCCACAGGGCAAACTGGCATTTAGAGCCTTTGAGAGTAACTGGCACAGGATAAAACCAATTAAGAGGGCAGTTCAGAGATGCTGGGACCCGTGGCATAGTCTATCATTGGTGGACTTTCCAAGTCAGGGTGACGGTAATTACCTGAATCCCTGGATGCTCTCTTTGTACAATGTTCTGACATCCTGGAAAAGAGCCTACCTCAGTCAGTTCATCTCAGCCCAGATAGTGCCTATTCTTGAACTCTCCCTGCTCTAAAAGAATTTCAGTGTTTTTCCTTTTTGAGGGTGGGTGACCTTGGATTGACGGCATCTTGGTTCAGAGCATGACCTCAGAATGGAGAGCTTTCTCCAGCTGAACTGACGAAATTTGCCTCCTCTTAACCCTCTTAGCTTTTTTCTTAAACTCCAGTCAGTAGAGAAACTCCAAAATTTACCCTTCTTCTGAATTGAGTTGCTTTTATTCTATAGATATTTTAATCTTTCCCTCTGTGTCAACTTTGATGACCCTGACAGTGAAGGTGAGCATGATACCGAGATTTCTGAGTGTCGTCTTCTCATCAGGTGCTCAGATAAGAGCTCCTATGCTAGGTCCTTTGGACAACAGAGAAAACCAATGAAGGGTGTGCATTCTAGGTAAATAGTCAAAATAAGATGCTTGAAGGTGGATTGGATTATATAAACTATCTCATATGCCCCAGATGCTTGTGACAGCCACCAACAGGTAAGTGCATGTGAGCATTCTAGGGGACAGGGGATTTTATTTAAAAGCCCAAAGGAAAATGTTCATGTCTTTTTATTTCCAAGAACTTCCCATTGTATCTTATTTAATCTTTACTAGAATAATCCTACAGGGAAAGGAAGGAGAGTGGAATAGCTTGCTCCTCCTCACCTTTTACCTTTTTATAGATGGCAACTGAGATGTAGAAGGAATGAGCTATCCATTAGGTAGATCTGGGACTTGAACCTGGGTCTTCAGATTCCCACCACAGGGAGAAGTTCTTTGAGGGTGGGAGGCATCATATGTATTACCTGGCTCATCCATCTTGGATGAAGATGGTAGAAAGCTGCACTGTGAACAGGGCTTCAACTCGATATCCACCCATCTGGTGGATATCAGAATCTCCAGAGTGGGCAAAGGAGGAAAAAAAAAATCTAGTGTTTTTCAGAAAAATATATTCATTATACATTCCTGCTTAGAAAATGAATGTTTATAATATAAACTATCTAGCAAAATTCTAGCAAAATCTTGACTAATATGGTATGGGTAAAAAAAAATACTGAAAACCAGTTTGATCTTTTTTGTCCTCTATGTCCACCAAAGAGTTGTCGTCTCTGGAGCTGGAACAGCTACCTCACTGCATGGCCATCATCCCACTATACCCTGATAGAGTGTGGAGCCAGAAGTAGCTCCAGAGGAATCAGCTATCATCAGAGCCTTTACTACCAATTTGTAGTCTCAGTTGGAGTTGACTTCTGGTGAACTGGTGGACTGAGGCTGACCCATTAATCAACAGGTCTTACTAAGCACATGTCCAGTACTATGCTAGGTGCTTTGGACAACAGAGAAAACCCACGAAGGGTGTGCATTCTAGGTAAGGAGTCAAAACAAAATGCTTAAAGTTGGACTGAACTACCTAAACGATTAGACAGGTTCATAAAAAAGAGTAATTCTGGGCCAAGCATGGTGGCTCATGCCATGCACTTTGATAGGCCGAGGCGGGCAGATTGACTGAGATCAGGAGTTTGAGACCAGTCTGGCCAACACGATGAAAACCCGTCTCTACTAAAAATGCAAAAAAATTAGCCGGATGTGGTGGCGTGCACCTGTAATCTCAGCTACTCAGGAGGCTGAGACAGGGGAATTGTTTGAACCAGGGAGGTGGAGGTTGCAGTGAGCTGAGATTGTGCCACTGCACTCCAGCCTGGGTGACAGAGCAAGACTCCATCTCAAAAAAAAAAAAAAAAAAGGTAGTTCTGTATATGATGTATTTGGCATTTGAATATTAAATACTTGCTATGTGCTAAATTTCCTATATCAGGTGTCGAAAATGTAGGGTGTCAAAATAGGCAGGATAAGCTAAGCTGTGCTGAAGTAACAGCAGTCCCCAGATTTTAAAGCTTTAACACAACAAAGGGTTAATTTTGCTCAGATAATACATCCAACAAGGGTGTAAGGAATTGTCTGCTCCACATAGTCACTCAGGGACCCATACAGATGGGAGCTCCCCATATTGTGGCTGAACTTTAATATAGCATACATGAAATATTTGATGAACACTAACAGTTTCTGTGACACGTGGGAGTGGATATAAAGATAGATATAGTCCCTACCCTCAATTCCTGTTCAAAACTATGACACAAAACAGATGGTGCTAAGCACCATCAGAGAGATACAGATAAAGTGCTGAGTTAGTTGAGAGACTGGACAGATTGGTGGGACTGAATCCAGGACAGGATTTTGGAGAACATGGCATTACAGCCTGAAGGATTGGTAGGTTTTGATAGAGTCTTTGAACAAAGGCATGCTGGTAGAAAAGCAACATAGAACAGCAAATAGTTTGCTTGAGGGCAGGATCTGAGATGAGGAGGAAGGATATGAAGGACAATGATAACTGAGTGCCAAGTATGTGCTAGGCCCGGTTTTAAGTGCTTCACGTATAGTAACTCATTTAGTCATCTCAATAGTCCTTTGTCGAAACTGGGGCCCAAAGATTTTAAGTATTATTTAAGTTAATTTGCCCAAGTCCAGAGTAGTACTATAAGGCAGAGCTAAGCTTGTCCCTGAGGCCATCTGACTCCAGAGTGGGTGCTGTTACAGGTAAGGTCCAGATTCCAGAGGGCAATGAACACCAGCCTAAGGCACCCGAACATTTACTCTGAAGGCAGGGTGCACCATGGAAGGCTTCAAAGGAGGAGAGTGACATGATCAGATTCGTAATTAAATCATAAATGGCCCAGGTCCCTAAAGTGTGAAGACATGGGAGAAGAGGAGAAGGGGACTTGAGCTGGATTCTGAGTGATGGGGATGCTATGATCATATCAGAGAGAAATAAAGGACTTTCCAGGCAAGGGACAAGCCCGCTGAGGAGGTAGAAGAAATACATGTGGATTGGAGCAAGATAGTGAGATTTGTTTGACTACGTTGGGCGTAGGTTTCATAGAATGGGGACAGGTAGGGCAAAGCAACGTGGTAAGGGATTTTAAAGTCACACTAAGGAGTTCGGTTTGATTGAGTCAGAGGGAAAGAGACATGGACCACTTTGAAGACACAGCCAAGAAATGTGTTAAGAGGTGTCTCCTTGCCCTTCACTGTCCCCAGCCTGAGCCTAGTCACGGCCCCAACACACCTGGCATTTCAAAGCCTGGGGCATTTTCAAAGCAAACCCGAAAGGCTCATTGCCATTCTTTCAAAAGATCGCCTCTTTTCTACAAGCAATAAAATAATTAAAGTCAGGTTGTTGTATTTTCTTTTTTTAAATTTTTACAAAGGCCATTACAAAGGTGTGAAATATTAGACACTTACGCATCTGTGAATAAGATTGTAGGCTAAAGCGTGTGAGTTCCCGTCTCAGCTAATGAACCAGAATATGGTTTTAATTTTTGAACTGCAAAAATGTTCTGCCTTTTTTTGTCGTCCCTGCAGAAGACTTCATATTTTAATAATTCAGTGCAGCCTAATTACTTTAATTAATCACCTTCTTTTCAAAGATGTCAGTGGGCTTCGTTATTTTCTTGTTACGGTGCATACTATTGGGAGTTTTAGGGAATTTAAAAAATATATATGTAATAACCAAGGTTAACTCTTTCATGAACTTGGAAATGTGTATGCTTTTCCTTAGAGTTCTCTGTCATTCACAAATGGTGGACGAGGTTATGCCCATAAACTGCTTTCTCCTCCGTCCCTTTCACTCCCCATGACTGGTTAACAAAATCATCTCTAGTCATGCTATGCCTTAAAAACTGTTGTCTGGAGACAAAAGTAAAATGCTATTTAGAGCAAGTCAATATTTTTGCATCTTTCTGAGTCATGATGAATATACTGGGAATGACAATAGCTTTTATTGTACAATCAATATAATTTGCTTCCCTTGCAGGAAAACATAATTAGCTTATAGGTCACGCAGTGGCAATGAAAATGTGCTCATTTCTAAAGTCTGTTCGTGGGTGGAGGGTCCTTTCTGATCCAAGTGGGAGGTGTTCCTTTCTCCTTTCTGGTTCCTGACCCAGGTTGATCGGGTGTCACTAAGCAGCTCTCTTAACTTGTGGGGCCCTTGTTAATTTCTTGCACCCAGGAATGACAACGCTTTTATGCAGTTAATAATACATAAGTTGGATATTTGGAGGCTTCAAGTTAGAGCCTGGCTTTGAATACAATCCCTTTTGCTTAAATGACAGAGCTCTAGTATTGCTTCTTCAACTGGTCTGATAGTCTTTTTTGTCTTTTTTTTTTTTTTTTTTTTTCCATGAAAGGGAGAGCTCAGATCTTATGATTTTCACACATTTTCCTCAGTAAATATAGAAAGGTTCCTAATTAATAAATAACTCATTAATACATTGAGATATAGGGAAAGAGACGCCTTGCCACCTTCCTTCTTCTTTCCGGGGACCTGTTTGTCCCCCTTGGTGGCTGCTCAGCTCCCCACTCCCCAGTGGAGGCTGCCTGCAACCTCATTCCTGTACAGTTTACCCTCCCTGGCACCAGGCTCTGAAGGCTCTGCTTAGTTTGGGTGAGACAGCTTTGTTAAGCAGTCTGAGTTAAAAACAAATGAAAAAGCTGCAGAGAGACCTCCCATTTGGGGCTCAGGGTGAATGCTTTTATTTTAAAATGCTGACTGTCTGAAATCAGATTTCTTCAACCCGGACTTTGGCTTTGAACTGAGGCACACAAGCTACCTGTCACCTGAAGAGTGCAATTAAGCTCTGTACTTGGAGCTATGTTTTCTATCAATGCTGAGGGGTGGACATGAACAGTGCGTGGGATTCGTTTGGCTGAAAGAACAAGACAGGCCTATTAAAAACAATTCCCTTTTTGTTTCATTTCTTCCCGTTTTCTGCCCACACCCCACCCTCCTTTTTCCCAAATCGCCAACAACCTGAGAAGTCACAGAAATCAGCAAGAAATAAATCAATAATCAGATCAATTCCTGGATGATCATCATAAATCAATAATCAGATCAATTCCTGGATGCTATGGATTCAATAAAGGCTTGTGAATGAAAACCTTCCTAGTCCTTGTGAGTCTCCTAAAATGTTTCTATTGCAATCAGAGATGTTAATTGGTTGAAACTGCCTGTGGTCTTAGGAAGTGCTCCGATTACAAAAAGAAATCCTTTTATGTTGCTGGACTCCAGCCACAAAATCTCTGATGTTAGGAATCTGGCAGAGGTTGAGCCCCCTCCAGGGTGTAAATAAACTGGCCAGGTCTATAACCCAATAGAAGTCAATTTATTATGTGTGTGTGTTTCAAGTCACTCAGCCCAAACCCTGCCCATGTATTAAAGAAAAGATGTGGGTTACAGCCGGAGCCCAGACAATGGAATATAGCAACGGAGGCCCCGCAATGATTGTCAAGTCTACACAGTCAATGGAGGAGATGAGGGGGACCTGTGGAGATCGATATTTCTCTTCCTGCCCAGATTTGCAAGGCTCTGCCTAGAATCAAGCAGCTAAGCATGACTGGCACACAGAACTGCTTACTTTGCTAGCTGGGAGGCTGAAACGCAAACGGCTTAAGTGGGGGAACGTTTTATAGCCTCCGTCTGGAAGTCCCAGTGACATTCTCTGCTGCACTGATAACACATGAGCCCACATGCTTGTTATCAGAACTAGAGGTTTCGCTGGGCCACATCTTGCCCTGACTCAGTGAAATGCTTAGGGCAGCGTATTGGGAGGCGGCTCAGAAGCGTTGGGCAGGGAACACGTTGGGCCCCTCGTTTCCACACACAGAGCAGTTTCACTTACATTGTAAAAGGTTGTTTGGGGTTCACCTAATCTCGAGGCTGGAGGAAGCATCCCAGTGCCCCTCCACCCTCATCCCTGCCTCCAGCTCTAGTATACTTGTATTCCCCAAACGGTGTGTGGCAGCATGGCGAGGGTGTGAAATGTACCCGGCCTCGTTTGCATACCTCTCCAGACTGCCAGTAACAGTGAGCTATTAGTGAAACCCAGGACAGTCTGAACAAAGCTGCCTCTTAATTGCTCATTCTCAGCCTTGGTCCATCGAGCACCACTACCCACCTACACCTTAAAAAAATAGACCAACGAAACCTCCCATAAATTTACAATACCCCACTTTAACATAGAAAACGCAATAATAGTCCAGCCGGGAGAGTCTTTTTTTTTTTCCTTTTGGTGGCTTTTTTCCCCCCTCCATCCCCTTCATTCCCATTGGTTTCTGCCAAGTCCCAAAGAACCAATGGGATCCCTCTTCTTCATTCATGTCCTAGCAACAAGCTCTGTTCCAATCTTTCTCTGCCAAACTAACACCTGAAAAATTACATCATGAATAATGGCAAAAGCAGCAAGGGCCAGAGAAGGGCTTTTTTTTTTTTTCATCTGTCTGCTTCAGAGTTCATTTAAGGTGTTTTAGTCTAGATTCTTAAAGTGACAATGTCTTAGATTTTTGCTGATCTTTTTCAACACATTGGTTAACATAAGCAATATAAAATGAACAGTAATTGAATGCAGCAAAAGGCCTTTAGGTGAAGTGAGGGAAACACATTTTGTTAAGGGTGTTCCCTATATGTTCCTTTCAACAGTCTTCATTTAGGGAAGCCCCTGAAGTGGAGAAGTAGATTGTTCATATGGTATAGTCTTTGAGAAAGGACTAAAATACTGCAAACCACACAAGCCGCCCACCCACTCTCCCATACAAAAATGCACCCCTTCCTGGTGGCTTCTCTCACTCAAGTTAACTATACCCAAGGCCCTTTCTATTCCTACTTTGGAATAAAGAATCCATTCTGTTAAGGGGGTCCTGGAGCCAAGGAAGGAATTGCCTTGTGAATTTGCAAAAGGTGTGGGGTTGTTGGGGTAAAGAGCCACAGGGTGGGGGTGCCGGGAGCACGTGTGTGTCTGTGCACGTGCAGGGCTGCTAATGCAGACAGGCAGCTGGGGAAATGCAAGAACAACGAGATCCAGATGACCAGGGAGGGAGGGGGTTGGTAGAGAAATCAGAAAGGGGAGCTAAGGTGATAAGGAGTGGGTGCGGGGGAGGGAAGGAGGCCAGGAGAGGAAAACAACTGCACAGGCAGACTTGTTCTGTCCAAACGGGCAAAGTTTCTAATGCAAATGTCCACTTCTAGGCATTTCTCAAGACCCAGATGCTGATTTGACACTTCCGGCTTCCCCACCCCACCCAGTCTAGTGCAGACAGGGAGCAGAAACTCAGACACAAAGAACTGCAGCCTGTGCAGGCAGCAAGCGGGAGAAGGGTGGGTGCTCAGCACCTGCCAGGCATCCACGGGCACTGTGCATTGCCTGCCCAGCACCCTGGCCCCTCAGTGCTAGGCACCGGCACCTATGCACACTGGCTTCCTGGTTTCCTTGTAAGCATGTGTGAAGTGCTGGCGGCATGAGCTGGGAAAGGGCCCCTGAGGCCTTCTCGGGTGCCTGGGACACAGAAAATAGATCTATTTGGTGTCTGGCCCTGACCGGAGTTTGCAGCTTGCTTCAGCCATGCCTTGGCAGTAGAGTGGTTAGAGGTGCTGGCAGACAGTCACAGTCAGCCTGAGTTCTTGTGAAACTTCATGACTATATAAGGCCTGGGAAGGAAAGAGAATGATGCCAACCTAAGGGATGGGATAGTGAAAGAATGGGGAGAGTGCAGGGAAGGCCACTTTTGGTGCAGAGCTAGAGATATTCCCCTTTATCCACCCACAGCAGGTTGCAGTGACAGTGAATTTTCCTGCAGAAATTGTGCCATCAATTGCGTGATAAAGGAGGAATCCCGAAGTGGGTAGGTGGACGGGGTGCTGCACCAGGTTCCTGCAGGAGTAGATGCTCTTTCTCTGGTGACTTGCTTGACAGTGGCCTCCCCTTCTGGTCAGAGTCAGCTGGCTTCAACGTGGGCCAGGAAGAAGACCCTGAAGTCCGAAGTCTCAAATATCTTTGATGAGTATCACATCCCATGGTACAGAAGACTTAGGTCACCTAGCCTGAGGGGCAGTTTTGGAGAAAGAGATGGCCAGGTAGGCTAGGCCAGTGAAAAGGCAAGAGGAGCAAGGAGTACTGGCTCAGAAGTCAGGAGTCTTGTATTCATCCTGGCTCTGGCAGAGAGATCTTAGATGAGTGTGATCCCTTTTCCTACGCAATGCCACTGTTGTGATGACATGAGATCATTCTCATAAAGAGCTTAGAGTAGTGCCAGGGTATACAGTAAGCACTCAATCATGTTAGACATTGCCATCACTACCCTCCCACTCACCTTCTGCATGGTTCTGGAACCTTGAGTTAGAAGGGATGCCATCCCCAGCTGCACCCTCTTGGTTTTTGCAGTATAACATTTTTCTGTTTTTCTTCCCACTTCCTGGGCACTCCTTCTCATTGTTCTTTGTGGACCCTGCTCTTTCTGGCCTGGCACTTAAGGACTGGTTCTCCTCTGGGCTCTGTTACAGGATCTACTCTTCTCTCCTTACAGCTCTGTTTCTGTGACCTCATCCTCCCAAAGGTTTTGCTCTATTCTGATGGGTGCCATCTCCATACTTCCAGCCTGGATGTCCCAAACTTCAGGACACCATGTGGAGTAATCTGGACTTTTTCCTATCAGCATCCTCTAGGTACGTGAGGTTGAATATGTTCCTCATCTTTGCCTCAAAATCCCCTGAGTGCCTCTTTACCTTCATATAGAATGGAGATGCTTCCATTCAGTGTTGCCCAAGGAAGAGAGCTGGCTGTTATCCTTGACACCTCCTTGTCTCTCATCCTCCAAATCTAATCCCTCACTAACTGTCCTTTTTACCTCCTAGCTATTTTTCAAATGCATCCACTTCCTCCCTCTCCACTGCCATCGGCCTAGCAGAAGTTGCCAATTCTCTCACCCAGACTGTTTGGTTAATACTCTTGCTCCTGCGTAGGACCCCTGGCTGGCTTTTCATGGTTCTCAGGACATGGCTTGGATATGACTTCCTGCCTTTTGCACTTCATCTTGCTTTGTTGTTCTTAGAGTTCCAACCACACTGATCTTCCTATACTTCCTTCAAAATGCTTCCCTCTCCCACACAGGGACTTTGCAAATGCAAAATGCATCCCCTCCCCCAATTGGATGAAGTCATACCTACTCATCCTTAAGCGTCTAACTGGATGGTCATTTTCTCAAGGAGGCTTCCCCTGCTCTCCTGGGCTAGGCCAGGTCCCTTTGTATGTGGTCCCATAGAATTGTTCAGCTTCTTTCACCTTGAAATCATACATTCTACTTGTTCAATTAATGTCTGCTTCCCCTATAAGACGGTAATACCATGAGAATAGAAACCTCATTCTTTTCTTCATCATTATTGTCTTAAATATCTACCACAACATGGATGCTTAAAGAACATTTGTTGGATAAACAAATAAAAGAAACTCTCACAACTAAGTGCCACCAGTAAATCTAATAAGTAGGATTTCTTGCCATATGAAAACGTGGAACAGGGCAAGGTCAAGAACAAAGCCCCGTACTTTTAATCCATTTTATAGAATCTTTTTTTGATTATTGAAAGTCAATATTATTGAGGTATAATTTACATAAAAATCACATAGATTAAAATGAACCCATTTAAAGTGCACATTTTGATGAGTTTTGACCAACACATGCACCCCTGCAAGCATCGCCACAGTCAAGACGGAACATTTCTGCCATCTACCATGTCGCGTTGTGTGCATTTTTCACCCCTTCCTGGATCCAGGCAACCACAGCTCTGTCTTCTGTCTCTATTGATTAGTACAGTATTGCCTGTTCTAGAGTTTCACATAAGTGGAATCATACATTATGTACTATTTGTATCCAGCCATTTTTACTCAGCATAATGTTTGTGAGACTCGCTCATGAGGTAGCATATATAAGTAATTTGTTCTTTTTATTTCTAAAGAATACTCCACTGTGTAAATTTGTCACAATGTGTTTATGCACTCCCCTCTCGATGGACATTTGGGTTATGTCCAGTTTTTGGCTATCGTGATTAACTCAGTCTCAAATATTCCTGTATGAGTCCTTGTGAGTCTGTGTGTCCTTGTGTATGAGTCCATTCATTTCACTTCCCTTGAGTAAATGCCTAAGCGAGGAATTTTTACGTCATAAGGTAAGTGTATGCTTAACTGTATAAGCAACTGCCAGTTTTCCAAAGTAGTTGTCAGATTTTACCCTCCTGTCAGCAGTGTATGAGAGTGCACCTTGCATTGCCTGTCTAGCACCCTGAACCCTGAGTCCTAGGCACCAATACGTATGCACTCTGGCTTCCTGGTTTCTTTGTAAGCAGGTGCAAAGTGCTGGCGGCATGAGCTGGGAAAGGGCCCTTGAAGCCTTCTCCCATGCCTTGCTGGAGATGCAGTAAACAGATCTATTCGGTGTCTAGCCCTCACCTGGAGTTTGCAGCTCATCTCTGCCATGCCTTGGCTGAGAGTCCCAGTTGTTCTACATACT
The DNA here is from genome assembly GCF_000001405.40 of Homo sapiens. Lineage (NCBI taxonomy): Eukaryota > Metazoa > Chordata > Mammalia > Primates > Hominidae > Homo > Homo sapiens. The sequence continues at coordinate 121,676,238 of NC_000011.10, forward strand.
TGCCAACATTTGGTATTGTGTGCGGTGATAATTTATTGGGCAATTAATTTTTATTTCCATGATTACTAATGAGGTTGAGCTTCTCTCTCTTCTCTCCCTATGTGTGTGTGTGTATATATATATATATATATATAATGTCATTGTTGTTTTGTTTTGTTTTTCTTTCCACCTGATTTGTAGCTTTTCTTTTTATTTTCTTAATAGTATTAAAGATCAGAACAGCCATATTTAATTTTGATGGAGCTTAATTGATTATTTTTTCTTATATGATTAATGCTTTACTTGCCTTTATTATGGAATCATTGCCTACCCTGAGATTGATAACATTTTCTACTGTTTCTTTCTTGAAGTTTTGTAGTTGTAACTTTTAAGTTGAATTTAGTGACGGACTTTGAGCTACTTTTTTGTATGTGATGTGAAATAAAAGCCAAGATTTAAGTTTTTCTTCACAAACATCTGGTTATTCTAACACAGTTTTTTGAAAAGACTGCTTTTTCCCCCATTGAATTACCTTGGCAGTTCAACTGTTTGAATGAACTGACCAAAGGGTTGAAAAATCAACTGACCAGATATGAGTGTGGGTCTGTTTCTGGACCCTATATACTCTCCATTGATTTGTATGCCTGACCTCACACCAATGTGTGAGCACAAACCTCACTGGTTAGTGTCATTTCCTAGTAAATATAAAATCAGACAGCATAAATTCTCCAACTTTGTTCTTTATACAAAATTATATTATACATTATGGATTTTTTATTTCCCTATAAATATTAGAACCAGCTGTCAAATTCTACAAAAAAAAACTTTTATAATTTTGCTCAAAATTATATGGATCCTGGCTGGGTGCAGTGGCTCATGCCTGTAATCCCAGCACTTTGGGAGGCCAAGGCAGGTGGATCACCCAAGGTCAGAAGTTTGAGACCAGCCTGGCCAACAGGGTGAAACCCCATCTCTACTAAAAATACAAAAATTAGCCAGGCGTGGTGGTGCACACCTGTAATCTCAGCTGCTCGGGAGGCTGAGGCAGGAGAATCACTTGAGCCCTTGAGCCCAGGAGGAGGAAGTTGCAGTGAGCCGAGATTGTGCCATTGCACTTCAGCCTGGACAATAGAGTGAAGCTCCATCTCAAAATAAATAAATAAATAAATAAATAAATAATTATACGGATCCTATAGATCAATTTGGGAGAGTGATAACATTTAGTCTTTCAATCCATGAACATGGCATATCTTGGCTTTCTTCTCCAATTTCTCTCAACAATGTTTTTGCTTTGCCATTGTCAGTGTGCAGGTCTTGAAAAGATTTTTATACTTATCCCTTATTATATCATGTTTTTGAATGCTATGGCAAATTATATTGCTTTTAAATATTATTTTTTATTTTGTGTATAGAAATATAACTGACTCTTTCCTAACATCCTCTGACCTAGCATCCTCTATTGTGTGTTGACCTAGCATCCTCTGATATTCCAAATTTACTTAGTTTCAACGACTTCTTAGGTTCCTTAGAATTTTCTCCGTACGTGATATTGCCTCTAAATAATAGCAGTTTCACGCCTTTCTTTCCAACAACTATCTTTTTATATCTTTTTCTTTTCTCATTTCGCTGGCTGGAACCTCCAGTACAAAGTTGACTAAAAGTAGTGAGAGCTTATATTTTTGCCTTGTTACAAACCTTAGGGGGAAAGAGTTTAGTGTTCAGCATTAAGTATGATGTTAACTGTAGGTTTTCATAGACATCCTTTACCAGGTTGAAGAAAGTTTGCTTCTAGTCTCAGTTTACTGAGAGTTTTTATCATGAATGAATGTTGAATTTTGTCAAGTGCTTTTTCTGCATCTATAGAGATGATCATGTAATTTTCTCCTTTATTTTGTGGCAAAATTTTATGGCAAATTTCAGTGGCTGATTTTCAAATGTTAAATCAGTATTACATTCTTGGTATAAATCCTGTTTGGTTATGATGCATTATGATTTTTATACATTGCTGAATTTAATTAGCGAATATTTTGCTAACACTTTTGTGTTTATATTTATGAAGGATATTAGTTTGAATTTTTTTCTTGTAATTTTATTATTTGGTTTGGGTATCACATTATTACTGTCCTATAAAATGAGTTGGCAAATGTTTCCCCTTTTTTGTTTTCTAAAAAATATTCTGTGAAAAAAGTATTATTTTTTCCTTGTAAGTTTCAACTAACTGACTACGGAAACCATCTGAGGTGGGAGTTTGCTTTTTGGGAAAGTTTTACATTTTTGAAAAGAATGTCTTTAATTAAATTCACTTAAATATATTTTATATTCATACACTTACCATTTTGATGCTCTTCATTTCTTTGTGTAGATCGCAGTTTCCATTTGATGTCATTTTCCTTCAGCCTAAACTTCTTTAATATTTTTGTATGCAGATAGGCTGATGACAGATTCTTTTAGCTTTTGTTTTAAAAAAATGTCTTTATTTTGCCTCCATTTTTGAGACAGATTTTCAATGGATATAGAATTCTGGATTGACCATTTTCTTTCAGCACTTTAAAAGTGTCATTCAATTTCCTTCAGGCTTACTTTTTTTTTTTGGAAAGTCTGCAGTCAGTATTATTTTGCTTCTTTGTATATATTTTTTCTCTAAGTGCTTTTGCAATTTTCTCTTTATCTTTGATTTATACAGTTTCACTCTGGTGTGTCCAATTATTTTTATTCTACATGCTCTTTGTCGAGTGTCTTGGATCTCTGGATTTATAATTTTCATCAAATTTGGTAAATTTGTAACCATTATTTATTTAAATAATATTTTATGTTTGTCCTTCTAGGACTCAAATTACACACATGCTAGACTGCTTCCTCTTGTCTTGAAAGTCACTGATGTTATGTTCATTTTTTTTCTAATTCTTTTTTTCTTTCCTCTGCTTCAATTTGGATAATTTCTATTGCCTTGCCTAAAAGAACTTCAGGCAAGTTCTTAAAACAGAACTGGTCTTTTTTACTGCAATGTCTAGTCTGCTTTAGGTAAGTCTATTTAGTAAATTTTTTATTTCAGATATAATATTTTTCAGCTCTGGAAGTTCCATTTTGATTTTTTTTCATATTTTTAATTTATACTTTTATATTCTCTCTTAAATCATTAAACTTGTTTATATTAGCCATTTAAAAGTTGTTGTCTGCTACTTTCATAATTTCTATCTGTTCTGTCACTGTTCTTATTGCCTGTTTTTTTTTTTTTTTAAACTGACTATGGGTTCCATATCTAACCATTTCTGGTGTAGGGTGTCCATTGGGTGTTGTACATTGTGAAAGCTACATTGTTGAGTGTCTTGGATTTTGTTGTTTTCCTTTAAAGACCGGTGAATTTTGTTTTGGCAGACTATTAAGTTACTTGTGGATCACACTGACTGTGTTGAGATTTGTGTAAAAATTTTTAAAACTTGGGTCTAGAATAGTCTTTACCCTCACGGTAGTTTTATCTTATTACTGCTAAGGTGTGGTTCTTCTGTAGTCTCTGCTAAATGCCCTGAGGTTCTATGAACTCTCTTCATGCTGGCTGGCTGGAGCTTAACTATCTTCCAGCCCATGTGAGCTCTGGAAATTGTTTAGTTTACCACTCCCCAATATTTGTTGTTTTCCTGGCCTCATAGAGCTTCTGTCTGAAAATATGCAGCTTAATACTTAATAAAAGACTCAATGCAAATTTCTGGAGCTCTTTTCCTGTGTAGAATTCCTGCTCTGTTGTATTCTATTTCATAAATTCCAGCTGCCCCTGCCTGCTCAAACTCTGATTTCTGCCTCCTCAATTCAGCAAGAATGCTGTGCTTTGCTTGGGCTCCTTTCCTGTCTGCTGTGGCCTTGAAAATGCTTCCAGACAGAATGCCCATCCTCTTCTATAGCTCATCTAGTTTGCATCTCTTTTCTCAGAGATCGCAGTCCAGCATTGCCTATTTTCTAATGTTTGAAAATAATTGTTTTTTTTTGTCCAGTTTTTAAGTTATTTACTATAGGAGGGCAAACCTGGTACCAGTTACTCCATCATGGCCATTGATACAGGTTTAATCAGCTTACATAACAGAATTTTCATTTTGTCTGTATTTCTTTAAAGAAATCACCAGAAGAGTACAAAACCAACAAAAAATATATATGACCTCTGTATGATCACATTAATTCACTTGTCTGATAAGCCTTTTCAAACAGAAATAAGATTAGTGGATTTGACTTATTCATAATGAACCCATGCTGGCCTATAGGGATCACATCTCTTTCTCTTCGTAAGTCAGACATTTAATGACGTTTTAAGGATTTTTCCAGAGAATGTAATGTTTACCATTAAGCAGGTTTTGGAATATGCTTTTTAGAAATATGAAAATATTTATCTGTTTTTGGTCTTTGGCATAATATTTATAAATAACATTTATTTGCTTATGAAGTGCTTACTGTGTGCCTGGAAGCAGGCTACATGTTTTATATACCTTATCTTTTTGAGTCATCATAATACTGTGAGTTTTGAATCATTACAATAATATGAGTTCTTCTATTATCCTCACTTAATAGTTGAAGAAATTGAGAATTCGAGATATAAAATAACATGCTTCAGGCCACATAACCAGAAAGAGATGGAGCTGAAATTTGAATCAAAGAAGTTTGATTAGAAAATACCAGTTGAACCACTGGGCTATCCTTAACATCACCTGTCTTGAGCTTCGTGATTTCTCAGAATTTTCTTTTAACCAAAAAACTGAACTCTTTTTTTGTTTCTAAATATCATTTGAAGTACCCAAGGAATGCCGAATATGAACAAATATGGGGTCCTTCAGCGTCCTTTTTTTTTTTTTTTTTTTTTTTTTGAGACGGAGTCTCACTCTGTTGCCCGGTGTGGAGTGCAGTGACGCAATCCCGGCTCACTGCAACCTCCACCTCCCAGGTTCAAGCAATTCTCCAGCCTCAGCCTCCGAGTAGCTGGGATTACAAATGTGCACCACCACGTCTGGCTAGTTTTTTGTAGTTTTAGTAGAGATGGGGTTTCACCATGTTGGCCAGGCTGATCTGTTCAGTGTACATTGAGTATGTTTTACTGATTCATTTAATCTCTTTCTATTCTTAGGGCATTCCAGGCAAATGGAATAATATGAAAAACAGCAAAAGAAGCATGAAGCTGCAGAACTTATTAGTTCAAATGCAATATGGGGATGTTTTGTAGCAACATCACATGGATGTTGAGAGGGTTGAAAGGAAGGAAACACATTTTACTACATAAGGGACTAGTAATGAGAATGTATGTTTAAAGTTCATAGATATATTTGGTACAACCATGACTACAACACCTGAATAAATTTAATTAATGCTTTTCCTGTGAAGAACATATAGTACTTGAGTATATCATAAAATACTATTGTTAGTGGTTTCAGGAGGGAGAATCATTCACCAAACAAGACAGACAAGAAAATCATGAGGATAAGAGCTGGACAAGTGTGATGTGTTGTTGGTAGAGGACACCCAAAGGAGGGAGAGATCAGACTCACTTGTTTATTTAAAGATGAGTAAGAATTTGCCTGACAGATGGGAATCATGACAGCTGGAGAGAGGATGTTCTAGGCAAATGGAACAATATGTATAACAACATAGAGGCATGAAACAGACCACATTCTCTTTGATCAGTAATGTAACATATATATGAATGTGTACATTCAAATAAGTTTAAAATCTTAGTGCTCTCCTCCAAAGAGTTTATAACATAATTGAATAGATAATGTGCAAGTATGGGAAGAAAATGTTAATACTATGTGATAATGGTCTGATAAGTATCTGTTGAATAAATGAATGATAAATGAATGAATGTCAGCGTGTGCTAAATGCCAAATGACTAATGCTACTGGTAGGATCTCCAGGAGGACAGGGCAGGGGATGCTCACTTTTGCATGATATGATTTGGAGAGTCCTTGATGGAGAAGTGGGGATTGATCCAGACTTTGAAGGGTGGGTAGAAGTTGGATAAATGGATGAGGGAAGGTGCCCCAAGGGAGTGAAGAACAGCATCAGCAGAAGTAAGCAGGAGAGAGGGGTGTTATCAGGGAGGGAAGGATGAATGTGGAGGAGCTAGGACCAAAAGGTGGGCATCCCCAGATCATAATGGGCCACGAATCATAGGCTGATTTTGAACTTTGTTTTGTTGGTTGTTGGGGAATCCTAAAGGGTTCTGAGCATGGAACTGACAGGATAAAAGTAATTTTTAGTCATTATGGACAAACGTGAATTATACAACAGCCAAGCACGGTGTCTCATGCCTGTAATCCCAACACTGCGGGAGGTAGAGGCAGGCAGATCACTTGAGTCCAGGAGTTCGAGACCAGCCTGGTCAACATGGTGAAACTTTGTTTCTGCTGAAAATACAAAAAAGTTAGCCAGGCGTGGTGACACACACCTGTAATCCCAGCTCTTGGACCCGGGAGGCAGAGGTTGCAGTGAGCTGAGATCATGCCACTGCACTCCAGCGTGGGTGACACAGCGAGACTCTCTCTCTAAATAAATAAATAAATTTATGAAACTTTTTTTTTCCACAGTTCTTTAGCACCTACTGAGTGCCATACACAGGGTATTCCAAGATAAGTAAGACCCATTTCTTGCTTTTAAGGAACTTTGAAAGTGAAAGTGATGGTTGAGAAGAATTAATTTGGCAGTGATGAGAAGAGTGTATTGGAGGGAGAGAGAGGCAGAGAGAGCAGTTATGAAGCAATTAAGGTAATTTAGGCACTAGCACCTAGTGAGGTGGGATGTGGGGTGAGGCAGGGGTGGGAGACATAGGAAATAGGAAACAATGGATGGATATTGGGGCCCTCACAGAGGGAGAAATGACAGGTCTTGGGACTGACAAAAGATGGCAGACAGTTGAGAGCCAACAGAGCACCAAGCTTTCTAGCTTCAGTGGTTAGAATGGTGGTGGTACCAATGGCGAGAATTCAGAGTCGAAATGTACTGAGCATTCATTATATGCCAGAGGATGTAGTGAGCATTCACTATATGCCAGAGGATGTAGTGAGGATGTAGTGAGGATACAGCGGTGAATAGAAACAAGGCCTCTACTGTATTCTAAATAGAGAATATATGGATCTCATATTGTAGAGGAAGACAGACCATCACTCTTACTCCTTGCTGTACTTTATTCTCCATCCTGCCACTGCCTGGCATCTGATATCCTCTGCTTCAGTGTTGTTCAAGAGAAATATAAGGAGAGCCACGTTTGTAACTGAAAATATTCTAGTGGTCACATAAAAATGTAAGAAGAAATAGGTGAAATGATTTTTATTACAATATCTTATTTCACTCAACATATCCAAAACATTATCATTTTAACATTCAATCGATATTAAAAGCTTATTATAAGATTTTTTACATTCCTTTTTTTATACGGAGTTTCTGAAATTCAGTGTGTATTTTAAAACTTGTAACACTTCTTAATTTGGAAGCTAAATGTTCAATGTTTAAAGGAAAATGTAGCCCTATCAAAACAAAGTAGTTGTGTTTAACAAAAAAATATTTCACACGGTTTTAGTTCTTTAGTTGCACCAGACACGTCTCAAATTGTCCAGAGGCGCATTGGCTGGTGGCTACCATATTGGACCACACAGCTGTCTATTATCTGGCCCCTCTTTATTCTAGCTTAGGTTTCATTATGTCATCAGGCATAGGGCACAAGTGTCCCTGGTAATCAGGCAGGTTCCTGCATTATACCATAAACACAGCACAATAATTGAGGCTCAGCTTCCTCATCTGTCAAATGGAAACTAAAAATTCTTGTCTCATAGGGAAGTTGTGGGGAGCCAATCATATTACATGTGTGAAATCACCTACAACAGTGTTGGGGAATAGTAGATGTCAGCAAATATTAGTTTATTTTCCTCCTTCTATCTCATAGATAGATGTCATACATTTTTTAAGGATTCACTTAATCGCAATTTTTCGTAACATTGTACACAGTTGCTCTGAACATCTACTCATCTCTAGAATTTGTTCCCTACGGTTTGGCCCTTAGTCATGGCCACAGTTTTGCCATTTGCATTTTGTGATAATTTTTAGTCTTGTTTTTCCAACATCACTGGGATTCCTTCAGGTCAGGACCTGAAGGTCCTCTCCTTCCTTCTCAGATGTTTTCTGCAGTGCCGAATTCACAGTTCAAAATCAATACATGTATTCATATTTTGTGATTGACTGATTGATTGAGATTGTCTCTAAAGTATTCTTAGTGACCAGGGAAATTCCATTTGGATTTTAAAAATTAATTGTAGATAATAGACTTTGTGAATCCAGTGGCAAATGAATAATTAAGGTTTGGCTGTGATTTGCCCTCATATGGCATTCATCAATTTCAAGTTACTTTATGTTAAAATTTGTCATAAATTAATTTTGGGGAGTGAAATATGATTACATTTCAAAACTTTTGAAAGATAAAGGAGAAAAAAATCCCTCTGTAAACTTATCACAGTCCTTACAAAATTTTTAACTCAATTCAAGTTACTCTAATATTATATTATTGATACAATAAATTATATTGATAGGTTGCTAGGTAGAAAATAGGTTACTGTCTTCTTTTTGCAGATGGTGAAACTGAGGCTCAGGGATTCAAGAAAGTTGTGCAATTTGACATCAGAAATCAGGGTGAAGACACATGAGGAAGGTGGGTGTCTTGATAGTTTCTCCCAGCATGGTGCCCACAGGTTATGTTAGAACACTTACCTCCCAGAATCACTGGTTTGAGCTTTCATGACTGATAGGAATTAAAATTCAAGGGTTTACCAAGAAATTGCGTTGCCTTATTTTCATTGCGTGTTTAGTTGCCTTCTAGTATTATGTCAAAGTTTCTTAACATCAATAGAAAGAGAAGAATTTGCAAAAACCAAATGACTACGGCATTCAGTTGCATCCTTATAAGGGACCTGGATTCAGCTAGATCGTTGAGGCTTTGTTAGACCTTAAGCAGCATTGACAGTTTAAATTCGAGATTTCAACCCTTCCATAAGGCTGTTAAACTAGCCAGAAAATCTGGAGCATTTGAGAAATTCCACAGATTGAGGGGACACAAATGGACTGAAAGGAACCCAATTCTGGAGCTCAGGACCCAGGTGGAGGTGGAAGCAGGAGAGCAGTACCAGGGGTGCCAAGGCTCTGAGCTCCTCACATGACAGGGCTCCTTGAGCTCAGCTCTGTCCATTCCCACAATGCACCTGGTCCTTCCCATAGAATGGATCTTAGTATTTTGAGTGAGAGTCAGGAGAATATTATACTAGAGTCATCTTGCTGTCCTGTGTGGAATACACTGGGTTGCCCATTTAGTGAGTGTTTAAGTGCCTGTAGCATGCACACAATGTGCAGAGGGTTCAGAAACAGATTCAGAGAACATCAGAGGTGGAAGGCATCCTTACGCACTTTGTAGAGACGTCATGGGACTTGGAGCACTTCTGGGATTTGCTCAAGTCTTCTAACTAACCAGCCCAGTGCCATTTGAATAATCCCAGGTGTCCTATTTCAGTAGATTTTGATTTGCCCCACCTTTGTCCAAGTTTACAGTTTTCTGTTTATAATCATCGAGCAGGGCCCCAGGTTTCCTGTCTACAAAGGGGATAGAAGTGGAGTAAACTCCAGACAAAAAGGCCGTTTCCTACCCACTTGGACCTTCTGATGCCCTCCAAATCTATTTTTACACTTTTATATTATAACTTTTGTTTTCCAGTGGTTTCTTCTGCATCCCTATAGCCTTCTTGCCAGGAATCGAGTCCCAAGGATTCTTTTTTCAATTTCTTTTTTTAAAAAATGATTTCAACTTCTATTTTAGATTCAGAGGGTACATGTGCAGGCTTGCTACATGAGTATATTGTGTGATGCTGAGGTTTGGGGAACGATTGATCCTATCACTCAGGTAATGAGCATGGTAGCCAATAGTTGGTTTTTCAACCCTCCCCATCTCCTTCCACCCTCTAATAGTCCCCAGTGTATATTGTTGCCATCTTTATGTCCATGAGTACCTGTGTTTAGCTCCCACTTATAACTAAGAACATGTACTATCTGGTTTTCTTTTCCTGTGTTAATTTGCTTAGGATAATGGCCTCCAGCTGCATTCATGCTGCTGCAGAGGACATGATTTCATTCTTGTTTTTTTTCTTTTTTCTTCGAGATGGAGTTTCGCTCTTGTTGCCGGATCGGAGTGTAATGGCGCTATCTTGGCTCACTGCAACCTCCACCTCCCAGGTTTAAGCGATTCTCCTGCCTCAACCTCCCAAGTAGATGGGATTACAGTTACCTGCCACCACGCCCAGATAATTTTTTGTATTTTTAGTACAGACGGGGTTTCACTATGTTGGCCAGTCTGGTCTCGAACTCCTGACCTCAGGCGATCCACCCCGCTCAGCCTCCCAAAGTGCTGAGATTACAGGCATGAGCCACCATGCCTGGCCAATTTCATTCTTTTTTATGGCCACATAGTATTCTGTAGTGTATATGTCCCACATTTTCTTTATCCAGTCCACTGTAGATGGGAACTTAGGTTGATTCCATGTCTTTGCTATTGTGAATAGCACACAATAAACATGGGAGTGCCAATGTCCTTCTGGAAAGAACAAGTTATTTTCCTTTGGGTATATACCCAGTAATGGGATTGCTAGGTTGAATGGTCATTCTGTTCTAAGTTCTTTGAGAAACCTCCAAACTGCTTTCCACAGTTGCTGAACTAATTTACATTCCTACCAATAGTGTCTAAGTATTCTCTTTTCTCCACAGCCTCACTAGCATCTGTTGTTTTTTGACTTTTTAATAATAGCCATTCTGACTGGTGTGAGATGGTATCACCTTGTGGTTTTGTTTTGTATTTCTCTGATGATTAGTGATGTTGAGAACTTTTATATAAACTTGTTTGTTGCTCATATGTCTTCTTTTGAGAAGTGTCTGTTCATGTCTTTTGTCCACTTTTTAATGGGGCTCTTTGTTTTTTGCTTGCTGAGTTGTTTAATTTCCTTATGGATTCTGGACATTAGACCTTTGTAGGATGCATAGTAGTGGATATTTTCTCTCATTCTGTAGGTTGTTTGTTTACTCTGTTGATAGTTTCTTTTGCTGTGCAGAAGCTCTTCAGTTTAATTAGCTCTCACTTGTCAATTTTACTTTCTGTTGCAATTGCTTCTGAGGACTTAGTCGTAAATTATTTCCCAAAACTGATGTCCAGAATGGTGTTTCCTAGGTTTTCTTCCAGGAGTCTTATAGTTTCAGGTCTTACATTTAAATCTTTGATTCATCTTGAGTTATTTTTTGCATACGGTAAAAGGTAGGGGTCCAGTTTCATTCTTCTGCATATGGCTAGCCAGCTATCCCAGCCCATTTATTGAATAGTCAGTCTTTTCCCCACTGCTTATTTTTGTTGACTTTGCCGAAGATCAGATAGCTGTAAGCGTGTGGCTTTATTTCTGGGTTCTTTATTCTGTTCCATTGGTCTAGGTATCCTTTTTCTTACCAGTACTATGCTGTTTTGGTTACTGTAGTCTTACAGCACATTTCGAAGTGTGCTACAAGTATGATACCTCTGGCTTTTTCCAAGGATTCTAATGGGAGTCCACTGGACACTTTATCCCAATGTAGCTTAAATATTATGACAACGGTCTTTTGCTATCGGAGGAGGTCACGAACTTAAAGAATGTGGTCCCAGATGAGCAGGCATTATTATAGTCACCTTCTGTCAGGGTGAGGGAGAGGACAGAGAGGGGAACCAGCCAGTTCAGAGACACCCAGCAAATCAGGATGGACTGCCCTCAAGTGCACACCCCTGTGTACTTGCTCCCATAGGGAAATGACAGTGACCTAGACCTCCAGGGCTCAGGATTCAGGCTGTCCAGAGCACTCATGGTCTCTCCGCATGCCTCTTCTCTCTCACCCTCCAGAAAGCTTTCAAACAGCTCAAGTTTCACTGCGGGTTGGAGTGGGAGGCAGGCTGGCCTGGCTGCAGCAGTAATTTGTCTGGTTTACTAGGTCAGTTTCCTGTCAGGCTCACTGTGGTTTAAAATTATTGTGGAGCCCGGTTTCTTATTGACAGAGGCTTTATAAGCCCCCAGTATGTCTGTCCCTGCTTCCATCCCGCAGGGAGCAGCTTGTCCATAACCTTTCCAGGCATTGCTTCTATTATTGAGGGCTAGATATTGTTTTCCTGGGTGACCTGTGATGTAGTACAGTACCACGGCTTTGAATTCCACATTTTGGGGCCTAAAGAAGGGTTGATGCTGACTTTCCTTAGCTCCATTTCTGGTGAAACACTGCAACACAATTTCTTTTTTTGAAGGAAATCTCACTTGATTTGTAAATGCAGCCTATTGTCTTATTCTTCCTCCTTTACCTATATGCTGGCTTGTCTGGCAGTCATCAGCCACATGTAGCTATTGCACACTTGACATGGGGCCAGTTCAAATTCAGATGTCCTCTATGTACAACAAAGCATGTAAAATAGCTCATGAAAAATTTTTATATTGACTGTATGTTGAGATGATAATATTTTAATATATTGGCATTAAAAAACCATTAATTTCACCTGTTTCCTTTTGCTTTGTGAATGTGGCTAATTTGTGTTAAATGTGGAAAATGTTTAACTTACACGTGTGGCTCCCATGAAGTTTCTGTTGAACAGCATTGATCTACATCAGTTTATTTTCTCTAAAATGCCAACGGCTTTTGTAATCCTACTACTATTTGAAAGACCAGGGTTCAACTCCTGGTTCCTAGATCACTAGTTTGTCATCTCCAGCAAGTTGCTGCCCTATACTTAGCTTCAGATTCTTCACCGATTGCTAATTTAACACTGCCCACGCTACCAATCTCTCATGGAATTTTATAGGTGGAAGGGAATCTTTTGAAATGCATAGCACTGGCTGTAAGGAATTAGAATGATCGTTAGGTGGTAACAGCTGCCATCTCTAATAGAGGATCCAGTACATCCAGGATTATTCCTCATCTTCCACTTCGTGCAAGGAGAAAACTGTGAGAAACTTTTTCTTCCTAAAAGTTAAGAACAGCAGTTTGAGAGGCTTAGACTGTCCTTTGGTTAACAGTTCCCAAAACAGATCTGAATAGGTAAAAACAAAGAGGCCATCCAATTGGATGAGGAAAGACTGAAAGTTGCTGGCATTTCATTTCCTTTGTTCTCATTCTTGGTCATCAGAATAGAAACTGATGGGCAGTGAGTGGGGTGGACGGCCTCTGCAAAGTGGCCTGATCAGATTCCTGAGCATCTAGGTCATTGGGCAGGATGGCGCCTGGCTGGAGCCACCGTTGCTCTCTTCTGACCTTGAAAGGTGTGACAAGTGGATCTGCATTCATTGCTCTGTGAGCCTCTATTGAGTATCTATGATGTGCTGGGCATTGACCTGATCTTTATGAGAATTTGGTAAGCCTGCAAAGGAGTAAGTAGTGGAAATGAGAAAAAGTGTGTGTTTGATATTAATCAACAATGACAACAATCAAACAAACTAGAGACAGGAAAGAATGTAAGATACTCTTCCCTTCCTGTATTTTTTTGCTTCTTTTATTCAGAGACCCTGACACTTACGGTTCTTTGGAAATGAATGTAGGAATGAGTGAATGAGTTGTTTATATCAAAATAGACATATTTATTTGTAAAATAAAACCATTTTGGTGTTGTGATTATCTTTTAAGTTCCCAAATAAGGTGCTCGAAGATGTTAGGTATCAGTTTGGAGCAAAGAGGGAATCAATAAATACTTGATGATTTAAAAGTTAACTGATAATGTCGCATACCAGAGAAGGAGGATTCACCCTCTGTTTATCTGATGTCATAGATTTTTCTGAGGGGTGGAGAGAATGATTTCTCCTTCGAACCATACAGATATAATTTTATGTCAACACAAAAATGTGATGATACTATACATGCACTTTGTTGCTGTTGTAAGTGTGGTTTTCCTTTTCTGTTTTTGCTTGGCTCTTCCTTTCCCCACTCTTGTTCCCATCAACTTGACCTCTGCCCATGAGGTACATATTAGCATACTAATATATTTCCATCTTCACTTTTCTCCATCCTCACATAATCACACACACATCATCATCATCATACACATATAACATGTCTTTTGTCACAGTGCATTTTTATTAAATGGAGTAAAATTCTATCCTTTCCTCATTCAATGATACTGCATGGACATTCCACCAGGGCATCTAGTATAGCTCCAACTCATTCTTTTTTGTTTTCTGAGATGGAGTCTCACTCTGTCACCCAGGCTGGAGTGCAGTGGCGAGATCTTGGCTCACTGCAACCTCTGCCTCCCAGGTTCAAGCAATTCTCCTGTCTCAGTCTCCTGAGTAGCTGGAACTGCAGGGACATGCCACCATACCTGGCTAATTTTTGTATTTTTAGTAGAGATGGGGTTTCACCATATTGGTCATGCTGGTCTTGAACTCCTGACCTCAGGTGATCGACCCACCTCAGCCTCCCAAAATGCTGGGATGACAGGTATGAGCCACCACCCCAGGCTGTCCAACTCATTCTTTTTAATGACCACATAATATTCCATTCTGTTGATATATCATCATTTCTCAATCATCCCTTAGCAATAGGCATTCACTTTGTTTCTAGGTGTGTGTGTTTGTTTCTTTTTGACACTGTGAACAATGCTTGTCTACATATCCTTTTTTTTTGTACTGGCATTTTTATTTATATAAGTTAAGTCTCAGGGCTGAGATTACAGAGTATATATGTATTTTAAAATTTTAATAAATATTTGTTCCATTACTTTTTAAAAGCCTGTAACAATTCATATTTTCATAAACTGTGTAAGAAACTAATTCTTTGCCACATTTTTACCCAAAATGGTGTGTTTTCTTTTTGTAAGAAATATTTTATAAGTATAATTGATCTAAATTAATAATTCATTGCTCTGGACCAAGGTTCTTAACCATTATTTTGGCCATGGACTCCTTCTCAAAATACTAGTTTTTTGTTTGTTTGTTTGTTTGTCTTGTTTTTTGTTTTTTGAGATGGAGTCTTGCTCTGTCGCCCAGGCTGGAGCGCAGTGGTGCAATCTCAGCTCACTGCAACCTCTGCCTCCTGGGTTCAAATGTTTCTTGTGCCTCAGCCTCCTGAGTAGCTGGGATTACAGACGTGCCGCCACCACACCCAGCTAATTTTTGAATTTTTAGTAGAGGTGGGGTTTCACCATGTTGGCCAGGCTAGTCTTCAACGCCTGACCTCAGATGATCTACCTGCCTTGGTCTCCCAAAATGCTGAGATTACAGGCGTGAGCCACCATGCCAAGCCTGAATACTTTTTTTTTAATAAGCAAAATAAATTACATAGGATTACAAAGAAAAACCAATTATATTGAAATATAGTTATCAATTTTTTTAAATAATGGATACTTGGATGTAGAAAAAAGAGAATAAGTCAAACATATTTTTAAAAACCCTATTTGTGATACAGAAATGTGTGTGTCTCTATTAACATATTAAATAACAAGGTCTACTTGCAGGTCTAATAGCTATCATAAATTAAAAGAAGTGATAAATATAATTGGTATTTCAAGATATATGAACCAACTGTAACATATGAACATATTTATGATTTCTATTGGAGACAAAGTCATAGGTACTGCTAATGATACTGTGGTTTGTTGTAATTGAAGTAAATACAACATTTCAGTTAGAAATTAATGAAACAAATGTAATAGGGCTCTAAGTTCATGAACCACTCAATATTATTCATAGACTCCTTGGGATGACCCTGTCCTCTAAGTTAAATACCCCTGCTTAGACCTTCAGAGAAGAGACCCTAGAGACTCTTTTCTACTCTTTAGTTTTATAGATGAGGAAACTGTGCTTCAGGGACATTATCATAGAGACTGTGGTCCAACCAAGAGCTGAATTCAGATCTCCCGGCTCCCTACCCTAGTATTCTTTTGCCACAAATATCACCTTTCTCTAGGGAAGCCAACCCCAGCAGACAAGGTTTCCTTAGTTTCCTCTGTTTGGCTCCAAATCCTGGTTAGACCACAGATTGAAAAACTATGGTTCATGGGCAAAATCCAGCCTACTGCCTTTTCTTGTACATGCAGTTTCATTGAAATACAGCCATGCCTATTTGCTTACTCACTGCCTATGCTGCTTTTCTGCTACAAGGGGAGAGTAGAGTCGATGCAATGAACCCTATGGACCATGGAGCCTGCAATATTTACCATCTGGCCCTTTACAAGAGCAGTGAGCTGACACCTGGCTTCAACCTACAGTTTGATGTGCTCTCTTGCCTCAACTGTGCTTTGATACTTCACATTCCAACTGTGGTGCTGAGGGGCACAATAGCACTCTTGTTTCAGGGACTGTGCATCAGCTGCTCCTGTTCTCAGGAATACTGGGCCCCCCACCCCCACTCCTATGATTTCACAGAGCTTTCCCTGCTTCACTCCTTTCCCCATGTCCAGTGTATGTGCTCCTAATGTGTGCCCTGTTCGTGTATTGTGCCCACCCCGAATAGCACTAGTTATGTTGTACTGTAATTGAGTTACTTGTTTGTCTCTCATATTATATATAAACACTCCGGCTGGGCACGGTGGCTCACGCCTGTAATCCCAGCACTTTGGGAGGCTGAGGCGGGCGGATCACGAGGTCAGGAGATTGAGACCATCCTGGCTAACACGGTAAAACCCCGTCTCTACTAAAAATACAAAAAATTAGACTGGTGTGGTGGCGGGCACCTGTAGTTCCAGCTACTCGGGAGGCTGAGGCAGGAGAATGGCATGAACCCAGGAGGCGGAGCTTGCAGTGAGCTGAGATCGTGCCGCTGCACTCCAGCCTGGGCAAAAGTGCGATACTTCGTCTCAAAAAAAAAAAAAAAAAAAAAAAACCAAAACACTCCAAGGGCAAGGACTGTGTCTGCCTTGGTCACTGTTATATCTCTAGTATCTGGCTCTAAAGAGATGCTCAAAATATACTTGTTGAGTGGTGAATGAATGAAGAATGAAGTAGGTGAAATTTATCCTCAGTGGCCACTGTCTTGACATCCTGGTCTTTGTGCCTTTTGGTTTAGGGACAGCCATCACTACCCAGCCCCCCTTCATGTGTTTCCAGGAAATAATTTGGTGAACTCATCCTTAAATGACTGATATAGATTAATAGAAGTGCTACAAGAGCAGAAACCTTATACATATTATTTACCCCATCTATCTATTCCCCAGCACTGTGCATTGTATAGAATGTTTAGTAGATATTTGCTAAATAAATTAATGTTTATAGTAGTGCAATTTCGAATTAGGCCAAAGAAACACATCTCTAATTGTGGAATTTCTTGTGTCAGGGTGCTTAGTTGGGGAATATTTTTGGAAATAAGATGTCTTGGAATTTTTTAAAAAAATTGACACATAATGGGCTAGACGCGATGGCACATGCCTGTAATCACAGCACTTTGGGAAGCCAAGGTAGGTGGCTTGAGCTCAGGAATTCATGAGCAACCTGGGCAAGATGGTGAAACCCCATCTCTACAAAAAATACCACAATTAGCCTGATGTGGTGGGGCACACCTTTAGCCCCAGCTACTTGGGGGTCTGAGGCAGGAGAATCACTTGAGCCCAGGAGGTTGAGGCTGCAGTGAGCTGAGATCACACCACTGCACTCCAGCCTGAGTGATAAAGTGAGACCCTGTCTCAAAAAAAAATTGACACATAATAATTGTGCATATTCATGAGGTACATAGTGATGTTTCAATGAACATAATATGTAGTGATCAGTTGAGGGTAATTAGTACATCTGTCATCTCTCAAACACTTATCATTTCTTTGTGTTGGGAACACTCAAAATCCTCCTCCTAGCTGTTTGAAGCTGTATAATATATATATATATATTTTTTTTTTTTTGCTAATTTTTGTATTTTTAGTAGAGATGGGGTTTCACCATGTTGGCCAGGCTGGTCTTGAACTCCTGACCTCAGATGATCCACCCACCTCAGCCTCCCAAAGTGCTGGGATTACAGGCGTGAGCCACCGTGCCCGGCCAATATTATCATTAACTATAGTCATCCTCCTATAGCATGCTAGAACTTTCATTGTGTTTCTGAAATATCACTAATTCCAAGACGTCCCATCCCATCTAACTGTAACTGACCCATCAGGGTAGTTTTGGCATCTCCGGTGTCAGTGTAGATGATTGGAAATGTTAGTGTAACATGAATGAGGAGAGGTATGAAAACCCAGAGAAAGCAAGTATTTTGTGAGAAAGAGTCTGCTATCTTTGTAGCTCCCATAGTTCAAAATTCTTTCACCCCCAAAGTGCAGAAGTTAGTATTTTTCAATGTTTATAAGTAGCTGTGACAGTTCAGCTTCTGAACTCCAGTCCTAGCTTTGCTCTGGGACCACTACTGCTGGCTCTGGCTAAGAAAGAGACTCAGTGTCCCAGGTGCTGTGAGCCCTGAAAGCTTGTTCTCAGGGACATGGCCCTGTCGGGGGCCAGCCCCCATTTTCTTTTATCAGTGCCTAGGGGCTTTCGGTGTTTGCTAGAGATTTGGGCTGCTCCCAGCTATGGAGGATACTGGAAGGTGCCACATGCTACTGTCCAATATTCTATTTTTCTAATACTAGGCTTCTGTATTTTCCCAGTGCCCTGATGTTGTGTTTTCAATGTGGGGATGGAGCCTGTATTGATAAAGAGATCTTACTACCCCCATTCAAAGTACCAGAGAATTTGGATATCTCTCACAAGTTTTTATTTTTATTTTTCCAGCCTTTCGAAGGGCTGGAGAGCTGATCCAGTTACCACTCTTACATTTTTCCAGTTATCAGCTCAGAGAGGGCTCATGAAAGAGAGGGAGGGCAGGTAGGGAAAGTGAGAAAAATAACAAGCATTGCCTTCCACATCTAAAATGTTTTAGCTTTGCTTCCCTGCCGGGCTGAGGCTGGGAAGGACAAGCTCGATTAGCTCTAATAAAATCCTCTTCCTACAAGTCTTGATTCTCGGTAACTTTTCTTGGGTGGAGGGGACATGATAGATTCTCTTTAGATTTAAAGCCTCTTGCCCTGTGGGCATCCAATACCAAGACCCTTTCTTTCCCATGCACAGCCCCCTTATCTAGCCTGCTTGAGAAAAATACTTTATTCTTTTTTTTTTTTTGAGATGGAGCCTCGCTCTGTTATCCAGGCTGGAATGCAGTGGTGCGATCTCGGCTAACTGCAACCTCTGCCTCCTGGGTTCAAGGAGTTCTCCTGCCTCAGCCTCCCGAGTAGCTGGGATTACAGGTGCCCGCCACTGCGCATAGCTAATTTTTGTATTTTTAGTAGAGACGGGGTTTCACCGTGTTGACAAGGCTGGTCTTGAACTCCTGATCTCAGGTGATCCACCCGCCTCAGCCTCCTAAAGTGCTGGGATTCCAGGCGTGAGCCACCATGCCTGGCTGAAAAAAATACTTTATTCTTTTTTTTTTTTTTTTTTTTTTTTTTGAGACAGAGTCTCGCTCTGTCACCCAAAGCAGTGGAGAGCAGTGGCATGATCTTGGCTCTGCAAGCTCCGCCTCCCAGGTTCATGCCATTCTTCTGCCTCAGCCTCCCTAGTAGCTGGGACTACAGGCACCTGTTACCATGCCTGGATAATTTTTTTGTATTTTTAGTAGAGACGGTTTCACCGTGTTAGCCAGGATGGTCTCGATCTCCTGACCTTGTGATCTGCCCGCTTCAGCCTCCTAAAGTGCTGGGATTACAGGTGTGAGCCACTGCACCCAGCCAATACTTTACTCTTGACTCTCCATAGCTCTAGTCCCTCCTGCCCAAGCATTGGTGCAGATTATCTGAGGTGATTTGGTTTTGACCTCCCAATGCCTTGTTTCCCTGGGCATCCAGCCCACCTGGGCCTAAGCCCATAAGGTCTTCATAAAATATCCAGGTGGTCTGGCCTGCTGGATATTCCATAAATGGCCCTTAAATAAAGATGGTACCATTGGCTAAAATAATGTACCACGTCAGGGCAGGGAAATTGTGTAAGTGCCAAAAACTTCCCGGCCCACAGGGCGACTACAGCTCTCATCCCTTCTGGAACATACCACCAGCCTAGGGATGGGCTGTGACGAATATTTGGCCTCAGGCAACGCTGGAGCCCAGGGAAAGCTTTAGTTGCATGTGTGTTTTCTCACAGAATTATAAAGCCCAGCAGCTCTCGGTGCCAGAGGCTGCGGAGAGTTTCTGTGTTTTTCGACTATTCATTAGTGATTACATACCCCCCTGAACACCTGCAAGACCAATTCATAAAGCAAGCATTCATGGACTTTGGCAACAGCTTCATGGGAACTGCAGGGTACGGGGTACGGTCATTGTATCTCCAGATAAAAAACATTCTCTTACCAAGGAGGCCTCTGAAAATAGCAGGCTGCAATTTCAGTTCGACACCACGGGGTATTAAAAAGAAAAGTGTTACTTCACCTCGTCTCTTTATAAAGTCAGCACACTGTGAGGCTGTGGCATTCCTCGACAAATCCTCTTTCAGGACCCTTTCGGGAATGAGAAGAGGGGAGTGGTGGGCACTGCATTGATTGTGACGGGGCCAGCCCGGCCGTGGGTACGTGTGGCATGCTCTCCAGCGAGTGACACTGATTTACAGCAGGATAACAGGAAGTGTGGAGCTTGGGTGGCCTGCTGTGTAATTCTGGGTGACAGATTGCCCCTGCCACTTACAAAAACGGTGCTATAATTAATCCAAACAGGCCAACAATAATAAACAACGAAAAAATAATATCTTTATACAAAATATGGGATTGACCTTTAGTATGATTCTTTTTCACCTTAATTTTTTTTTCTTTTGCGTGCTCTCTGTTAAATAACAGAATGGCAGGGGCTGGAAGAGTATGGCTCGGAAAGACAATGCCGGAACATCGTGGCAGCTAAGTCTGAGCTGAATGCGCAGAATGAGAGGTTTACTCAGAAGTCCTGCGAGGACCATTGCACAGACTAGGGAAGCTGAGTCTTGTCTGGGCATCTGAAAACAAATGTATTTTGTCTGTAGAGGCAACATGAAGTTTAATTTGATTCTATCAGATGAGATTGGCCTGCCTAGAGAATTGAGCAGTTTTTCTTGAGTGTGTGTGTGTGTGTGTGTGTGTGTGTGTGTATGGGGGGGCTCCAACTCTCCCTCTCCCCTCTGCTCTGCCAGTATAGACAGCCTCCAGTGCTCAATTAGCCTCCTGAAGTGCTTCATTCTCTGATAACAGCTTAGACACTAGGAGAAACGGTGTTCACAGTGTGTTTCATCCTCACACGTATAAACACACATAGTCACAAACTCATTTAGGTTAGAAAGGACTTTTAATGGGACATCTGGCTCTCTTCCACTGCTTCTTGTCGAGGCAAAGTAGGTTCCCTTGTTAATATGTATACTCTAGCAATCACACCATGGCTAGGGTCTGTGGCTATATAGAATTATGTTTTGTCTTTTGTTATTGATTCAACTAGTGCAAGGGGGCAAAAGTCAAACCTAAGAAATCATAGTCAGAATTTCCATTTACATGGAAGGAGTGGGGAAGCTTAAATGCTGGGCAAAAAAGGGAAGATGTGGCCAAAAACTCAGTGAAGAGAGGATGATGGTGACAGTGATGACATGATGTATAAATGTAGTAAAAATCTCACTCTTTTTTAGTTGGGGGAGGCAGTAGAGTATAGTGGCTAAGATTATGGATTGTGGAGCTAGATTTCTCGGGTTCAGATCACAGCTTTGCTACTTACTAGCTGTGCGAACTTGGACCCATTTCTTATCTCTCCATTTTTCAGAGTTTAAGGAGCTTCCTCATCTGTAAAACAGCATAATAATAGTTGATTATTTCAGAGGGTTATTGCAAGTATTAAGCAAATTACCATGGGCAAAGCCCTTTAAACAGTGCCCAGCTATGTAAATGTTAACTGTCACCAGTTAAATTATCTAGATCATTGCCTATTGGCAAAGAATTCTGTACATCATCCATTGCATTCTTAGGAATGATCGCTCTACTTCGTGTTTAATAATCACAATTATTAAGCATTTACCGCACGTCAGATATTGTGCATACCCCAACTCTTCTAATACTTACAACAGCTCTCTACAAAGGAGAGTACTGAGATTAGAGAGAGTAATTAGTTCAAGATCACATAGCTAAGAAATAGTAGATTTATAATTCAATCCAGGTCAGCAGGGCTCGTGCCTGTAATCCCAGCACTTTGAGAGGTGGGCAGATCACCTGAGGTCAGGAGGTTGAGACCAGCCTGGCCAACATGGTGAAACCCCCTCTCTACTAAAAATACAAAAATTAGCTGGGTGTAGTGGCAGGTGCCTGTAATCCCAGCTACTTGGGAGGCTGAAGCAGGAGATTCACTTGAACCCAGGAGGCAGAGGTTGCAGTGGGCCAAGATCACACCACTGCACTCCAGCCTGGGTGAAGGAGTGTCTCAAAAAAAAAAAAAAAAAAAAAAAAAAGGAATTCAATCCAGGTCGACTCTGACCACCATATTTTAAATCAACAAGTTGTCCTATCTGTATTTGCCTCTAAAGAGTGAAAAGTAATGACAAATTTTGTATTCCATCTTTTTTTTATGATTGTCTTTAGTGTTCTATTCACTATTTTGAATGTGTGATGTAGGCAATGCTGAAAGTTAGGGAAGCCTTATGTTCATATAGCACTGCTCTAGACAGGTAGACTCAGGGCAGCATGCAGAGGGCATTCATTCTGGAGTCAATCTGCCTGTCACTGCCTCTCTTGATCCCATTACCGCTCAAAATCTCAGTGCCCCCTCAACAAAATGGGAATAATAGAAACTTACTTTGAAGGGCCTTTTCCGCCTTTAAATGAAGTAATATATGTTAAAGACCTGGGATAGGTTTGGCACTTAGTAAATGGTATGTTTTATAACTAGCAGCAATGGTTAACTCCTCAAGGATCTCAATGAGTTATCTTGGGGGAAGTAGAAGCTGATTAATAAAATAGGAAGATTTCACCAGCTGCAGTAATAGTCATAACGTCAGATCCATAAAAATGGTCTATCTACTTCTGTCTCCCAGTATTCATACATAAGCAGTCATTTGAAGCAAGACATTCTTCAAAGAATTCAACCTGTGAAAAAAGTCAGTAAAATCAGGTATCCACTATATCCAGTTTTTCCTAATGGTAGGATATTTTGCTTTGTTAAAGATAATTGCCTCAGCTTTCCAGGGCACTTCCAGTGTGCTTTTGTGGAGGTAGCCATGCTCTATATACTTGAAAAGAGCAACTAGGTTTTGTTAGATAATTCCTTATTTTCTTCATGTCACCTGTTAACTCCAGGCTTGATTCAGCCCCGTCCACAGTGTAGACTCTACGTAGCAGTAATGGAGAAGGTTGTTAGTTACCTAATAATGATGAAACGCTGGATAATTTACCCAGAATAAAAAGCTTGCTCTTTTCTGGATGATCTGGTTAATTATTTGGTTAAATTAGGTTAAAACCTTTTCTGTCGGGGTCTCTAATTATCTGGAAAACCAGGTAACTGTGTCCTTTTAAGAGCTTTTAGACTTGAATTATTCATCGACATAACCCAGCATCCCGGGAAGATTCCCAATTCTTCACCTGCCTTTTTGTGCATAGATTTGGATTGAGACTCTTGAGCTGTTCTATTTACAGCTGCTTGTAGATGCAAAATATTCAAACCATCTCCTTTTTTTTTTTTCCTTTACAAAAGAGAGAACCAACTTTGAGCTGTGAAGATGCTGGTGCTCAGCTTGGAAGATTGGTAGCAAATTTTCCCGAGAGACACAAACAAACACATACATAACTTGAATATCAATGAGGTCTTTTTAGAGGCGACGCATTAAAATGCAAGGCAGGAGATAATGAGATAAGCAGCAAGTTACAGGTTTCTTAATTCTAGCGTGAAAAGAGAGAGGGAAAAAAATAAAAAGAACAGAAAACCCCCCAAAGTAGCTCAGCACAAGAATCTACTGAGCTTGGTATTAGGCTTGTTTGCGGAGGGTGTTAGGGGGCGTTTTCTGTAGTGACCTCAGTGACACAAATAGAACTGGAAAGAATTATCTTGGAGGTGACAGGAAAGATATTAAAACCAGGCCAAAAATTTTTTCTCAGCTCCAGCCTTACAGCTATTTCCTACTTCCACTAGTATATATATCTCTTCTGGTTATGGCTCAACTCTTTCCTGACTATTCTGAAGAAAAAAAAATGGTTCCCGTTTCTTGAGAGCAGACCGGTACCAGACATTGTACTAGGTGCTTTGATCTCTTTTAACCCTTACAGCAATCCTGTTGGTTGATGTTTTTGTCCTCTTGTGACAACTGAGGAGACTAAGGTTCGAGGATTACTACTTAAGGAATAAGACCCAATTTGCTCAGACTCCAGAGGTAGGCTCTTAGCACAGCTGCCTTCTGGATGAACAAAGTTATGCCCAGACAAGTGATTTATCTGCCATGCTTCAGTGTGGCATGGGAAAGACATAGAACAAGAATGAGTCTGGGGCTGCTTAGTGAAGATGTATTTGAAAGAGAATATCACTTGGAGTCAGAAAATCTGGGTACCAGGCTTGCTTCTGCCTCTCACTGTGTGGCTCTGGGTGAGTTCCTTAACTTCTCTGATTCAGTTTCTTCCTTGGTAAAACTGAGATATAAATACCTATTTTTCAGCAGTGTTTTGAGACTTAAGTAATATATGTATATGTGTGAAAGTGAGGAAATAGTCAATACATGTTAAAAAACAAAAACAAAAAGCCAGACCCACACTCCAGGAGGAAATCAGGACAAATACCTACTTTTTTTTTTTTTGCTTCCTCCCTACTCTTGCTGTCACCACCTTCATTTAGGCTTCATCTTTTGTCACTTGGACTTTTGCAACGTTCTGTGTCTGTCAGCATCACCTGCTCCCATGCTTTATCTCTTTCAAGGCATCTTCCCATCTTCTAACAAGACAGAATTCTAAAACTAAAGTATTATATAATCACGTGACTCCCCAGCTTAAGATCCTCCAGTGGCACCTCATGGACCCTGGTGGCTTAAGATCCTCCAATGGCGCCTCACGGACCCTGGGACAAAATCCAAATTTCTCACTGCAATGTGGATCTGTAGTTGTTCTTAAGGATATGCCTTCTGCCTCCTTTATTAGCCCCTGGTCATAACAGGTTGTCCTCTGCCTGCCCACTGGATTGAGCTACTTGCAATCTGATAATGACTTCTCATCCTTTCTAACTTCAGGCCTTTGTACATGCTGTGCCTTCTTTTTGGAATGCCCCTCAGCTCAAACACTCCCTCTGCTCTGAAGCCTTCTCTGATTTTGATAGCCAGAAATAGCCACATTTTTGATACCACAGCTAAAAATTTACCAAATCGTGGCAGTGATTTCCTTGTCTGTGTTTCATCTGCTAGATTGGGAACTCCTGGAAGGCAAGACCAGGGTGATTTATCTTGAGCACCAAGCATGATGCTTCATATGTGTCAGTGATTCACAAAGCACTGCGGGTGGGAATGGGTGATGCACCCATCAGGAGGCTGCTGCAATTGTCCAGGGAAGAAAGTTCCCCAAGAATGGAGGACCTGAACCAGGGCAGCGGCAATGGAGATGAAAAGGGAGATATAGGTTAAAGAGATTTAGGAGATTATTTAACTATAGAAACAATTGTGTGCCAAGTTCAAGGTAGAGAGAAGAATCCAGCACGGTGTTTGACAGTGAGTCAGGCAGGAGAGCAGGATATTTTCAACTGTAACACCATCTATTTGTCATTCAGAAAAGGAGAAAACTAACTGCTTAAGTATAGGTCGTGCCCAAGCTGATCTGAATGATTCAGAACTAACAGTTATAGCAACAGGTCATGAAGATGGTCATGTAGAAACTAGAGGTCTTCAGTCAACTCATGGGTGAGCCCGATCCTTTATAGCAGAGGAAGGAGAGGGGGCTCAGAGGGATTTGTGTTCCCTACCTAGACAGAAAGATTCCTGCCCTTATCATGGCTGAAATGACAAAGAGAGTGATTGCTCTATTGTTCTATTGTCCAGTGTCAAGATGAAGATCCTGTATCTGGATGATTTGATCCAAACCTCCTTCAGCTTTTCTCTCCAAATATTTGGCAATTCTGGGAAGGGCAAGGTTTATTTATTTACTATTTTTATGTTTATTTCTTGAGGGCGCATGGCTATACTTAGATGGGTGGTGCTTAACAGGGAGTAGCACTTCCTACATCTTTGATCAACCTGATATTTTCCATTTGAAAGACTTTCAACCTCCACATTTCATTTACAGATGACAAAAATGAAGTTCCAAAATTCAAACAGACTTTTCTCCATTGACACTAGTGTCAGAAACAGACATTGCCAGACCTAGCTTACCTGTCATTCAGCTCTGGTACATTTTTCACTGTTCCCTGTTAGCCTCCAGTCTTCATAATCAAATGTTTCAAAGACCAGATAGTTAAAATAGTTGGGTACTCCAGAAATTTAACTCCAACAGTTAAAATAGTTGGGTACATTTTTTTGAGGTTTCAGCTACACACCTTGGTTTAGAAGACAAGTCTTGGTCTCAGGACCTGAAGATTTTATAAATTTCAGTTTCAAGAAGAAACTATTTTGCACCCATATTTCTTACACGTTGTTTGGGGATAGGGAGAAGGCTGGACATGGCTTAGACATAGTTGAGTTTAAAGCAGTGGGTTTTACGCTGACTACATCTTAGAATCACCTCAGTGCTTAAAAAATACAGATGCCTTGGTCTCATTCCCAGAGTTTCCAATTTAATTGGTCTGGGGTGCAGTGTGGGCACTGGGATTTCTGCAAGATCCTCATGTATTCCCAGTGTACAGCCAAGGCTGGGAACCCTCTCTTGAACGCCTTGGCTTCCATGAGCTTTAAATGGTTCATAAGAGCTGTTAGCTTCACCTTGTACAGGTGACTGTTCTGAGGCTTTGGCGAGGAAATCAGAATGAGAACAAAGAGAAGCAAAGTTAAGATGTAAGAAAGTATGCAGAATAATGGCTCATTATTCACCAAACCCAGTAAAGGCGGGAGAAGATATTTTCATTTCTGCCAAAGGCCATATGTGAGTGCCTGTGGGGAAAGCATATCCTTAGCTTTGTGACTGAACCAATAATTCATATCTGATTCAGAAGCTGACTTTGTTGGATTTCAGCTCTACAGCTGTTCTCAGTCTAAGTCCAGCCTCTCCCAATGGGACTGATTGTAGCAACACGTCTCATTTATAGAACTCATATGCAGGGGCCTGGAGACCCCAAACTGTAAATTAAAACCTTGTGTATATGACTTTGGTGAATTCAATTCAAAGGCATTTTGGCTTCTCCAAATAGTCCATTTTCACTAGAAAGGGGAGGGGAAAACACAATGGAAAGGAAATAGATCTTTTATATTCATCCTTCCTATTTCTGGTAGGAGGTCTTGAGACAAAGGTAGTAATGAAATAAACTCTAATAAAATGTCAAGGCTTTGGTGGGCCTTGGTGGGGGCATGTGCAGAGGGGAGGAGAGGAGAGGGAGAGCAAGCAGACAGGGAAATGAGAAGTATAGGATTCCAGAGCCTGAGTGTTAGGGCTAAAGTTCCTTAGAGTGTATCTTCTGCTAGAAAACCTCATCAAGATTTATTTATTATGAGAGGCTTTTTCCAAGTTGACAGTGGGAAAAGAAATGGAGAAGCAGAGAGGGGAAACGTTTTGACCAAAGTCACACCAGGTATCAGCAGCAGCAGTGGAACGAGAAGTTCTGCATCTGGGTTCATAACCCAGTGTCCCCTCTCATCATATTGCCTTGAAGATCTGAGAGGGGTGTCAAAGGAGGCCCACGAGGGAAGCAGGTGTTCTAGGTACTGCTCTCCGGGACAGAGGAAGGCTGTGAATCTGAGAACATTTGCAGGAGCGTCAGGCCAAGAGATTTCTCCTTACTTTGCCCCAGAGAAGATAAGGCAAGGGCTCAAGGATGATTAAAAACTGGGGATAGATGTGGGAGACATTTTAGAGGGAGAATCAGTAAGACCTGTGACTGACTCGATTTGGAAGAAGAGGAAAAAGAACAATGAATCAGGGCACACAGACTTCTTCTAGAAACGCTCTGTTTGATCATCAAGGACCTGGTGTTCTCTGTTCATCCCACAGAACATCATTTCATTTTCATTAATTTCTCATTCATATGAGCACATCAGGGTGAACTATGAGTAAGGCAAAGAACACGCAGCTACAGGGACAAAGAAGAGTGAAGAGCTGGCCATGGGATCCAGATTTGATGAGAGTGGGCAGCCCACCCAGCTGAATTCACTCAACAGACAACAGATGCTCCTGAGCCCCTTCTTTGTGCCAGGTCCTGAGGATGCAGAGATAAATGAGACCCAGCCTCCACCTCTGCAGGACCTCAGGGCAGTGAGATTAAAGATACATGTCAGCAAGTAATTGTGATCCTCCTGTGCGAGGAAGCTGAGGAAGGAGCCAGAGTGTAGGGTGCGAGCCATGGTGGGAGAAGCTTCCCAGAAGTAACTTGGAAACTGGTTTTTGGGGGGTGAGTGGGAGTGTGAGGAGGAGGTAGCAAAGCACAGGCGCGGTACGGACACTGGGACAAGGTGTGAAAAGACACCCTTGAGTGGGGGGCGTGGTGACCAGTTGGACTGATGTGTCTAGAGGGTAGGATGTGGGGGGTCATAGGGAGAAATAAAACCGGAAAGGTGGTTTAAGACCAAATTAGGAAGCCATGTCTAGGAGTACAGCCTTCATCCTTAAGGGTATAGGGTGGGATGAGGGTTTTTCATGACTTAGTAAGCCAAGGAGGGACACACTCAGATAGGAGTATTATGAAGTCATTGTCTACCCTGAAAGGATGTGTTAAAGAAGGGGAAAGGCTAGAGGGGCAGAGATAAGGTAAGAGGCCTTTGTAACAGCCCAGATAGAAGGATGATCTAGAAATGGGGATAGATGTGGGAGAGATTTTAGAGGGAGACCCATTAAGACCTGAGACTGACTGGATTTTGGAGAAGAGGGAAAGGACAGGGACAGGAGATAATAATCTCTCACTTTTTTGCCTTTTATGTTTCCTTGTTTAGTTTGTTTACTCCAATTATTTAGATAATGTCTTCAATTCTGTGGATATCCTTGACTGTACTGGTAAACACAAATATTGTCTTCCTGTCAATATTATTTAAAAATCCAGGGATCACACTATTCCTTTTCCTCATCCTACTGTAACCACTGTCATTACTATTACTGATGTCACTACAGGTGTGCTGTTTTGGGAGATAAGACATTTATATTCCAAATACATAAGCCCAAAACAATGTTCTATCCTGCTCTTTCTAGCCACCCCTTACTCCCACCCTATGTAACTGGAATTAATTTCTTAAACACACATTTAAAAAGAGCTTACTGTATACAAAGTGCCATGCCAAGTTCAAGGAAGTTATCCAAGAGCCAAAATGCAAGGCACCATGAGTGTTCCAGGAGTTCAGACAACGGGAACACTCTGGGGACTGTGGCATCAGGAATGGCCCTGCAGTGGAGGCAGCAACTAAAATTTGAGTCCTGGTGAAAGGAGACAGTTTGAACCATGAGAGAAATGGAAAGCCAAAGGGGCAAGAGAGAGAGCTTGAGCAAAGATGCAGATGGGACATGTCTCTGACACAGTGCGAGGCAATGGCGGGCCAATGGTGAACCACATTTGGGAGAGGGAAAGGGACTGAATAGTGCTATGGGCTCTGACATGCTCTCCAAGCATGTTACGCATTGTAGTGTTTGGACTGAGCCATCTGCTCCTTGTTCTGAATGACATGACCCTCTGACCCACACTGTGTACAAGTGGGATGATTGGATGGGATTGTATAGCTTCCTTCATCCAGCAAATTGTGATAGTTAACTGCTTTTTCGTCTGTGGATGAATGAACAGAAGATTGAAGTTCTGAATTTGGTCATGCTACCACCTTGCTCTAACCAACTCAAATACGCCTCATAATCCCCTCATGCCACTTTTGCCTGGGATCCAGCACATCCTCATAAATAGAGTTTTCTGACATAGGTGTAGCTAAGTGAATTTTTTGTTTTCCTTTTTGAGATGCAGTCTTGCTCTTGTTGCCCAGGCTAGAATGCAATGGAACGATCTCGGCTCACTGCAGCCTCTGCCTCCCAGGTTCAAGTGATTCTTCTGCTTCAGCCTCTTGAGTAGCTGGGATTACAGGCACCTACCACCATGCCCAGCTAATTTTTTGTATTTTTAGTAGAGATGAGGTTTCACCATGTTGGGCAGGCTGGTCTTGAACTCCTGACCTCAGGTGATCAACCTACCTCGGCCTCCCAAACTGCTGAGATTAGAGGCGTAAGCCACTGTGCCCAGCCTGTGAATGGTTTTAAAATGAGTCACATCTTGTGTTTTTGCCCTCTTTATCTCTGCTCCCATGTTTCCCACTTGGAATTTAGTTTACCATCTACAGCGTAACATACGATTGCCCCAAGTAGGGAATACCATGCTTGGCAAATATATTCTCTTCTTGTAAGACATCTTGCAGTTTATTGGATGAGGCAAATGTGAATGAGAATGACGTGGCAAAGAAGTGCATGAGGATCCTGGTGGTTCTTGATTATGGGTGGCCAACAGACTCCAGATTGAATCTCTATGAGACAGTAGTATTCATGGACTTCTTTCCAAATCTACCCCGTGTCCTGATGTAGCAACATCTGACCTCAGCTGGCCCCAGACAGTAGACCACATGAAAGGGTGATTTGCTAATCCCACCTCATCATGCCTTCACTTGGATCTAGGTAGGAGCTTGGGTCTGCTGCAAGGCTTTTATCTGCTTCTTCATGCTCATTCTACTCACCATCTAAGACTAGACCCAGAGTCTCTTCTGTCCACATCACTCCAGCTGGCTGAGATTGTTATCCATTTTAAAGTCATAAATCTCATTGTCTGTACCTCTCACTTGCAAATAGCTCCATATTATCTTGCCAAACGACTTGTAGTGTTATCATTTCTATAATTTAATCATTATGCTGTTACTGGAATTTGATGTGTTTATGCTTTATTCCTCTAAATAGGTTGCAAGCTCCTTTATGAGCATGGGTCAGATGCAATGCTTCATTGTATAATAATGACACTTTACATTTCTCTGGCATTTAGAGCTTATAAATCCCTTCCACATACATTACCATATTCAAGCTTCACAATAATTCTGTCAGGTTGGAAGAGCCAGTATTATTAGTATCCAAATTGGGAGTAAGAAGTATTTAATGATTTGCTTAAAGTTACACTGTACCATGTTTTCCACGGACTGGGGACATTGGAGGTGCTCAATAAGTGTCATTGATTCATTTGTACATTTATTCCTAGCTCAGTTCCACGGCCAGCATGATAATTTAAGCAATAGCATTTGTGTTTTGGGGAGATGATTGGTTGTAAAGATATCCTAAAAGCATTGGTTTCATATGCAACCTTCTTATTCACCCTGTTTGAGATGCATTTGGTGAATCAGGACAATGCAGATGATAAATCAGACTTTTCACATCAGCTTCTCCCTCCTATCTTTTTTCAAAGTGCTTCAGAGACTCCCTTTGCTGCTTCACCTCTCCCTTTCACACTGCCTATAAAGACACAGGTGGGGGTAATGAAACTGTGGGTTTTAAAATTCTTCTTTCCAGATGTCATCTATTTAGTTCTTGCGATATTAGTTGGCAGCCATATTCAATTTTAGAAGTGTGAAGATTACTTGAAACCATATGACAGAACTGTTTTACTTATGGAACCAAATGTTGAAAAAGGCTTTGGTAGTAAAAGTGGTGCAACAAAAATGTAATTCCTAAAGAGGGATTTTATACCTTTTATATTTCCAGGAGTCTGTCAACCTGGAAGGACAAAAGTACTGAGTACTTGTTAACATCCTCAGCATGTGTAGGGCCCTTTTTTATCCAAGTCTGTGCAGCACAAACTGAGTCAAAAGGCTCAGTAAATTAGCTGCTTCTTCCTGACTCCATCTCCTCTCTCTGCCTGCTTCTACTGCCTTGGCTCCTGTTCTGTCCTCAGTGTACTTAGACTAAAGTAAAGTTTTCAGTTTGTCTGAATTACCTGAAAAGTTGTAAGGATGAATGAGGTGTGAAAGCACTTTCAAAGTAGAGAATGGCTTTGATGACTCTAAATCCAATCTAAACAGAATCCTCTGTTCTCTGTAATCCAAGAAGAAAGAAGAAGATGACAGTGATTAAAATGAAATTGAGAATGAGGTAAAATAGAATTGGACTTCCAGGGTGTGTCCCCAGGTCACAGGCAGCTGTGGTGAAGGAAAAAATGCAATGGAGTTAGAAGGTTTGAAACCCAACTGTCACTTACTAGTGGTGTAACTGGGGATAATTCATCAGATCTCTTTGAGTGTTTGTCCTTATTGGTAAAATGCTGATAATAAGACTCATCTCATAGGGTGCCTGTGAAGAGCAGATGAGATAAACCACAGAGAAAAAGCTTTGTAAATGGAAAGGTGCTATACAAAGGTGAGGGATTACAGTTATTATTTAGAACAATATCTTATGCCTTTGGCATGTGCATTTATGGACGTATATTGTAGTATTTAATGTTTCAATGGATTATTAAGGCACAAAAATGTCTGCAGTAATTGAGCAAAGACTTAGGCCCATCATGTACTGATTTAGAAAGTGAATTAATGCCCTCGGGAAAACATGCCCACCACTCCAAAGAGCACCCTTGCTCTTACCAGGAAGATCCCTTCTTGACCTGGCTTCCTCCCTACCTCTGGCCTTTGGTCCATCTTGTTCTTTGGCCTGGCTTGGATGAGGGGGCAGGAGGGTATCATCTTACTTTCTATTGTAATCCCGTCCATTCTGCAAGGCTCACTTTTCTTTTGTCCTTCTGTAAAGACTTTTTTTGAGCTCTCCAGGTGAAATTTTCTTTCCACAATTATTCCGCAAAACGTTATTGCTTTTGTTAGTCTGACATTTGCTTCTGTATTTCTGGGTTAATTGCTATAGATCTAATCTTCAGTTAGGGCTGGGACAGCACAGGGGACACGGTCTTATTTAACTTGGTATCCCCACTGCCTGGCACAGGGTCTGCCTGACACCTGTTTGTGCTCCCGAAATGGTAGTTATTTGGAACCCCTGCAAGGTGTCTGGTCTGGTCTGGATGACAACAGCTGGCAGAGCCCTGAATTAAAGTATCTTATAGATCCTCAGAAAACACTTATTGGCTGATTGCTTGATTTTCAGCAAAGAGCTTTAGAAAGGGATTGCTAATTAATCTTTCTTGTCACAACAGTAAATCCACCAAAACATTTCCTTCCTCTGCGTATTCTGGCAACTCCAGATCTCAAAATACAAGAAGTCTTTTCATATTAATTTTTTATTTCTATGGATTTTTTTCCCCTGATTTTAAAAGTAGCAGATGCTCAATTTGGAAAACTTGGAAACTACAAAAAGTTTAAAGAAGAAAATAATAATAATACAATATTGAAGTATTTTGTTCTATTTTTATGGGGTATGCAATTTTCAAGATTAAATTTTAACATGTAACTTAATGACATTTTTCACTTAATAGAACATCAAAGACATTTTCCATGTCATTAAAAATTGTGAAAAAAAATTTTTTTAGTTAACTACATACTGTTCCATCATATGGATAGACCCTAATTTACTACACCATTACCTTGTACTGGTCATTTAGACTGGACCCAATTTTCCTTTATTATAAATTATTTGTACATGAGTATTTTTATTAAGAGAAGACTTTGTGTTTCAGATTTTTTTCTGGATATATAGTAATAGAAGAGGAATCACTAAGGTATGAATATTCTTAAGCTTATAGGTACATTTTTCCAAATCTATTTCCAGAAATATTATACCAATTATATATATTTTCATTAATGGATGAGTGCCAATTTCACTGTACTCATTCTATATTTTATTACTTAAACTGCTTTGCTGAGTTTATTTGTTTTTTAAAGAGGGTACTCTTGGATAATCTCATTTTAATAAATGATATTTAATGTTAATTTATTTTTAGATAAATTTTTGGTGAAATTATAGATGATATCTTCTCAACTGATGATCTAGTGCTATTAATATAATCCTGATGAGTATGGCATTAATTTTAAATAACGTGTGAATTCATACCCCTTTTATCCAAAAAACTTTAATAAATGGCTATAAGTGGTACACAAGTGTGAGCTACTGTTGTTGTTTTTGTTGTTATTTCCAAGGAAACAAAATGTAGGCAACAGACTTGTCTACGATAAGTATACTCTAGCAAATTAGGAAGAAAATAGTAGACCATAGTAATGTAAGGAATTATATTAAAATTGAAGAATTAATTCAAGCATACATTAAAAATGGAAGATGAGAATCCAGTTAATTGTGTTACTAAATATTGTTAATTTTTTTCTGGAAGTAAATTAAAAGTTCAACACCAAAAAGGTATGTATAGATACTTTATATATATAAAATGATGTAAAAGCTCTTAGAAGCAAGTCAAATATTAATTAACATATTTCTATATAAATATTATTATATTATAGATTATATATAAATATATAAAACTAATATGTAAAATGCTTTTAATAGAATATATAATTATGTAGTAATGTATAACAATATTACACATATATAATTATATTTGACTTGCTTCTAAAACTTTTACATCATTGTTTTATTTTTTCCAAATAAGATGGGACAAATGCTTTCAGAATGCATATCTTCATGGAAAAATGCCTTGAAAGGGAAAATTACTAAATTTATAACACAAACACATTAGAAGTGATCAGAATAGCAATGTGGAATCATAGTCATTATGAGCTTGAAGGGATTTAGAGATAGTATAGTCTAACCCTTCTTTGCATAGATGAGGAAACTGAGGTCTGTTGTAGTTAAAACTGTTGATCTAAGGGAAGACAGCAGAGCGGTACCAGAAAGAAGTCTGATACACAGGGCTCTGTGTTCCTGCTGCAGTGCATTTTCTACTTAATCACTCTCTTCTCAAAAAGTTATTTTATTAGAAGATGATATTGTGCAAGAATTTGTGAACTCTTCTTTTTATCTGCTACCCCAAAATCTTTAGTTGGTGTATATAAAATGGAATACGCTTTATTCTGTTATTTATGGAAACATCATGGTGGAGTCAGTGGCAGCTGACTACAGAAACACTAAAACAATACATGGAGGAAATTCCTCCACTGGTATCCAAGAACTTGATGGTGTATAAGAGATATTTTCCACCTATAATTCTGTATGATGTCACTTGAGACTCATCAGAGTGGAATTACTGTAAATCATTAGCTTTGTTATACCTATTACAATGAATACCTTCCCAACTCCAAATGCATCCTGAGTGAATGTTATGAGTAAGGATGAAGGTTTTTGGATGAAAGAGGTATGAATTCACGTCAAAACAACATTAGGCCTTGGTGGGCTTATCTCTAGCAAATATTTGGACTCAATGGCCAAAAGACTGGGATTTGATTTGCAAGAACAAAGTGAGGAAGAGAATGAAACAATGATTCCTATGATGTGGGGATGAGCGTGTAGGGAACTTAACAAAAAATCAACATGAGGATCTTGGTTGTTCCCCCCGCCCCCCCGCCCGTTTTTTATTGATCAGTTTCACCGGCTTGTTGCTCAGTTTTGATGGTGAATCTCTATGTTGAAACTTTCATTGGTAAAGTTAAGTAGACAAGAGCAGGCATGCAACACTAACTACCCCCTACCCAAGTCCTGGCCCTCAAATCCATTCCCTGGGTTTATCTAGATAGGTAAATATCTCAAATTCTCCTGGTAGAGGCCCAGCCTTTGTTGATTGCCTATCTAAAGAAAGGGACAGCAAAGAGGCCAGGGAATGTTAATATTTTCCTTTTGTATGTGTCTAATGTCATTCCTGATTAAATGAGATGAGTCACTCTCTTCTCCATCACCATTTTTAGGCTGGCCAATGAGAAGGCCATCTCCCCCAGGCTGCCTGCTTCTCTAGACACTGAAAGAATTACTCAAGTCCTAACTTTCTTTTTATTACACTTCTTAGGAGTACCAGGTAATAAATCAACTGGGGAAGACAGATACGGAAAAGCAATATTTAAAATGAGTTATGATGTTAAAGGGAAGACTTGCTATTATGTTTTATCAAAGGCAGCCACTAACAAGCATAATGTAATTCACAATGCTTAAGTAGGGTGACTTTAATTGCAACAGTCATTAAGCCCACAGGATCATTAAGTGCATTAAAGGAGGGAGCCAATGAGCTATCATGAATGAAATAAGGTCCCCACTCACCCCATTTCACCTATTTAACTGGAATTGAACTCAGTCTGGATCTCTGATACAGCCACAGTCCTTTGACTTCCTCTTCTTTCTATACCAAGCCACTGTGACTATTTCAGAATAGTTCAAAGGCAAGCATTTAAGAGGAAACAAAGGGAGACAGAGGTATTGTCAAACCACAGTTTCAATTTTCTCATGGATTAAATTTTGCTGGATATTACATTTTTATAGAATTTTAAAGTTTGAAGTCTAGCCACTTAACTGTTTTTGATATTTATTATCTTAAGAAGCTTACATAAAAAAAGAACTACCAGAATACAAAAGTTAAGTTTCCAAGGTAATGGCAGAAATGTAAATGGAAACTTGTCAAATTGGCAAACATAGAAACCAAATGGTTTTTCTTCCTGGTGGAAAGTATGTAGGAAGCATGTATGCTCCTGAATTTCTGGTGGGACTACATATTCATAACAATTTCTGGAGAATGAGTTGATGCTATGTACCAAAAACCTTAAAAAACTATTTATGGCCGGGTGTGGTGGCTCACGCCTGTAATCCCAGCACTTTGGGAGACCTAGGTGGGCGGATCGCCTGAGGTCAGGAGTTCGAGACCAGCCTGGGCAGCATGGTAAAACCCCGTCTCTACTGAAAATACAAAACTTAGCCAGGCATGGTGGCACACACCTGTAATCCCAGCTAGTCCGGGGGCTGAGGCAGGAGAATCACTTGAACCCAGGAGGCAGAGGTTGCAGTAAGCTGAGATCAAGCCGCTGCACTGAAGCCTGGCGACAGAGTGAGACTCCATCTCAAAACCAACCAACCAACCAACCAACCAACCAAACAAACAAACAAACAAACAAACAAAAAAACAAAAAACAGCAACAAAAGAAACCTATTTATACACGTTGAACCAAAAACTGTACCTAGGAAGTTATCACTGAAAACTGTTAAGACTTAGCTATAAAGATAAATGTAAAAAGAAATGAGAAACACTCTAAATATTTCACAGATTCAATAAATAAAGTAACATGGAACCAATAAATAAATACTGTTTATTTTTAAAAGTGCTATTTTAGAAGTGTATTCATTGAAAGAAAAAGACGTTAACATTAAGTGATAACATGTAGATCACAAAACCTTATGAATGGCACGGACCCATTTTTGTAAAAAAGCATCTTTTAATGCATGTCTACCTTCACATGTGAAAGAACGGTGATTTATGCTCTGGTCCCTTCTTTTCCCTTTACTTCATCTTTCAACGTCCACACCTTTTCACTCCACTATTGAGATAACGAAATTATTTCAGTTTTTGAGATGCAAATACTCTTTCTTTCTGCTGGGCTATCCAGCATATTGTTTCCATTTTTAGAACACCATCTCTTCCATTTTCTCTTTCCTGCAACCAACCCAAGCTTAGCCCAAGTCTCACTCACGTAAAGTATTTCCGAACCCCTTTCTGGACCTCCAAAGCCTGGGTTGAGTTCTTAATGTACTCCTGTTCCACAGCATACATCTTCCATCATTGTAATTACCTGTTTACTTGCTTGCATCACCTATTCTTTCTGTGAGGGTGGGCGCAGTGGCTCATGCCTATAATCCCAGCACATTGGGAGGCCAAGATGGGAGCACTGCTTGAGCCCAGGAGTTTGATACCTGCCTAGGCAACATAGTGAGTCTCCATTTCTAAAAAACAGAGAGAGAGAGAGAGAACAGAGACCGTTTCCAGATTCTGATGGCACTGTATGTGGCAGCTTCTTCCCAAGTTGGACACCATGGAGTCTTTTCCTCGCTGTATCTGCACGCCACATGCCCATGGAGAGGTGGGGTCTATTCCTTCCCTCACCTGGAATCTGGGCTGGCTTTCGTGGCTCAGTTTGACCTATAGAATGTGGCGGAAGTGATGCTCAAGGACTTGCACTTG
Organism: Homo sapiens; assembly: GCF_000001405.40. Taxonomy (NCBI): domain Eukaryota; kingdom Metazoa; phylum Chordata; class Mammalia; order Primates; family Hominidae; genus Homo; species Homo sapiens. The sequence continues at coordinate 121,714,357 of NC_000011.10, forward strand.
GGCTTGAATCTGGGCTGGCTTTCATGGCTCAGTTTGACCTATAGAATGTGGTGGAAGTGATGCTCAAGGACTTGCACTTGGGCTTCTTGGAACATGTGTATGGGGAATTAGTCATCATGTAAGGAATATGACTACTGTGAGACAGCCATTCTGTGAGGAATCCAAGCTAAGTGGAGAAGCCCTGGACAATGAGACAGCAGGTAGAGAGAGGGAAGAGAGAGAGAGAGAGAGCGAGTGAGCGAGAGAGAGAGAGAGAAAGAGAGACATGGTCAAGGAGCACCAAGGTTCTAGACACGTGAGTGAAGATGCCATCTTGAAAGAATTCTCCAGCCATTAGTTCATCAGATGCCAAATGAATCCAGGTGAGCCATCCCCAGATTCTTGACACTCAAAATTGTGGGCACAATAAAATACTTGTTTCAGCCACTTTGCTTGTAGGTAGTTTGTTACACAGCAATAGACAACTGCAGCATCACCCTGACATGTAGTGGGCCCTCAATAAATATCTGTTAAGGGAATATATGACAGAAGTTTTACTTTTTTCCCCCGTTTTTTCCCTGTTACTTTCTGATTTTTCCATAATGTATATAAACAATAAACTATAGGAATTTGTTCTTTTTTTAATGAAAGAAAGAGGTTCCAGGAAATCTAAAAGTGAAAATGACATGAGATGGCAGGCTTCGGTCAGTTAACTAGAGAACATCTCTCTGATTTAACCCAATGGTACAGAAATGTCATAAATTCTTTCTGCAAATGTGGCTTCTCCATAAGGGCCTCTCATTGAAGAAATAAATAGTTACTCTGAAGCCCAATAGTCAGGACTGACAGAAAAAGAAGCATGGTGTTGACTTTTAATCTCTCAGTGTCTAAAACCTCAAATGGTCGTAGACAATCTCCACCTGTACAGCTTAGCCTTCTCTGAGCTTGGTGTTGTCTGTTATTTAAGGAAGAAAAAACATTATGTCTTCTTGTTCCTCTTGCAGAACAGTCTCAGGTTCTTAAGGTTGTAGCAGAGAATGGAAAGCCTTCACTTTTCTTCCAATGAGGTTTCTGTTAGTCGGGGGAGTGGGGTGGTAAATGTCCATTGGCTTGCTATGATGTGGCAGGGGTGGGGGCACGGTACTAACATTCTTCATATGAGAATTTCTTTCCAGTCTGGAAAGCAACATCTAAGTTTTGCTTATGACGCCAAGGGAGGGCAATTGCTGTCAGTGGTGTTTCTAACCGGTTCAAGCAACTGTGTCTAGGATGAATTAGGTGTCTTGGATGGATGGAGTGAAATGCTCTTTAGTGACAAGTGGGGGATTAGCTAGATGATCTGTGCTAACACTTTCAGCCCAAGAATTCTCTGGCATCATGGATTTCCACTTGGAGAGCTTAGTGCATTGAGAATCATTTCAATTCTAGCATGTTAGATCCCATTATTCCATAAATATGTCCATACAGTCCAGATTTTCCTCTGAGACTAAAGTAAAATAAATGGTAAATTAAGGAATGCATGAGTAGATCAATGAATTAGATTCATAGCTTTATTTTTATTGTTTACGGTGTTGAAATATGTATTAAAAATTTACCATTTTAGCCATTTCTAAGTGTAAAATTCTGTGGCTTTTAGTACATTTACAATGTTGTGTAACCATCACAATGATTTCTAAAACATTTTCGTCATACCTATAACTAAGTTTTTAAAACATCCACCTATTCAAAGGCTATTTTTTATTTCTGGATTCCAAACCTTTGATGCGGTCAAATAGCTGACCTTGAAATAAGTGCTTTATTGCCCAAGTCCTCCATGGATGAAATATTTAAGAAACATGTGCGTCAAAGTAGTAACACTGAAACCAGCTTCTCAGTGTACCAGTATTGTCAGCGGTTTTAAATCCTCTGAGAAGAGTTAACATCTAAAAGAGTAACAGCTGCAATTGGTGAGTCATTCAGATCATGTCAGGCCTAGGGGGCGAGCATTGCTATGTCTGCCCCATGCCTATTCTTCTGCCAATTGATGTGGCTCCCCTGGCTACAGGAATGATTATGTGGTCCAGGCTGGGCCAATCTTAGTGCCTCACTTCCAGGCCACAGCAATGGACCAAGGATGAGCATAGGGTCCAAACCAGGGTGATCTGAGTTTTTCTCTTGGGTTTTTCAAATTTCAGTTGGGAGAAGAGAGCCTTTATTTTCATCTCTGGTTCTGGAGCATTTGGGATCTAAATCTGGAGTAGCTGACAGTCATGCCCCATTCTGTTAGGTAAGATGGTTTGGGAGACGATATCTAGTATTTGGAGAGAAGTAGAGATGACAGATGAAGAGAGAGATTCCTTAGAGCCTTTGATCCTTGGCTTAGTGGTTCCTAAAGTCATATCCACACCTGCCTTTTCAGTTGTTGGGCTATTACTAATACCTCTCTTTTGCCTGAATCATTTTAAGGTGTGTTTCTGTGCCTGGTAACCCAGAGTCCTGATCAATATGGGAATATTTATCACTGTAGCCAAACTACATATTTTGATCAGTAATATAGATGCCAGCCAGTATTGCCAACCTGTGACTTTATGGGATAAGCATATAGAGACAGGAAGGCAGTGTTTCCCATGCCCATCCATCCATCCACAAATTTAATACATCTGTCCATCCATTCTCCAGCCCCATGGATATTACATATTTGTGAATATAAAGCAATATCTTTTAATTGCTATAATCTTTTCTGTCTTGTGAAATCCTACTCATTGTTCAAAATGTTCACCATACAGTTGCAGGAAACAGAGAGTACTCTATCCATTTTAAGCAGCAAGGGATTCAATACAAGGAATTAAGTACAGATGCTCCTCAACTTATGATAAACCCATCGTAAGTAGAGGAGGATACTGAACGTGTATCACTTTCGCACGATCCTGACGTTGAACCATCTTAAGTTGGGGACCATCTGCACTTACAACATTGTCGGATGTGCTGGAGGAGCAGACTCTAGGTGGAGCCTCCAGGAATGAGTCTTAGAGGAACACCATGGATTTAGTCTGCCAGGAAAGTTTCTACTTCTGCCACAGTCAGGAAGAAGAGGAATCAGTAAGCTACTACTGGAATTACCAACTTCACAGTAGGAACCCAAAAGCTACTTCTGATGTCTTTGCAACTGTCTTTAATCACCCACAAAGCTAGTGATTAGGCAATACCAAGTGCTGCTGCAGAAAATCCCAAAGTATTCACAGCTGTACTTGTTGGTGGCAGTGGCAGAATTCAGGGAAACTCACTTCCACCTTCGAAATCTGGCAGGTGTACCTAAATGTATACCATGTTCACTTGGGTAAGAGAAACATAGCGTTAGAACAGAATTGGGGATAAGCATGCTGCCTGTGCTGGTTAAACCTCATCTTTGCATTTAGTTTTGGGTAGCCCAATTTAAGAGGGAAAGAGATAGATGATGTATTTGGGGAGAGTGGACATGATGATGAAGAGACCAAAAACCATGTTATATAAAAAGTAACTGAAAGATCTGGAAAAACATAGCTGGGAGAGAGAAAACTCAAGAAGG